>NC_000018.10:17853482-18179120 GCF_000001405.40 Homo sapiens | reverse complement strand
ATTCCCGCTTCCAGCGAAATCCCCAAAGCTAGCCAAATATCCACTTGCAGATTCCAGAAAAAGAGTGTTTCAAAACTGCTCCTTCAAAACGGTGGTTCAATTCTCTTAGTTGAGTACACACATCTCAAATAAGTTTCTGAGAATGCTTCTGTCTAGTTTTTATGGGAAGATATTTCCTTTTTCACCTGAGGCCGGAAAGCGCTCCAAATGTTCACTTCCAGATACTACAAAAGGAGTGATTCAAACCTGCTCTATGATAGGGAATGTTCAACTCTGTGTCCTGAATACAAACATCACAAATATGTTTCTCAGAACGCTGCAGTCTGCAATTTGTATGAATTCCCGCTTCCAACGCAATCCTCAAAACTAACCAAATATCCACTTGCAGACTCCACAAAAAGAGCATTTCAAAACTGCTCTATCAAAAGAAAGGTTCAACTTTGTTAGCTGAGTAGATACAGCATAAACAAGTTTCTGAGAATGCTTCTGTCCAGTTTTTATGGGAAGATATTTCCTTTTCCACCTTAGCCCTGAAAGCACTCCAAATGTCCACTTCCAGATACCACAAAAGGGGAGTTTCAAGACTGCTCTATGAAAGGGAGTGTTCAACTTTTGACTTGAATGCGAACATCAGAAAGAAGTTTCTCAGAACGCTGCTGTGTGCTTTTTATATGTATTCCCGCTTCCAGCGAAATCCCCAAAGCTAGCCAAATATCCAATTGCAGATTCCAGAAAAAGAGTGTTTCAAAACTGCTCCTTCAAAACGGTGGTTCAATTCTCTTAGTTGAGTACACACATCTCAAATAAGTTTCTGAGAATGCTTCTGTCTAGTTGTTATGGGAAGATATTTCCTTTTCCAACATAGGCCTGAAGGCGCTCCAAATGTCCACTTCCAGATACTACAAAAGGAGTGATTCCAACCTGCTCTATGATAGGGAATGTTCAACTCTGTGTCCTGAATACAAACATCACAAAGATGTTTCTCAGAACGCTGCAGTCTGCAATTTGTATGAATTCCCGCTTCCAACGAAATCCTCCAAACTAGCCAAATATCCACTTGCAGATTCCACAAAAAGAGCGTTTCAAAACTTCTCTATGAAAAGAAAGGTTCTACTCCTTTAGTTGAGGACACACATCACGAGTAAGTTTCTGAGAATGCTTCTGTCTAGTTTTTATGGGAAGATATTTCCTTTTTCACCTTAGGCCGGAAAGTGCTCCAAATGTCCACTTACACACACTACAAAAAGAGTGTTTCAAACCTGCTCTGTGAAAGGGAATGTTCAATTCTGTGACTTGAATGCAATCATCACAAAGAACTTTCTGAGAATGCTGCTGTCTGCTTTTTATATGTAATCCCGTTTCCAACGAAATCCTCAAATCTAGCCAAATATCCACTTGCAGATTCCACAAAAAGAGTGTTTCAAAACTGTTCTGTCTAAAGAAAAGTTCAACTGTGTTAGTTGAGGACACACATCAGAAACAAGTTTCTGAGAATGCTTCTGTCTAGTTGTTATGGGAAGATATTTCCTTTTCCAACGTAGGCCTGAAAGCGCTCCAAATGTCCATTTCCATATACTAAAAAAAGAGTGTTTCAAACCTGCTCTACCAAAGGGAATGTTCTACTCTGTGACTTGAATACAAACATCCCAAAGAAGTTTCTGAGAATGCTTCTGTCTAGATTTTATCTGAAGACAATCCCGTTTCCAACGAAATCCTCAAAGCTAGGCAAATATCCTCTAGCAGATTCCAGAAAAAGAGTGTTTCAAAACTGCTCCTTCAAAACGGTGGTTCAATTCTCTTAGTTGAGTACACACATCTCAAAAAAGTTTCAGAGAATGCTTCTGCCTAGTTGTTACGGGAAGATATTTCCCTTTCCAACATAGGCCTGAAAGCGCTCCAAATGTCCACTTCCAGATACTACAAAAAGAGTGTTTCAAACCTGCTCTACCAAAGGGAATGTTCTGCTCTGTGACTTGAATGCAAACATCCCAAAGAAGTTTTCTGAGAATGCTTCTGTCTAGATTTTACCTGAAGACAATCCCGTTTCCAACGAAATCCTCAAAGCTATGCAAATATCCTCTTGCAGATTCTACACAAAGAGTGTTTGGAAACTGCTCTATGAAAGGAAAGGTTCAACTCTGTCAGTAGAGGGCACATATCACAAACAAGTTTCTGAGAATGCTTGTGTCTAGTTGTTATGGGAAGATATTTCCTTTTTCAACATAGGCCTGAAATCGCTCCAAATGTCCACTTCCAGATACTACAAAAGGAGTGATTCCAACCTGCTCTATGATAGGGAATGTTCAACTCTCTGTCCTGAATACAAACATCACAAAGATGTTTCTCAGAACGCTGCAGTCTGCAATTTGTATGAATTCCCGCTTCCAACGAAATCCTCAAAACTAGCCAAATATCCACTTGCAGATTCCACAAAAAGAGCATTTCAAAACTGCTCTATCAAAAGAAAGGTTCAACTATGTTAGTTGAGTAGATACAGCATAAACAAGTTTCTGAGAATGCTTCTGTCCAGTTTTTATGGGAAGATATTTCCTTTTTCACCTTAGCCCTGAAATCGCTCCAAAAGTCCAGTTCCAGATACTACAAAAGGGGTGTTTCAGGACTGCTCTATGAAAGGGAGTGTTCAACTTTTGACTTGAATGCAAACATCAGAAAGCAGTTTCTCAGAACGCTGCAGTCTTCAATTTGTATGAATTCCCGCTTCCAACGAAATCCTCCAAACTAGCCAAATATCCACTTGCAGATTCCACAAAAAGAGCGTTTCAAAACTTCTCTATGAAAAGAAAGGTTCTACTCCTTTAGTTGAGGACACACATCACGAGTAAGTTTCTGAGAATGCTTCTGTCTAGTTTTTATGGGAAGATATTTCCTTTTTCACCTTAGGCCGGAAAGTGCTCCAAATGTCCACTTACACACACTACAAAAAGAGTGTTTCAAACCTGCTCTGTGAAAGGGAATGTTCAATTCTGTGACTTGAATGCAATCATCACAAAGAACTTTCTGAGAATGCTGCTGTCTGCTTTTTATATGTAATCCCGTTTCCAACGAAATCCTCAAATCTAGCCAAATAGCCACTTGCAGATTCCACAAAAAGAGAGTTTCAAAACTGTTCTGTCTAAAGAAATGTTCAACTGTGTTAGTTGAGGACACACATCAGAAACTAGTTTCTGAGAATGCTTCTGTCTAGTTGTTATGGGAAGATATTTCCTTTTCCAACGTAGGCCTGAAAGCGCTCCAAATGTCCACTTCCATATACTAAAAAAAGAGTGTTTCAAACCTGCTCTACCAAAGGGAATGTTCTACTCTGTGACTTGAATGCAAACATCCCAAAGAAGTTTCTGAGAATGCTTCTGTCTAGATTTGATCTGAAGACAATCCCGTTTCCAACGAAATCCTCAAGGCTAGGCAAATATCCTCTTGCAGATTCCAGAAAAAGAGTGTTTCAAAACTGCTCCTTCAAAACGGTGGTTCAATTCTCTTAGTTGAGTACACACATCTCAAATAAGTTTCTGAGAATGCTTCTGCCTAGTTGTTACGGGAAGATATTTCCCTTTCCAACATAGGCCTGAAAGCGCTCCAAATGTCCACTTCCAGATACTACAAAAAGAGTGTTTCAAACCTGCTCTACCAAAGGGAATGTTCTGCTCTGTGACTTGAATGCAAACATCCCAAAGAAGTTTCTGAGAATGCTTCTGTCTAGATTTTACCTGAAGACAATCCCGTTTCCCACGAAATCCTCAAAGCTATGCAAATATCCTCTTGCAGATTCTACAAAAAGAGTGTTTCAAAACTGCTCTATGAAAAGAAAGGTTCAACTCTGTCAGTAGAGGGCACACATCACAAACAAGTTTCTGAGAATGCTTGTGTCTAGTTGTTATGGGAAGATATTTCCTTTTTCAACATAGGCCTGAAAGCGCTCCAAATGTCCACTTCCAGATACTACAAAAGGAGTGATTCCAACGTGCTCCTATGATAGGGAATGTTCATCTCTGTGTCCTGAATACAAACATCACAAAGATGTTTCTCAGAACGCTGCAGTCTGCAATTTGTATGAATTCCCGCTTCCAACGAAATCCTCAAAACTAGCCAAATATCCACTTGCAGATTCCACAAAAAGAGCATTTCAAAACTGCTCTATCAAAAGAAAGGTTCAACTTTGTTAGTTGAGTAGATACAGCATAAACAAGTTTCTGAGAATGCTTCTCTCTAGATTTTTATATGAGGATATTCCCGTTTCCAACGAAATCCACAAAGCTATCGAAATATCCACTTGCAGATTCTACAAAAAGAGTGTTTCAAAACTGCTCTATCAAAAGAAAGGTTCTACCCCTTTAGTTGAGGACACACATCACGAGTAAGTTTCTGAGAATGCTTCTGTCTAGTTTTTATGGGAAGATATTTCCTTTTTCACCTGAGGCCGGAAAGCGCTCCAAATGTCCACTTCCAGATACTACAAAAGGAGTGATTCAAACCTGCTCTATGATAGGGAACGTTCAACTCTGTGTCCTGAATACAAACATCACAAAGATGTTTCTCAGAACGCTGCAGTCTGCAATTTGTATGAATTCCCGCTTCCAACGAAATCCTCAAAACTAGCCAAATATCCACTTGCAGATTCCACAAAAAGAGCGTTTCAAAACTTCTCTATGAAAAGAAAGGTTCTACTCCTTTAGTTGAGGACACACAATACGAGTAAGTTTCTGAGAATGCTTCTGTCCAGTTTTTATGGGAAGATATTTCCTTTTTCACCTTAGCCCTGAAAGCGCTCCAAAAGTCCAGTTCCAGATACTACAAAAGGAGTGTTTCAGGACTGCTCTATGAAAGGGAGTGTTCAACTTTTGACTTGAATGCAAACATCAGAAAGCAGTTTCTCAGAACGCTGCTGTGTGCTTTTTATATGTATTCCCGCTTCCAGCGAAATCCCCAAAGCTAGCCAAATATCCACTTGCAGATTCCAGAAAAAGAGTGTTTCAAAACTGCTCCTTCAAAACGGTGGTTCAATTCTCTTAGTTGAGTACACACATCTCAAATAAGTTTCTGAGAATGCTTCTGTCTAGTTGTTATGGGAAGATATTTCCTTTTCCAACATAGGCCTGAAAGCGCTCCAAATGTCCACTTCCAGATACCACAAAAGGAGTGATTCCAACCTGCTCTATGATAGGGAATGTTCAACTCTGTTTCCTGAATACAAACATCACAAAGATGTTTCTCAGAACGCTGCAGTCTGCAATTTGTATGAATTCCCGCTTCCAACGAAATCCTCAAAACTAGCCAAATATCCACTTGCAGATTCCACAAAAAGAGCATTTCAAAACTGCTCTATCAAAAGAAAGGTTCAACTTTGTTAGTTGAGTAGATACAGCATAAACAAGTTTCTGAGAATGCTTCTGTCCAGTTTTTATGGGAAGATATTTCCTTTTTCACCTTAGCCCTGAAAGCGCTCCAAAAGTCCAGTTCCAGATACTACAAAAGGAGTGTTTCAGGACTGCACTATGAAAGGGAGTGTTCAACTTTTGACTTGAATGCAAACATCAGAAAGCAGTTTCTCAGAACGCTTGCTGTGTGCTTTTTATATGTATTCCCGCTTCCAGCGAAATCCCCAAAGCTAGCCAAATATCCACTTGCAGATTCCAGAAAAAGAGTGTTTCAAAACTGCTCCTTCAAAACGGTGGTTCAATTCTCTTAGTTGAGTACACACATCTCAAATAAGTTTCTGAGAATGCTTCTGTCTAGTTGTTATGGGAAGATATTTCCTTTTCCAACATAGGCTTGAAAGCGCTCCAAATGTCCACTTCCAGATACTACAAAAGGAGTGATTCAAACCTGCTCTATGATAGGGAATGTTCAACTCTGTGTCCTGAATACAAACATCACAAAGATGTTTCTCAGAAAGCTGCAGTCTGCAATTTGTATGAATTCCCGCTTCCAACGAAATCCTCCAAACTAGCCAAATATCCACTTGCAGATTCCACAAAAAGAGCGTTTCAAAACTTCTCTATGAAAAGAAAGGTTCTACTCCTTTAGTTGAGGACACACATCACGAGTAAGTTTCTGAGAATGCTTCTGTCTAGTTTTTATGGGAAGATATTTCCTTTTTCACCTTAGGCCGGAAAGTGCTCCAAATGTCCACTTACACACACTACAAAAAGAGTGTTTCAAACCTGCTCTGTGAAAGGGAATGTTCAATTCTGTGACTTGAATGCAATCATCACAAAGAACGTTCTGAGAATGCTGCTGTCTGCTTTTTATATGTAATCCCGTTTCCAACGAAATCCTCAAATCTAGCCAAATAGCCACTTGCAGATTCCACAAAAAGAGAGTTTCAAAACTGTTCTGTCTAAAGAAATGTTCAACTGTGTTAGTTGAGGACACACATCAGAAACTAGTTTTTGAGAATGCTTCTGTCTAGTTGTTATGGGAAGATATTTCCTTTTCCAACGTAGGCCTGAAAGCGCTCCAAATGTCCACTTCCATATACTAAAAAAAGAGTGTTTCAAACCTGCTCTACCAAAGGGAATGTTCTACTCTGTGACTTGAATGCAAACATCCCAAAGAAGTTTCTGAGAATGCTTCTGTCTAGATTTGATCTGAAGACAATCCCGTTTCCAACGAAATCCTCAAGGCTAGGCAAATATCCTCTTGCAGATTCCAGAAAAAGAGTGTTTCAAAACTGCTCCTTCAAAACGGTGGTTCAATTCTCTTAGTTGAGTACACACATCTCAAATAAGTTTCTGAGAATGCTTCTGCCTAGTTGTTACGGGAAGATATTTCCCTTTCCAACATAGGCCTGAAAGCGCTCCAAATGTCCACTTCCAGATACTACAAAAAGAGTGTTTCAAACCTGCTCTACCAAAGGGAATGTTCTACTCTGTGACTTGAATGCAAACATCCCAAAGAAGTTTCTGAGAATGCTTCTGTCTAGATTTTACCTGAAGACAATCCCGTTTCCCACGAAATCCTCAAAGCTATGCAAATATCCTCTTGCAGATTCTACAAAAAGAGTGTTTCAAAACTGCTCTATGAAAAGAAAGGTTCAACTCTGTCAGTAGAGGGCACACATCACAAACAAGTTTCTGAGAATGCTTGTGTCTAGTTGTTATGGGAAGATATTTCCTTTTTCAACATAGGCCTGAAAGCGCTCCAAATGTCCACTTCCAGATACTACAAAAGGAGTGATTCCAACCTGCTCTATGATAGGGAATGTTCAACTCTGTGTCCTGAATACAAACATCACAAAGATGTTTCTCAGAACGCTGCAGTCTGCAATTTGTATGAATTCCCGCTTCCAACGAAATCCTCAAAACTAGCCAAATATCCACTTACAGATTCCACAAAAAGAGCGTTTCAAAACTTCTCTATGAAAAGAAAGGTTCTACTCCTTTAGTTGAGGACACACATCACGAGTAAGTTTCTGAGAATGCTTCTGTCTAGTTTTTATGGGAAGATATTTCCTTTTTCACCTTAGGCCAGAAAGCGCTCCAAATGTCCACTTACACACACTACAAAAAGAGTGTTTCAAACCTGCTCTGTGAAAGGGAATGTTCAATTCTGTGACTTGAATGCAATCATCACAAAGAACTTTCTGAGAATGCTGCTGTCTGCTTTTTATATGTAATCCCGTTTCCAACGAAATCCTCAAATCTAGCCAAATATCCACTTGCAGATTCCACAAAAAGAGTGTTTCAAAACTGTTCTGTCTAAAGAAATGTACAACTGTGTTAGTTGAGGACACACATCAGAAACTAGTTTCTGAGAATGCTTCTGTCTAGTTGTTATGGGAAGATATTTCCTTTTCCAACGTAGGCCTGAAAGCGCTCCAAATGTCCACTTCCATATACTAAAAAAAAAGTGTTTCAAACCTGCTCTACCAAAGGGAATATTCTACTCTGTGACTTGAATACAAACATCCCAAAGAAGTTTCTGAGAATGCTTCTGTCTAGATTTTATCTGAAGACAATCCCGTTTCCAACGAAATCCTCAAGGCTAGGCAAATATACTCTTGCAGATTCCAGAAAAAGAGTGTTTCAAAACTGCTCCTTCAAAACGGTGGTTCAATTCTCTTAGTTGAGTACACACATCTCAAATAAGTTTCTGAGAATGCTTCTGCCTAGTTGTTACGGGAAGATATTTCCCTTTCCAACATGGGCCTGAAAGCGCTCCAAATGTCCACTTCCAGATACTACAAAAAGAGTGTTTCAAACCTGCTCTACCAAAGGGAATGTTCTACTCTGTGACTTGAATGCAAACATCCCAAAGAAGTTTCTGAGAATGCTTCTGTCTAGATTTTACCTGAAGACAATCCCGTTTCCCACGAAATCCTCAAAGCTATGCAAATATCCTCTTGCAGATTCTACAAAAAGAGTGTTTCAAAACTGCTCTATGAAAAGAAAGGTTCAACTCTGTCAGTAGAGGGCACACATCACAAACAAGTTTCTGAGAATGCTTCTGCATAGTTGTTACGGGAAGATATTTCCCTTTCCAAAATAGGCCTGAAAGCGCTCCAAATGTCCACTTCCAGATACTACAAAAGGAGTGATTCCAACCTGCTCTATGATAGGGAATGTTCAACTCTGTGTCCTGAATACAAACATCACAAAGATGTTTCTCAGAACGCTGCAGTCTGCAATTTGTATGAATTCCCGCTTCCAACGAAATCCTCAAAACTAGCCAAATATCCACTTGCAGATTCCACAAAAAGACCATTTCAAAACTGCTCTATCAAAAGAAAGGTTCAACTTTGTTAGTTGAGTAGATACAGCATAAACAAGTTTCTGAGAATGCTTCTGTCCAGTTTTTATGGGAAGATATTTCCTTTTTCACCTTAGCCCTGAAATCGCTCCAAAAGTCCAGTTCCAGATACTACAAAAGGGGTGTTTCAGGACTGCTCTATGAAAGGGAGTGTTCAACTTTTGACTTGAATGCAAACATCAGAAAGCAGTTTCTCAGAACGCTGCTGTGTGCTTTTTATATGTATTCCCGCTTCCAGCGAAATCCCCAAAGCTAGCCAAATATCCACTTGCAGATTCCAGAAAAAGAGAGTTTCAAAACTGCTCCTTCAAAACGGTGGTTCAATTCTCTTAGTTGAGTACACACATCTCAAATAAGTTTCTGAGAATGCTTCTGTCTAGTTGTTATGGGAAGATATTTCCTTTTCCAACATAGGCCTGAAAGCGCTCCAAATGTCCACTTCCAGATACTACAAAAGGAGTGATTCAAACCTGCTCTATGATAGGGAATGTTCAACTCTGTGTCCTGAATACAAACATCACAAAGATGTTTCTCAGAACGCTGCAGTCTGCAATTTGTATGAATTCCCGCTTCCAACGAAATCCTCAAAACTAGCCAAATATCCACTTGCAGATTCCACAAAAAGAGCGTTTCAAAACTTCTCTATGAAAAGAAAGGTTCTACTCCTTTAGTTGAGGACACACATCACGAGTAAGTTTCTGAGAATGCTTCTGTCTAGTTTTTATGGGAAGATATTTCCTTTTTCACCTTAGGCCGGTAAGTGCTCCAAATGTCCACTTACACACACTACAAAAAGAGTGTTTCAAACCTGCTCTGTGAAAGGGAATGTTCAATTCTGTGACTTGAATGCAATCATCACAAAGAACTTTCTGAGAATGCTGCTGACTGCTTTTTATATGTAATCCCGTTTCCAACGAAATCCTCAAATCTAGCCAAATAGCCACTTGCAGATTCCACAAAAAGAGTGTTTCAAAACTGTTCTGTCTAAAGAAATGTTCAACTGTGTTAGTTGAGGACACACATCAGAAACTAGTTTCTGAGAATGCTTCTGTCTAGTTGTTATGGGAAGATATTTCCTTTTCCAAAGTAGGCCTGAAAGCGCTCCAAATGTCCACTTCCATATACTAAAAAAAGAGTGTTTCAAACCTGCTCTACCAAAGGGAAGGTTCTACTCTGTGACTTGAATGCAAACATCCCAAAGAAGTTTCTGAGAATGCTTCTGTCTAGATTTTATCTGAAGACAATCCGGTTTCCAACGAAATCCTCAAGGCTAGGCAAATATACTCTTGCAGATTCCAGAAAAAGAGTGTTTCAAAACTGCTCCTTCAAAACGGTGGTTCAATTCTCTTAGTTGAGTACACACATCTCAAATAAGTTTCTGAGAATGCTTCTGCATAGTTGTTACGGGAAGATATTTCCCTTTCCAACATGGGCCTGAATGCGCTCCAAATGTCCACTTCCAGATACTACAAAAAGAGGGTTTCAAACCTGCTCTACCAAAGGGAATGTTCTACTCTGTGACTTGAATGCAAACATAACAAAGAAGTTTCTGAGAATGCTTCTGTCTAGATTTTACCTGAAGACAATCCCGTTTCCCACGAAATCCTCAAAGCTATGCAAATATCCTCTTGCAGATTCTACAAAAAGAGTGTTTCAAAACTGCTCTATGAAAAGAAAGGTTCAACTCTGTCAGTAGAGGGCACACATCACAAACAAGTTTCTGAGAATGCTTGTGTCTAGTTGTTATGGGAAGATATTTCCTTTTTCACCTTAGGCCGGTAAGTGCTCCAAATGTCCACTTACACACACTACAAAAAGAGTGTTTCAAACCTGCTCTGTGAAAGGGAATGTTCAATTCTGTGACTTGAATGCAATCATCACAAAGAACTTTCTGAGAATGCTGCTGACTGCTTTTTATATGTAATCCCGTTTCCAACGAAATCCTCAAATCTAGCCAAATAGCCACTTGCAGATTCCACAAAAAGAGTGTTTCAAAACTGTTCTGTCTAAAGAAATGTTCAACTGTGTTAGTTGAGGACACACATCAGAAACTAGTTTCTGAGAATGCTTCTGTCTAGTTGTTATGGGAAGATATTTCCTTTTCCAACGTAGGCCTGAAAGCGCTCCAAATGTCCACTTCCATATACTACAAAAAGAGTGTTTCAAACCTGCTCTACCAAAGGGAATGTTCTACTCTGTGACTTGAATGCAAACATCCCAAAGAAGTTTCTGAGAATGCTTCTGTCTAGATTTTCTCTGAAGACAATCCCGTTTCCAACGAAATCCTCAAGGCTAGGCAAATATACTCTTGCAGATTCCAGAAAAAGAGTGTTTCAAAACTGCTCCTTCAAAACGGTGGTTCAATTCTCTTAGTTGAGTACACACATCTCAAATAAGTTTCTGAGAATGCTTCTGCCTAGTTGTTACGGGAAGGTATTTCCCTTTCCAACATGGGCCTGAAAGCGCTCCAAATGTCCACTTCCAGATACTACAAAAAGAGTGTTTCAAACCTGCTCTACCAAAGGGAATGTTCTACTCTGTGATTTGAATGCAAACATCCAAAAGAAGTTTCTGAGAATGCTTCTGTCTAGATTTTACCTGAAGACAATCCCGTTTCCCACGAAATCCTCAAAGCTATGCAAATATCCTCTTGCGGATTCTACAAAAAGAGAGTTTCAAAACTGCTCTATGAAAAGAAAGGTTCAACTCTGTCAGTAGAGGGCACACATCACAAACAAGTTTCTGAGAATGCTTCTGCATAGTTGTTACGGGAAGATATTTCCCTTTCCAAAATAGGCCTGAAAGCGCTCCAAATGTCCACTTCCAGATACTACAAAAGGAGTGATTCCAACCTGCTCTATGATAGGGAATGTTCAACTCTGTGTCCTGAATACAAACATCACAAAGATGTTTCTCAGAACGCTGCAGTCTGCAATTTGTATGAATTCCCGCTTCCAACGAAATCCTCAAAACTAGCCAAATATCCACTTGCAGATTCCACAAAAAGAGCATTTCAAAACTGCTCTATCAAAAGAAAGGTTCAACTTTGTTAGTTGAGTAGATACAGCATAAACAAGTTTCTGAGAATGCTTCTGTCCAGTTTTTATGGGAAGATATTTCCTTTTTCACCTTAGCCCTGAAAGCGCTCCAAAAGTCCAGTTCCAGATACTACAAAAGGAGTGTTTCAGACTGCACTATGAAAGGGAGTGTTCAACTTTTGACTTGAATGCAAACATCAGAAAGCAGTTTCTCAGAACGCTGCTGTGTGCTTTTTATATGTATTCCCGCTTCCAGCGAAATCCCCAAAGCTAGCCAAATATCCACTTGCAGATTCCAGAAAAAGAGTGTTTCAAAACTGCTCCTTCAAAACGGTGGTTCAATTCTCTTAGTTGAGTACACACATCTCAAATAAGTTTCTGAGAATGCTTCTGTCTAGTTGTTATGGGAAGATATTTCCTTTTCCAACATAGGCCTGAAAGCGCTCCAAATGTCCACTTCCAGATACTACAAAAGGAGTGATTCAAACCTGCTCTATGATAGGGAATGTTCAACTCTGTGTCCTGAATACAAACATCACAAAGATGTTTCTCAGAACGCTGCAGTCTGCAATTTGTATGAATTCCCGCTTCCAACGAAATCCTCAAAACTAGCCAAATATCCACTTGCAGATTCCACAAAAAGAGCGTTTCAAAACTTCTCTATGAAAAGAAAGGTTCTACTCCTTTAGTTGAGGACACACATCACGAGTAAGTTTCTGAGAATGCTTCTGTCTAGTTTTTATGGGAAGATATTTCCTTTTTCACCTTAGGCCGGTAAGTGCTCCAAATGTCCACTTACACACACTACAAAAAGAGTGTTTCAAACCTGCTCTGTGAAAGGGAATGTTCAATTCTGTGACTTGAATGCAATCATCACAAAGAACTTTCTGAGAATGCTGCTGTCTGCTTTTTATATGTAATCCCGTTTCCAACGAAATCCTCAAATCTAGCCAAATAGCCACTTGCAGATTCCACAAAAAGAGAGTTTCAAAAGTGTTCTGTCTAAAGAAATGTTCAACTGTGTTAGTTGAGGACACACATCAGAAACTAGTTTCTGAGAATGCTTCTGTCTAGTTGTTATGGGAAGATATTTCCTTTTCCAACGTAGGCCTGAAAGCGATCCAAATGTCCACTTCCAGATACTAAAAAAAGAGTGTTTCAAACCTGCTCTACCAAAGGGAATGTTCTACTCTGTGACTTGAATGCAAACATCCCAAAGAAGTTTCTGAGAATGCTTCTGTCTAGATTTTCTCTGAAGACAATCCCGTTTCCAACGAAATCCTCAAGGCTAGGCAAATATACTCTTGCAGATTCCAGAAAAAGAGTGTTTCAAAACTGCTCCTTCAAAACGGTGGTTCAATTCTCTTAGTTGAGTACACACATCTCAAATAAGTTTCTGAGAATGCTTCTGCCTAGTTGTTACGGGAAGATATTTCCCTTTCCAACATGGGCCTGAAAGCGCTCCAAATGTCCACTTCCAGATACTACAAAAAGAGTGTTTCAAACCTGCTCTACCAAAGGGAATGTTCTACTCTGTGACTTGAATGCAAACATCCCAAAGAAGTTTCTGAGAATGCTTCTGTCTAGATTTTACCTGAAGACAATCCCGTTTCCCACGAAATCCTCAAAGCTATGCAAATATCCTCTTGCAGATTCTACAAAAAGAGTGTTTCAAAACTGCTCTATGAAAAGAAAGGTTCAACTCTGTCAGTAGAGGGCACACATCACAAACAAGTTTCTGAGAATGCTTCTGCATAGTTGTTACGGGAAGATATTTCCCTTTCCAAAATAGGCCTGAAAGCGCTCCAAATGTCCACTTCCAGATACTACAAAAGGAGTGATTCCAACCTGCTCTATGATAGGGAATGTTCAACTCTGTGTCCTGAATACAAACATCACAAAGATGTTTCTCAGAACGCTGCAGTCTGCAATTTGTATGAATTCCCGCTTCCAACGAAATCCTCAAAACTAGCCAAATATCCACTTGCAGATTCCACAAAAAGAGCATTTCAAAACTGCTCTATCAAAAGAAAGGTTCAACTTTGTTAGTTGAGTAGATACAGCATAAACAAGTTTCTGAGAATGCTTCTGTCCAGTTTTTATGGGAAGATATTTCCTTTTTCACCTTAGCCCTGAAAGCGCTCCAAAAGTCCAGTTCCAGATACTACAAAAGGAGTGTTTCAGGACTGCTCTATGAAAGGGAGTGTTCAACTTTTGACTTGAATGCAAACATCAGAAAGCAGTTTCTCAGAACGCTGCTGTGTGCTTTTTATATGTATTCCCGCTTCCAGCGAAATCCCCAAAGCTAGCCAAATATCCACTTGCAGATTCCAGAAAAAGAGTGTTTCAAAACTGCTCCTTCAAAACGGTGGTTCAATTCTCTTAGTTGAGTACACACATCTCAAATAAGTTTCTGAGAATGCTTCTGTCTAGTTGTTATGGGAAGATATTTCCTTTTCCAACATAGGCCTGAAAGCGCTCCAAATGTCCACTTCCAGATACTACAAAAGGAGTGATTCCAACCTGCTCTATGATAGGGAATGTTCAACTCTGTGTCCTGAATACAAACATCACAAAGATGTTTCTCAGAACGCTGCAGTCTGCAATTTGTATGAATTCCCGCTTCCAACGAAATCCTCCAAACTAGCCAAATATCCACTTGCAGATTCCACAAAAAGAGCGTTTCAAAACTTCTCTATGAAAAGAAAGGTTCTACTCCTTTAGTTGAGGACACACATCACGAGTAAGTTTCTGAGAATGCTTCTGTCTAGTTTTTATGGGAAGATATTTCCTTTTTCACCTTAGGCCGGAAAGTGCTCCAAATGTCCACTTACACACACTACAAAAAGAGTGTTTCAAACCTGCTCTGTGAAAGGGAATGTTCAATTCTGTGACTTGAATGCAATCATCACAAAGAACTTTCTGAGAATGCTGCTGACTGCTTTTTATATGTAATCCCGTTTCCAACGAAATCCTCAAATCTAGCCAAATAGCCACTTGCAGATTCCACAAAAAGAGTGTTTCAAAACTGTTCTGTCTAAAGAAATGTTCAACTGTGTTAGTTGAGGACACACATCAGAAACTAGTTTCTGAGAATGCCTCTGTCTAGTTGTTATGGGAAGATATTTCCTTTTCCAACGTAGGCCTGAAAGCGCTCCAAATGTCCACTTCCATATACTAAAAAAAGAGTGTTTCAAACCTGCTCTACCAAAGGGAATGTTCTACTCTGTGACTTGAATGCAAACATCCCAAAGAAGTTTCTGAGAATGCTTCTGTCTAGATTTGATCTGAAGACAATCCCGTTTCCAACGAAATCCTCAAGGCTAGGCAAATATCCTCTTGCAGATTCCAGAAAAAGAGTGTTTCAAAACTGCTCCTTCAAAACGGTGGTTCAATTCTCTTAGTTGAGTACACACATCTCAAATAAGTTTCTGAGAATGCTTCTGCCTAGTTGTTACGGGAAGATATTTCCCTTTCCAACATAGGCCTGAAAGCGCTCCAAATGTCCACTTCCAGATACTACAAAAAGAGTGTTTCAAACCTGCTCTACCAAAGGGAATGTTCTGCTCTGTGACTTGAATGCAAACATCCCAAAGAAGTTTCTGAGAATGCTTCTGTCTAGATTTTACCTGAAGACAATCCCGTTTCCCACGAAATCCTCAAAGCTATGCAAATATCCTCTTGCAGATTCTACAAAAAGAGTGTTTCAAAACTGCTCTATGAAAAGAAAGGTTCAACTCTGTCAGTAGAGGGCACACATCACAAACAAGTTTCTGAGAATGCTTCTGTCTAGTTGTTATGGGAAGATATTTCCTTTTCCAACATAGGCCTGAAAGGGCTCCAAATGTCCACTTCCAGATACTACAAAAGGAGTGATTCAAACCTGCTCTATGATAGGGAATGTTCAACTCTGTGTCCTGAATACAAACATCACAAAGATGTTTCTCAGAACGCTGCAGTCTGCAATTTGTATGAATTCCCGCTTCCAACGAAATCCTCAAAACTAGCCAACTATCCACTTGCAGATTCCACAAAAAGAGCATTTCAAAACTGCTCTATCAAAAGAAAGGTTCAACTTTGTTAGTTGAGTAGATACAGCATAAACAAGTTTCTGAGAATGCTTCTGTCCAGTTTTTATGGGAAGATATTTCCTTTTTCACCTTAGCCCTGAAAGCGCTCCAAATGTCCAGTTCCAGATACTACAAAAGGGGTGTTTCAAGACTGCTCTATGAAAGGGAGTGTTCAACTTTTGACTTGAATGCAAACATCAGAAAGCAGTTTCTCAGAACGCTGCTGTGTGCTTTTTATATGTATTCCCGCTTCCAGCGAAATCCCCAAAGCTAGCCAAATATCCACTTGCAGATTCCAGAAAAAGAGTGTTTCAAAACTGCTCCTTCAAAACGGTGGTTCAATTCTCTTAGTTGAGTACACACATCTCAAATAAGTTTCTGAGAATGCTTCTGTCTAGTTGTTATGGGAAGATATTTCCTTTTCCAACATAGGCCTGAAGCGCTCCAAATGTCCACTTCCAGATACTACAAAAGGAGTGATTCAAACCTGCTCTATGATAGGGAATGTTCAACTCTGTGTCCTGAATACAAACATCACAAAGATGTTTCTCAGAACGCTGCAGTCTGCAATTTGTATGAATTCCCGCTTCCAACGAAATCCTCAAAACTAGCCAAATATCCACTTGCAGATTCCACAAAAAGAGCGTTTCAAAACTTCTCTATGAAAAGAAAGGTTCTACTCCTTTAGTTGAGGACACACATCACGAGTAAGTTTCTGAGAATGCTTCTGTCTAGTTTTTATGGGAAGATTATTTCCTTTTTCACCTTAGGCCGGTAAGTGCTCCAAATGTCCACTTACACACACTACAAAAAGAGTGTTTCAAACCTGCTCTGTGAAAGGGAATGTTCAATTCTGTGACTTGAATGCAATCATCACAAAGAACTTTCTGAGAATGCCGCTGACTGCTTTTTATATGTAATCCCGTTTCCAACGAAATCCTCAAATCTAGCCAAATAGCCACTTGCAGATTCCACAAAAAGAGTGTTTCAAAACTGTTCTGTCTAAAGAAATGTTCAACTGTGTTAGTTGAGGACACACATCAGAAACTAGTTTCTGAGAATGCTTCTGTCTAGTTGTTATGGGAAGATATTTCCTTTTCCAACGTAGGCCTGAAAGCGCTCCAAATGTCCACTTCCAGATACTACAAAAAGAGTGTTTCAAACCTGCTCTACCAAAGGGAATGTTCTACTCTGTGACTTGAATGCAAGCATCCCAAAGAAGTTTCTGAGAATGCTTCTGTCTAGATTTTCTCTGAAGACAATCCCGTTTCCAACGAAATCCTCAAGGCTAGGCAAATATACTCTTGCAGATTCCAGAAAAAGAGTGTTTCAAAACTGCTCCTTCAAAACGGTGGTTCAATTCTCTTAGTTGAGTACACACATCTCAAATAAGTTTCTGAGAATGCTTCTGCCTAGTTGTTACGGGAAGATATTTCCCTTTCCAACATGGGCCTGAAAGCGCTCCAAATGTCCACTTCCAGATACTACAAAAAGAGTGTTTCAAACCTGCTCTACCAAAGGGAATGTTCTACTCTGTGACTTGAATGCAAACATCCCAAAGAAGTTTCTGAGAATGCTTCTGTCTAGATTTTACCTGAAGACAATCCCGTTTCCCACGAAATCCTCAAAGCTATGCAAATATCCTCTTGCAGATTCTACAAAAAGAGTGTTTCAAAACTGCTCTATGAAAAGAAAGGTTCAACTCTGTCAGTAGAGGGCACACATCACAAACAAGTTTCTGAGAATGCTTCTGCATAGTTGTTACGGGAAGATATTTCCCTTTCCAAAATAGGCCTGAAAGCGCTCCAAATGTCCACTTCCAGATACTACAAAAGGAGTGATTCCAACCTGCTCTATGATAGGGAATGTTCAACTCTGTGTCCTGAATACAAACATCACAAAGATGTTTCTCAGAACGCTGCAGTCTGCAATTTGTATGAATTCCCGCTTCCAACGAAATCCTCAAAACTAGCCAAATATCCACTTGCAGATTCCACAAAAAGACCATTTCAAAACTGCTCTATCAAAAGAAAGGTTCAACTTTGTTAGTTGAGTAGATACAGCATAACCAAGTTTCTGAGAATGCTTCTGTCCAGTTTTTATGGGAAGATATTTCCTTTTTCACCTTAGCCCTGAAATCGCTCCAAAAGTCCAGTTCCAGATACTACAAAAGGGGTGTTTCAAGACTGCTCTATGAAAGGGAGTGTTCAACTTTTGACTTGAATGCAAACATCAGAAAGCAGTTTCTCAGAACGCTGCTGTGTGCTTTTTATATGTATTCCCGCTTCCAGCGAAATCCCCAAAGCTAGCCAAATATCCACTTGCAGATTCCAGAAAAAGAGAGTTTCAAAACTGCTCCTTCAAAACGGTGGTTCAATTCTCTTAGTTGAGTACACACATCTCAAATAAGTTTCTGAGAATGCTTGTGTCTAGTTGTTATGGGAAGATATTTCCTTTTTCAACATAGGCCTGAAAGCGCTCCAAATGTCCACTTCCAGATACTACAAAAGGAGTGATTCCAACCTGCTCTATGATAGGGAATGTTCATCTCTGTGTCCTGAATACAAACATCACAAAGATGTTTCTCAGAACGCTGCAGTCTGCAATTTGTATGAATTCCCGCTTCCAACGAAATCCTCAAAACTAGCCAAATATCCACTTGGAGATTCCACAAAAAGAGCGTTTCAAAACTTCTCTATGAATAGAAAGGTTCTACTCCTTTAGTTGAGGACACACATCACGAGTAAGTTTCTGAGAATGCTTCTGTCTAGTTTTTATGGGAAGATATTTCCTTTTTCACCTTAGGCCGGAAAGCGCTCCAAATGTCCACTTACACACACTACAAAAAGAGTGTTTCAAACCTGCTCTGTGAAAGGGAATGTTCAATTCTGTGACTTGAATGCAATCACCACAAAGAACTTTCTGAGAATGCTGCAGTCTGCTTTTTATATGTAATCCCGTTTCCAACGAAATCCTCAAATCTAGCCAAATATCCACTTGCAGATTCCACAAAAAGAGTGTTTCAAAACTGTTCTGTCTAAAGAAAAGTTCAACTGTGTTAGTTGAGGACACACATCAGAAACTAGTTTCTGAGAATGCTTCTGTCTAGTTGTTATGGGAAGATATTTCCTTTTCCAACGTAGGCCTGAAAGCGCTCCAAATGTCCACTTCCAGATACTACAAAAAGAGTGTTTCAAACCTGCTCTACCAAAGGGAATGTTCTACTCTGTGACTTGAATGCAAACATCCCAAAGAAGTTTCTGAGAATGCTTCTGTCTAGATTTTATCTGAAGACAATCCCGTTTCCAACGAAATCCTCAAGGCTAGGCAAATATACTCTTGCAGATTCCAGAAAAAGAGTGTTTCAAAACTGCACCTTCAAAACGGTGGTTCAATTCTCTTAGTTGAGTACACACATCTCAAATAAGTTTCTGAGAATGCTTCTGCCTAGTTGTTACGGGAAGATATTTCCCTTTCCAACATGGGCCTGATAGCGCTCCGAATGTCCACTTCCAGATACTACAAAAAGAGGGTATCAAACCTGCTCTACCAAAGGGAATGTTCTACTCTGTGACTTGAATGCAAACATCCCAAAGAAGTTTCTGAGAATGCTTCTGTCTAGATTTTACCTGAAGACAATCCCGTTTCCCACGAAATCCTCAAAGCTATGCAAATATCCTCTTGCAGATTCTACAAAAAGAGTGTTTCAAAACTGCTCTATGAAAAGAAAGGTTCAACTCTGTCAGTAGAGGGCACACATCACAAACAAGTTTCTGAGAATGCTTGTGTCTAGTTGTTATGGGAAGATATTTCCTTTTTCAACATAGGCCTGAAAGCGCTCCAAATGTCCACTTCCAGATACTACAAAAGGAGTGATTCCAACCTGCTCTATGATAGGGAATGTTCATCTCTGTGTCCTGAATACAAACATCACAAAGATGTTTCTCAGAACGCTGCAGTCTGCAATTTGTATGAATTCCCGCTTCCAACGAAATCCTCAAAACTAGCCAAATATCCACTTGCAGATTCCACAAAAAGAGCGTTTCAAAACTTCTCTATGAAAAGAAAGGTTCTACTCCTTTAGTTGAGGACACACATCACGAGTAAGTTTCTGAGAATGCTTCTGTCTAGTTTTTATGGGAAGATATTTCCTTTTTCACCTTAGGCCGGAAAGCGCTCCAAATGTCCACTTACACACACTACAAAAAGAGGGTTTCAAACCTGCTCTGTGAAAGGGAATGTTCAATTCTGTGACTTGAATGCAATCATCACAAAGAACTTTCTGAGAATGCTGCTGTCTGCTTTTTATATGTAATCCCGTTTCCAACGAAATCCTCAAATCTAGCCAAATATCCACTTGCAGATTCCACAAAAAGAGTGTTTCAAAACTGTTCTGTCTAAAGAAAAGTTCAACTGTGTTAGTTGAGGACACACATCAGAAACTAGTTTCTGAGAATGCTTCTGTCTAGTTGTTATGGGAAGATATTTCCTTTTCCAACGTAGGCCTGAAAGTGCTCCAAATGTCCACTTCCATATACTAAAAAAAGAGTGTTTCAAACCTGCTCTACCAAAGGGAATGTTCTATTCTGTGACTTGAATGCAAACATCCCAAAGAAGTTTCTGAGAATGCTTCTGTCTAGATTTGATCTGAAGACAATCCCGTTTCCAACGAAATCCTCAAGGCTAGGCAAATATACTCTTGCAGATTCCAGAAAAAGAGTGTTTCAAAACTGCTCCTTCAAAACGGTGGTTCAATTCTCTTAGTTGAGTACACACATCTCAAATAAGTTTCTGAGAATGCTTCTGCCTAGTTGTTACGGGAAGATATTTCCCTTTCCAACATGGGCCTGATAGTGCTCCAAATGTCCACTTCCAGATACTACAAAAAGAGTGTTTCAAACCTGCTCTACCAAAGGGAATGTTCTACTCTGTGACTTGAATGCAAACATCCCAAAAAAGTTTCTGAGAATGCTTCTGTCTAGATTTTACCTGAAGACAATCCCGTTTCCCACGAAATCCTCAAAGCTATGCAAATATCCTCTTGCAGATTCTACAAAAAGAGTGTTTCAAAACTGCTCTATGAAAAGAAAGGTTCAACTCTGTCAGTAGAGGGCACACATCACAAACAAGTTTCTGAGAATGCTTCTGCATAGTTGTTACGGGAAGATATTTCCCTTTCCAAAATAGGCCTGAAAGCGCTCCAAATGTCCACTTCCAGATACTACAAAAGGAGTGATTCCAACCTGCTCTATGATAGGGAATGTTCAACTCTGTGTCCTGAATACAAACATCACAAAGATGTTTCTCAGAACGCTGCAGTCTGCAATTTGTATGAATTCCCGCTTCCAACGAAATCCTCAAAACTAGCCAAATATCCACTTGCAGATTCCACAAAAAGACCATTTCAAAACTGCTCTATCAAAAGAAAGGTTCAACTTTGTTAGTTGAGTAGATACAGCATAAACAAGTTTCTGAGAATGCTTCTGTCCAGTTTTTATGGGAAGATATTTCCTTTTTCACCTTAGCCCTGAAATCGCTCCAAAAGTCCAGTTCCAGATACTACAAAAGGGGTGTTTCAAGACTGCTCTATGAAAGGGAGTGTTCAACTTTTGACTTGAATGCAAACATCAGAAAGCAGTTTCTCAGAACGCTGCTGTGTGCTTTTTATATGTATTCCCGCTTCCAGCGAAATCCCCAAAGCTAGCCAAATATCCACTTGCAGATTCCAGAAAAAGAGTGTGTCAAAACTGCTCCTTCAAAACGGTGGTTCAATTCTCTTAGTTGAGTACACACATCTCAAATAAGTTTCTGAGAATGCTTCTGCATAGTTGTTACGGGAAGATATTTCCCTTTCCAAAATAGGCCTGAAAGCGCTCCAAATGTCCACTTCCAGATACTACAAAAGGAGTGATTCCAACCTGCTCTATGATAGGGAATGTTCAACTCTGTGTCCTGAATACAAACATCACAAAGATGTTTCTCAGAACGCTGCAGTCTGCAATTTGTATGAATTCCAGCTTCCAACGAAATCCTCAAATCTAGCCAAATATCCACTTGCAGATTCCACAAAAAGAGCATTTCAAAACTGCTCTATCAAAAGAAAGGTTCAACTTTGTTAGTAGAGTAGATACAGCATAAACAAGTTTCTGAGAATGCTTCTGTCCAGTTTTTATGGGAAGATATTTCCTTTTTCACCTTAGCCCTGAAAGCGCTCCAAAAGTCCAGTTCCAGATACTACAAAAGGAGTGTTTCAGGACTGCTCTATGAAAGGGAGTGTTCAACTTTTGACTTGAATGCAAACATCAGAAAGCAGTTTCTCAGAACGCTGCTGTGTGCTTTTTATATGTATTCCCGCTTCCAGCGAAATCCCCAAAGCTAGCCAAATATCCACTTGCAGATTCCAGAAAAAGAGTGTTTCAAAACTGCTCCTTCAAAACGGTGGTTCAATTCTCTTAGTTGAGTACACACATCTCAAATAAGTTTCTGAGAATGCTTCTGTCTAGTTGTTATGGGAAGATATTTCCTTTTGCAACATAGGCCTGAAAGCGCTCCAAATGTCCACTTCCAGATACTACAAAAGGAGTGATTCAAACCTGCTCTATGATAGGGAATGTTCAACTCTGTGTCCTGAATACAAACATCACAAAGATGTTTCTCAGAACGCTGCAGTCTGCAATTTGTATGAATTCCCGCTTCCAACGAAATCCTCAAAACTAGCCAAATATCCACTTGCAGATTCCACAAAAAGAGCGTTTCAAAACTTCTCTATGAAAAGAAAGGTTCTACTCCTTTAGTTGAGGACACACATCACGAGTAAGTTTCTGAGAATGCTTCTGTCTAGTTTTTATGGGAAGATATTTCCTTTTTCACCTTAGGCCGGTAAGTGCTCCAAATGTCCACTTACACACACTACAAAAAGAGTGTTTCAAACCTGCTCTGTGAAAGGGAATGTTCAATTCTGTGACTTGAATGCAATCATCACAAAGAACTTTCTGAGAATGCTGCTGTCTGCTTTTTATATGTAATCCCGCTTCCAACGAAATCCTCAAAACTAGCCAAATATCCACTTGCAGAATCCACAAAAAGAGTGTTTCAAAACTGTTCTGTCAAAAGAAATGTTCAACTGTGTTAGTTGAGGACACACATCAGAAACTAGTTTCTGAGAATGCTTCTGTCTAGTTGTTATGGGAAGATATTTCCTTTTCCAACGTAGGCCTGAAAGCGCTCCAAATGTCCACTTCCATATACTAAAAAAAGAGTGTTTCAAACCTGCTCTACCAAAGGGAATGTTCTACTCTGTGACTTGAATGCAAACATCCCAAAGAAGTTTCTGAGAATGCTTCTGTCTAGATTTTACCTGAAGACAATCCCGTTTCCCACGAAATCCTCAAAGCTATGCAAATATCCTCTTGCGGATTCTATAAAAGAGTGTTTCAAAACTGCTCTATGAAAAGAAAGGTTCAACTCTGTCAGTAGAGGGCACACATCACAAACAAGTTTCTGAGAATGCTTCTGCATAGTTGTTACGGGAAGATATTTCCCTTTCCAAAATAGGCCTGAAAGCGCTCCAAATGTCCACTTCCAGATACTACAAAAGGAGTGATTCCAACCTGCTCTATGATAGGGAATGTTCAACTCTGTGTCCTGAATACAAACATCACAAAGATGTTTCTCAGAACGCTGCAGTCTGCAATTTGTATGAATTCCCGCTTCCAACGAAATCCTCAAAACTAGCCAAATATCCACTTGCAGATTCCACAAAAAGAGCATTTCAAAACTGCTCTATCAAAAGAAAGGTTCAACTTTGTTAGTTGAGTAGATACAGCATAAACAAGTTTCTGAGAATGCTTCTGTCCAGTTTTTATGGGAAGATATTTCCTTTTTCACCTTAGCCCTGAAAGCGCTCCAAAAGTCCAGTTCCAGATACTACAAAAGGAGTGTTTCAGGACTGCACTAAGAAAGGGAGTGTTCAACTTTTGACTTGAATGCAAACATCAGAAAGCAGTTTCTCAGAACGCTGCTGTGTGCTTTTTATATGTATTCCCGCTTCCAGCGAAATCCCCAAAGCTAGCCAAATATCCACTTGCAGATTCCAGAAAAAGAGTGTTTCAAAACTGCTCCTTCAAAACGGTGGTTCAATTCTCTTAGTTGAGTACACACATCTCAAATAAGTTTCTGAGAATGCTGCAGTCTGCAATTTGTATGAATTCCCGCTTCCAACGAAATCCTCAAAACTAGCCAAATATCCACTTGCAGATTCCACAAAAAGAGCATTTCAAAACTGCTCTATCAAAAGAAAGGTTCAACTTAGTTAGTTGAGTAGATACAGCATAAACAAGTTTCTGAGAATGCTTCTGTCCAGTTTTTATGGGAAGATATTTCCTTTTTCACCTTAGCCCTGAAAGCGCTCCAAATGTCCAGTTCCAGATACTACAAAAGGGGTGTTTCAAGACTGCTCTATGAAAGGGAGTGTTCAACTTTTGACTTGAATGCAAACATCAGAAAACAGTTTCTCAGAACGCTGCTGTGTGCTTTTTATATGTATTCCCGCTTCCAGCGAAATCCCCAAAGCTAGCCAAATATCCATTTGCAGATTCCAGAAAAAGAGTGTTTCAAAACTGCTCCTTCAAAACGGTGGTTCAATTCTCTTAGTTGAGTACACACATCTCAAATAAGTTTCTGAGAATGCTTCCTGTCTATTTGTTATGGGAAGATATTTCCTTTTCCAACATAGGGCCTGAAAGCGCTCCAAATGTCCACTTCCAGATACTACAAAAGGAGTGATTCAAACCTGCTCTATGATAGGGAATGTTCAACTCTGTGTCCTGAATACAAACATCACAAAGATGTTTCTCAGAACGCTGCAGTCTGCAATTTGTATGAATTCCCGCTTCCAACGAAATCCTCCAAACTAGCCAAATATCCACTTGCAGATTCCACAAAAAGAGCGTTTCAAAACTTCTCTATGAAAAGAAAGGTTCTACTCCTTTAGTTGAGGACACACATCACGAGTAAGTTTCTGAGAATGCTTCTCTCTAGTTTCTATGGGAAGATATTTCCTTTTTCACCTTAGGCCGGAAAGCGCTCCAAATGTCCACTTACACACACTACAAAAAGAGTGTTTCAAACCTGCTCTGTGAAAGGGAATGTTCAATTCTGTGACTTGAATGCAATCATCACAAAGAACTTTCTGAGAATGCTGCTGACTGTTTTTTATATGTAATCCCGTTTCCAACGAAATCCTCAAATCTAGCCCAATATCCACTTGCAGATTCCACAAAAAGAGTGTTTCAAAACTGTTCTGTCTAAAGAAAAGTTCAACTGTGTTAGTTGAGGACACATATCAGAAACTAGTTTCTGAGAATGCTTCTGTCTAGTTGTTATGGGAAGATATTTCCTTTTCCAACGTAGGCCTGAAAGCGCTCCAAATGTCCACTTCCATATACTAAAAAAAGAGTGTTTCAAACCTGCTCTACCAAAGGGAATGTTCTACTCTGTGACTTGAATGCAAACATCCCAAAGAAGTTTCTGAGAATGCTTCTGTCTAGATTTGATCTGAAGACAATCCCGTTTCCAACGAAATCCTCAAGGCTAGGCAAATATCGTCTTGCAGATTCCAGAAAAAGAGTGTTTCAAAACTGCTCCTTCAAAACGGTGGTTCAATTCTCTTAGTTGAGTACACACATCTCAAATAAGTTTCTGAGAATGCTTCTGCCTAGTTGTTACGGGAAGATATTTCCCTTTCCAACATAGGCCTGAAAGCGCTCCAAATGTCCACTTCCAGATACTACAAAAAGAGTGTTTCAAACCTGCTCTACCAAAGGGAATGTTCTACTCTGTGACTTGAATGCAAACATCCCAAAGAAGTTTCTGAGAATGCTTCTGTCTAGATTTTACCTGAAGACAATCCCGTTTCCCACGAAATCCTCAAAGCTATGCAAATATCCTCTTGCAGATTCTACAAAAAGAGTGTTTCAAAACTGCTCTATGAAAAGAAAGGTTCAACTCTGTCAGTAGAGGGCACACATCACAAACAAGTTTCTGAGAATGCTTGTGTCTAGTTGTTATGGGAAGTATATTTCCTTTTTCAACATAGGCCTGAAAGCGCTCCAAATGTCCACTTCCAGATACTACAAAAGGAGTGATTCCAACCTGCTCTATGATAGGGAATGTTCAACTCTCTGTCCTGAATACAAACATCACAAAGATGTTTCTCAGAACGCTGCAGTCTGAAATTTGTATGAATTCCCGCTTCCAACGAAATCCTCAAAACTAGCCAAATATCCACTTGCAGATTCCACAAAAAGAGCATTTCAAAACTGCTCTATCAAAAGAAAGGTTCAACTTTGTTAGTTGAGTAGATACAGCATAAACAAGTTTCTGAGAATGCTTCTGTCCAGTTTTTATGGGAAGATATTTCCTTTTTCACCTTAGCCCTGAAAGCGCTCCAAAAGTCCAGTTCCAGATACTACAAAAGGAGTGTTTCAGGACTGCTCTATGAAAGGGAGTGTTCAACTTTTGATTTGAATGCAAACATCAGAAAGCAGTTTCTCAGAACGCTGCTGTGTGCTTTTTATATGTATTCCCGCTTCCAGCGAAATCCCCAAAGCTAGCCAAATATCCACTTGCAGATTCCAGAAAAAGAGTGTTTCAAAACTGCTCCTTCAAAACGGTGGTTCAATTCTCTTAGTTGAGTACACACATCTCAAATAAGTTTCTGAGAATGCTTCTGTCTAGTTGTTATGGGAAGATATTTCCTTTTCCAACATAGGCCTGAAAGCGCTCCAAATGTCCACTTCCAGATACTACAAAAGGAGTGATTCAAACCTGCTCTATGATAGGGAATGTTCAACTCTGTGTCCTGAATACAAACATCACAAAGATGTTTCTCAGAACGCTGCAGTCTGCAATTTGTATGAATTCCCGCTTCCAACGAAATCCTCCAAACTAGCCAAATATCCACTTGCAGATTCCACAAAAAGAGCGTTTCAAAACTTCTCTATGAAAAGAAAGGTTCTACTCCTTTAGTTGAGGACACACATCACGAGTAAGTTTCTGAGAGTGCTTCTGTCTAGTTTTTATGGGAAGATATTTCCTTTTTCACCTTAGGCCGGAAAGTGCTCCAAATGTCCACTTACACACACTACAAAAAGAGTGTTTCAAACCTGCTCTGTGAAAGGGAATGTTCAATTCTGTGACTTGAATGCAATCATCACAAAGAACGTTCTGAGAATGCTGCTGTCTGCTTTTTATATGTAATCCCGTTTCCAACGAAATCCTCAAATCTAGCCAAATAGCCACTTGCAGATTCCACAAAAAGAGAGTTTCAAAACTGTTCTGTCTAAAGAAATGCTCAACTGTGTTAGTTGAGGACACACATCAGAAACTAGTTTCTGAGAATGCTTCTGTCTAATTGTTATGGGAAGATATTTCCTTTTCCAACGTAGGCCTGAAAGCGCTCCAAATGTCCACTTCCATATACTAAAAAAAGAGTGTTTCAAACCTGCTCTACCAAAGGGAATGTTCTACTCTGTGACTTGAATGCAAACATCCCAAAGAAGTTTCTGAGAATGCTTCTGTCTAGATTTGATCTGAAGACAATCCCGTTTCCAACGAAATCCTCAAAGCTAGGCAAATATCCTCTTGCAGATTCCAGAAAAAGAGTGTTTCAAAACTGCTCCTTCAAAACGGTGGTTCAATTCTCTTAGTTGAGTACACACATCTCAAATAAGTTTCTGAGAATGCTTCTGCCTAGTTGTTACGGGAAGATATTTCCCTTTCCAACATAGGCCTGAAAGCGCTCCAAATGTCCACTTCCAGATACTATAAAAAGAGTGTTTCAAACCTGCTCTACCAAAGGGAATGTTCTACTCTGTGACTTGAATGCAAACATCCCAAAGAAGTTTCTGAGAATGCTTCTGTCTAGATTTTACCTGAAGACAATCCCGTTTCCCACGAAATCCTCAAAGCTATGCAAATATCCTCTTGCAGATTCTACAAAAAGAGTGTTTCAAAACTGCTCTATGAAAAGAAAGGTTCAACTCTGTCAGTAGAGGGCACACATCACAAACAAGTTTCTGAGAATGCTTGTGTCTAGTTTTTATGGGAAGATATTTCCTTTTTCACCTTAGGCCGGAAAGTGCTCCAAATGTCCACTTACACACACTACAAAAAGAGTGTTTCAAACCTGCTCTGTGAAAGGGAATGTTCAATTCTGTGACTTGAATGCAATCATCACAAAGAACTTTCTGAGAATGCTGCTGTCTGCTTTTTATATGTAATCCCGTTTCCAACGAAATCCTCAAATCTAGCCAAATAGCCACTTGCAGATTCCACAAAAAGAGTGTTTCAAAACTGTTCTGTCTAAAGAAATGTTCAACTGTGTTAGTTGAGGACACACATCAGAAACTAGTTTCTGAGAATGCTTCTGTCTAGTTGTTATGGGAAGATATTTCCTTTTCCAACGTAGACCTGAAAGCGCTCCAAATGTCCACTTCCATATACTAAAAAAAGGGTGTTTCAAACCTGCTCTACCAAAGGGAATCTTCTACTCTGTGACTTGAATGCAAACATCCCAAAGAAGTTTCTGAGAATGCTTCTGTCTAGATTTGATCTGAAGACAATCCCGTTTCCAACGAAATCCTCAAGGCTAGGCAAATATCCTCTTGCAGATTCCAGAAAAAGAGTGTTTCAAAACTGCTCCTTCAAAACGGTGGTTCAATTCTCTTAGTTGAGTACACACATCTCAAATAAGTTTCTGAGAATGCTTCTGCCTAGTTGTTACGGGAAGATATTTCCCTTTCCAACATAGGCCTGAAAGCGCTCCAAATGTCCACTTCCAGATACTACAAAAAGAGTGTTTCAAACCTGCTCTACCAAAGGGAATGTTCTACTCTGAGACTTGAATGCAAACATCCCAAAGAAGTTTCTGAGAATGCTTCTGTCTAGATTTTACCTGAAGACAATCCCGTTTCCCACGAAATCCTCAAAGCTATGCAAATATCCTCTTGCAGATTCTACAAAAAGAGTGTTTCAAAACTGCTCTATGAAAAGAAAGGTTCAACTCTGTCAGTAGAAGGCACACATCACAAACAAGTTTCTGAGAATGCTTGTGTCTAGTTGTTATGGGAAGATATTTCCTTTTTCAACATAGGCCTGAAGCGCTCCAAATGTCCACTTCCAGATACTACAAAAGGAGTGATTCCAACCTGCTCTATGATAGGGAATGTTCAACTCTCTGTCCTGAATACAAACATCACAAAGATGTTTCTCAGAACGCTGCAGTCTGCAATTTGTATGAATTCCCGCTTCCAACGAAATCCTCAAAACTAGCCAAATATCCACTTGCAGATTCCACAAAAAGAGCATTTCAAAACTGCTCTATCAAAAGAAAGGTTCAACTTTGTTAGTTGAGTAGATACAGCATAAACAAGTTTCTGAGAATGCTTCTGTCCAGTTTTTATGGGAAGATATTTCCTTTTTCACCTTAGCCCTGAAAGCGCTCCAAAAGTCCAGTTCCAGATACTACAAAAGGAGTGTTTCAGGACTGCTCTATGAAAGGGAGTGTTCAACTTTTGACTTGAATGCAAACATCAGAAAGCAGTTTCTCAGAACGCTGCTGTGTGCTTTTTATATGTATTCCCGCTTCCAGCGAAATCCCCAAAGCTAGCCAAATATCCACTTGCAGATTCCAGAAAAAGAGTGTTTCAAAACTGCTCCTTCAAAACGGTGGTTCAATTCTCTTAGTTGAGTACACACATCTCAAATAAGTTTCTGAGAATGCTTCTGTCTGGTTGTTATGGGAAGATATTTCCTTTTCCAACATAGGCCTGAAAGCGCTCCAAATGTCCACTTCCAGATACTACAAAAGGAGTGATTCAAACCTGCTCTATGATAGGGAATGTTCAACTCTGTGTCCTGAATACAAACATCACAAAGATGTTTCTCAGAACGCTGCAGTCTGCAATTTGTATGAATTCCCGCTTCCAACGAAATCCTCAAAACTAGCCAAATATCCACTTGCAGATTCCACAAAAAGAGCGTTTCAAAACTTCTCTATGAAAAGAAAGTTTCTACTCCTTTAGTTGAGGACACACATCACGAGTAAGTTTCTGAGAATGCTTCTGTCTAGTTTTTATGGGAAGATATTTCCTTTTTCACCTTAGGCCGGTAAGTGCTCCAAATGTCCACTTACACACACTACAAAAAGAGTGTTTCAAACCTGCTCTGTGAAAGGGAATGTTCAATTCTGTGACTTGAATGCAATCATCACAAAGAACTTTCTGAGAATGCTGCTGACTGCTTTTTATATGTAATCCCGTTTCCAACGAAATCCTCAAATCTAGCCAAATAGCCACTTGCAGATTCCACAAAAAGAGTGTTTCAAAACTGTTCTGTCTAAAGAAATGTTCAACTGTGTTAGTTGAGGACACACATCAGAAACTAGTTTCTGAGAATGCTTCTGTCTAGTTGTTATGGGAAGATATTTCCTTTTCCAACGTAGGCCTGAAAGCGCTCCAAATGTCCACTTCCAGATACTACAAAAAGAGTGTTTCAAACCTGCTCTACCAAAGGGAATGTTCTACTCTGTGACTTGAATGCAAGCATCCCAAAGAAGTTTCTGAGAATGCTTCTGTCTAGATTTTCTCTGAAGACAATCCCGTTTCCAACGAAATCCTCAAGGCTAGGCAAATATACTCTTGCAGATTCCAGAAAAAGAGTGTTTCAAAACTGCTCCTTCAAAACGGTGGTTCAATTCTCTTAGTTGAGTACACACATCTCAAATAAGTTTCTGAGAATGCTTCTGCCTAGTTGTTACGGGAAGATATTTCCCTTTCCAACATGGGCCTGAAAGCGCTCCAAATGTCCACTTCCAGATACTACAAAAAGAGTGTTTCAAACCTGCTCTACCAAAGGGAATGTTCTACTCTGTGACTTGAATGCAAACATCCCAAAGAAGTTTCTGAGAATGCTTCTGTCTAGATTTTACCTGAAGACAATCCCGTTTCCCACGAAATCCTCAAAGCTATGCAAATATCCTCTTGCAGATTCTACAAAAAGAGTGTTTCAAAACTGCTCTATGAAAAGAAAGGTTCAACTCTGTCAGTAGAGGGCACACATCACAAACAAGTTTCTGAGAATGCTTGTGTCTAGTTGTTATGGGAAGATATTTACTTTTTCAACATAGGCCTGAAAGCGCTCCAAATGTCCACTTCCAGATACTACAAAAGGAGTGATTCCAACCTGCTCTATGATAGGGAATGTTCATCTCTGTGTCCTGAATACAAACATCACAAAGATGTTTCTCAGAACGCTGCAGTCTGCAATTTGTGTGAATTCCCGCTTCCAATGAAATCCTCAAAACTAGCCAAATATCCACTTGGAGATTCCACAAAAAGAGCGTTTCAAAACTTCTCTATGAATAGAAAGGTTCTACTCCTTTAGTTGAGGACACACATCACGAGTAAGTTTCTGAGAATGCTTCTGTCTAGTTTTTATGGGAAGATATTTCCTTTTTCACCTTAGGCCGGAAAGCGCTCCAAATGTCCACTTACACACACTACAAAAAGAGTGTTTCAAACCTGCTCTGTGAAAGGGAATGTTCAATTCTGTGACTTGAATGCAATCATCACAAAGAACTTTCTGAGAATGCTGCTGTCTGCTTTTTATATGTAATCCCGTTTCCAACGAAATCCTCAAATCTAGCCAAATATCCACTTGCAGATTCCACAAAAAGAGTGTTTCAAAACTGTTCTGTCTAAAGAAAAGTTCAACTGTGTTAGTTGAGGACACACATCAGAAACTAGTTTCTGAGAATGCTTCTGTCTAGTTGTTATGGGAAGATATTTCCTTTTCCAACGTAGGCCTGAAAGCGCTCCAAATGTCCACTTCCATATACGAAAAAAAGAGTGTTTCAAACCTGCTCTACCAAAGGGAGTGTTCTACTCTGTGACTTGAATGCAAACATCCCAAAGAAGTTTCTGAGAATGCTTCTGTCTAGATTTTATCTGAAGACAATCCCGTTTCCAACGAAATCTTCAAGGCTAGGCAAATATACTCTTGCAGATTCCAGAAAAAGAGTGTTTCAAATCTGCTCCTTCAAAACGGTGGTTCAATTCTCTTAGTTGAGTACACACATCTCAAATAAGTTTACTGAGAATGCTTCTGCCTAGTTGTTACGGGAAGATATTTCCCTTTCCAACATGGGCCTGAAAGCGCTCCAAATGTCCACTTCCAGATACTACAAAAAGAGGGTTTCAAACCTGCTCTACCAAAGGGAATGTTCTACTCTGTGACTTGAATGCAAACATCCCAAAGAAGTTTCTGAGAATGCTTCTGTCTAGATTTTACCTGAAGACAATCCCGTTTCCCACGAAATCCTCAAAGCTATGCAAATATCCTCTTGCAGATTCTACAAAAAGAGTGTTTCAAAACTGCTCTATGAAAAGAAAGGTTCAACTCTGTCAGCAGAGGGCACACATCACAAACAAGTTTCTGAGAATGCTTGTGTCTAGTTGTTATGGGAAGATATTTCCTTTTTCAACATAGGCCTGAAAGCGCTCCAAATGTCCACTTCCAGATACTACAAAAGGAGTGATTCCAACCTGCTCTATGATAGGGAATGTTCAACTCTCTGTCCTGAATACAAACATCACAAAGATGTTTCTCAGAACGCTGCAGTCTGCAATTTGTATGAATTCCCGCTTCCAAAGAAATCCTCAAAACTAACCAAATATCCACTTGCAGACTCCACAAAAAGAGCATTTCAAAACTGCTCTATCAAAAGAAAGGTTCAACTTTGTTAGCTGAGTAGATACAGCATAAACAAGTTTCTGAGAATGCTTCTGTCCAGTTTTTATGGGAAGATATTTCCTTTTTCACCTTAGCCCTGAAATCGCTCCAAAAGTCCAGTTCCAGATACTACAAAAGGGGTGTTTCAGGACTGCTCTATGAAAGGGAGTGTTCAACTTTTGACTTGAATGCAAACATCAGAAAGCAGTTTCTCAGAACGCTGCTGTGTGCTTTTTATATGTATTCCCGCTTCCAGCGAAATCTCCAAAGCTAGCCAAATATCCACTTGCAGATTCCAGAAAAAGAGAGTTTCAAAACTGCTCCTTCAAAACGGTGGTTCAATTCTCTTAGTTGAGTACACACATCTCAAATAAGTTTCTGAGAATGCTTCTGTCTAGTTGTTATGGGAAGATATTTCCTTTTCCAACATAGGCCTGAAAGCGCTCCAAATGTCCACTTCCAGATACTACAAAAGGAGTGATTCCAACCTGCTCTATGATAGGGAATGTTCAACTCTGTGTCCTGAATACAAACATCACAAAGATGTTTCTCAGAACGCTGCAGTCTGCAATTTGTATGAATTCCCGCTTCCAACGAAATCCTCAAAACTAGCCAAATATCCACTTGCAGATTCCACAAAAAGAGCGTTTCAAAACTTCTCTATGAAAAGAAAGGTTCTACTCCTTTAGTTGAGGACACACATCACGAGTAAGTTTCTGAGAATGCTCTGTCTAGTTTTTATGGGAAGATATTTCCTTTTTCACCTTAGGCCGGTAAGTGCTCCAAATGTCCACTTACACACACTACAAAAAGAGTGTTTCAAACCTGCTCTGTGAAAGGGAATGTTCAATTCTGTGACTTGAATGCAATCATCACAAAGAACTTCTGAGAATGCTGGCAGTCTGCAATTTGTATGAATTCCCGCTTCCAACGAAATCCTCCAAACTAGCCAAATATCCACTTGCAGATTCCACAAAAAGAGCGTTTCAAAACTGTTCTGTCTAAAGAAATGTTAAACTGTGTTAGTTGAGGACACACATCAGAAACTAGTTTCTGAGAATGCTTCTGTCTAGTTGTTATGGGAAGATATTTCCTTTTCCAACGTAGGCCTGAAAGCGCTCCAAATGTCCACTTCCATATACTAAAAAAAGAGTGTTTCAAACCTGCTCTACCAAAGGGAATGTTCTACTCTGTGACTTGAATGCAAACATCCCAAAGAAGTTTCTGAGAATGCTTCTGTCTAGATTTGATCTGAAGACAATCCCGTTTCCAACGAAATCCTCAAGGCTAGGCAAATATCCTCTTGCAGATTCCAGAAAAAGAGTGTTTCAAAACTGCTCCTTCAAAACGGTGGTTCAATTCTCTTAGTTGAGTACACACATCTCAAATAAGTTTCTGAGAATGCTTCTGCCTAGTTGTAACGGGAAGATATTTCCCTTTCCAACATAGGCCTGAAAGCGCTCCAAATGTCCACTTCCAGATACTACAAAAAGAGTGTTTCAAACCTCCTCTACCAAAGGGAATGTTCTACTCTGTGACTTGAATGCAAACATCCCAAAGAAGTTTCTGAGAATGCTTCTGTCTAGATTTTACCTGAAGACAATCCCGTTTCCCACGAAATCCTCAAAGCTATGCAAATATCCTCTTGCAGATTCTACAAAAAGAGTGTTTCAAAACTGCTCTATGAAAAGAAAGGTTCAACTCTGTCAGTAGAGGGCACACATCACAAACAAGTTTCTGAGAATGCTTCTGCATAGTTGTTATGGGAAGATATTTCCCTTTCCAAAATAGGCCTGAAAGCGCTCCAAATGTCCACTTCCAGATACTACAAAAGGAGTGATTCCAACCTGCTCTAGAACAGGGAATGTTCAACTCTGTGTCCTGAATACAAACATCACAAAGATGTTTCTCAGAACGCTGCAGTCTGCAATTTGTATGAATTCCCGCTTCCAACGAAATCCTCAAAACTAGCCAAATATCCACTTGCAGATTCCACAAAAAGACCATTTCAAAACTGCTCTATCAAAAGAAAGGTTCAACTTTGTTAGTTGAGTAGATACAGCATAAACAAGTTTCTGAGAATGCTTCTGTCCAGTTTTTATGGGAAGATATTTCCTTTTTCACCTTAGCCCTGAAAGCGCTCCAAAAGTCCAGTTCCAGATACTACAAAAGGAGTGTTTCAGGACTGCTCTATGAAAGGGAGTGTTCAACTTTTGACTTGAATGCAAACATCAGAAAGCAGTTTCTCAGAACGCTGCTGTGTGCTTTTTATATGTATTCCCGCCTCCAGCGAAATCCCCAAAGCTAGCCAAATATCCACTTGCAGATTCCAGAAAAAGAGTGTTTCAAAACTGCTCCTTCAAAACGGTGGTTCAATTCTCTTAGTTGAGTACACACATCTCAAATAAGTTTCTGAGAATGCTTGTGTCTAGTTGTTATGGGAAGATATTTCCTTTTTCAACATAGGCCTGAAAGCGCTCCAAATGTCCACTTCCAGATACTACAAAAGGAGTGATTCCAACCTGCTCTATGATAGGGAATGTTCAACTCTGTGTCCTGAATACAAACATCACAAAGATGTTTCTCAGAACGCTGCAGTCTGCAATTTGTATGAATTCCCGCTTCCAACGAAATCCTCAAAACTAGCCAAATATCCACTTGCAGATTCCACAAAAAGAGCGTTCCAAAACTTCTCTATGAAAAGAAAGGTTCTACTCCTTTAGTTGAGGGCACACATCACGAGTAAGTTTCTGAGAATGCTTCTGTCTAGTTTTTATGGGAAGATATTTCCTTTTTCACCTTAGGCCGGTAAGGGTTCCAAATGTCCACTTACACACACTACAAAAAGAGTGTTTCAAACCTGCTCTGTGAAAGGGAATGTTCAATTCTGTGACTTGAATGCAATCATCACAAAGAACTTTCTGAGAATGCTGCTGACTGCTTTTTATATGTAATCCCGTTTCCAACGAAATCCTCAAATCTAGCCAAATAGCCACTTGCAGATTCCACAAAAAGAGTGTTTCAAAACTGTTCTGTCTAAAGAAATGTTCAACTGTGTTAGTTGAGGACACACATCAGAAACTAGTTTCTGAGAATGCTTCTGTCTAGTTGTTATGGGAAGATATTTCCTTTTCCAACGTAGGCCTGAAAGCGCTCCAAATGTCCACTTCCATATACTAAAAAAAGAGTGTTTCAAACCTGCTCTACCAAAGGGAATGTTCTACTCTGTGACTTGAATGCAAACATCCCAAAGAAGTTTCTGAGAATGCTTCTGTCTAGATTTGATCTGAAGACAATCCCGTTTCCAACGAAATCCTCAAGGCTAGGCAAATATCCTCTTGCAGATTCCAGAAAAAGAGTGTTTCAAAACTGCTCCTTCAAAACGGTGGTTCAATTCTCTTAGTTGAGTACACACATCTCAAATAAGTTTCTGAGAATGCTTCTGCCTAGTTGTTACCGGAAGATATTTCCCTTTCCAACATAGGCCTGAAAGCGCTCCAAATGTCCACTTCCAGATACTACAAAAAGAGTGTTTCAAACCTGCTCTACCAAAGGGAATGTTCTACTCTGTGACTTGAATGCAAACATCCCAAAGAAGTTTCTGAGAATGCTTCTGTCTAGATTTTACCTGAAGACAATCCCGTTTCCCACGAAATCCTCAAAGCTATGCAAATATCCTCTTGCAGATTCTACAAAAAGAGTGTTTCAAAACTGCTCTATGAAAAGAAAGGTTCAACTCTGTCAGTAGAGGGCACACATCACAAACAAGTTTCTGAGAATGCTTGTGTCTAGTTGTTATGGGAAGATATTTCCTTTTTCAACATAGGCCTGAAAGCGCTCCAAATGTCCACTTCCAGATACTACAAAAGGAGTGATTCCAACCTGCTCTATGATAGGGAATGTTCATCTCTGTGTCCTGAATACAAACATCACAAAGATGTTTCTCAGAACGCTGCAGTCTGCAATTTGTATGAATTCCCGCTTCCAACGAAATCCTCAAAACTAGCCAAATATCCACTTGGAGATTCCACAAAAAGAGCGTTTCAAAACTTCTCTATGAATAGAAATGTTCTACTCCTTTAGTTGAGGACACACATCACGAGTAAGTTTCTGAGAATGCTTCTGTCTAGTTTTTATGGGAAGATATTTCCTTTTTCACCTTAGGCCGGAAAGCGCTCCAAATGTCCACTTACACACACTACAAAAAGAGTGTTTCAAACCTGCTCTGTGAAAGGGAATGTTCAATTCTGTGACTTGAATGCAATCATCACAAAGAACTTTCTGAGAATGCTGCTGACTGCTTTTTATATGTAATCCCGTTTCCAACGAAATCCTCAAATCTAGCCCAATATCCACTTGCAGATTCCACAAAAAGAGTGTTTCAAAACTGTTCTGTCTAAAGAAATGTACAACTGTGTTAGTTGAGGACACACATCAGAAACTAGTTTCTGAGAATGCTTCTGTCTAGTTGTTATGGGAAGATATTTCCTTTTCCAACGTAGGCCTGAAAGAGCTCCAAATGTCCACTTACACACACTACAAAAAGAGTGTTTCAAACCTGCTCTACCAAAGGGAATGTTCTACTCTGTGACTTGAATGCAAACATCCCAAAGAAGTTTCTGAGAATGCTTCTGTCTAGATTTTACCTGAAGACAATCCCGTTTCCCACGAAATCCTCAAAGCTATCCAAATATCCTCTTGCAGATTCTACAAAAAGAGTGTCTCGAAAGTGCTCTATGAAAAGAAAGGTTCAACTGTGTCAGTAGAGGGCACACATCACAAATAAGTTTCTGAGAATGCTTCTGTCTAGTTGTTATGGAAAGATATTTCCTTTTTCAACATAGGCCTGAAAACGCTCCAAATGTCCACTTCCAGATACTACAAAAGGAGTGATTCCAACCTGCTCTATGATAGGGAATGTTCAACTCTGTGTCCTGAATACAAACATCACAAAGATGTTTCTCAGAACGCTGCAGTCTGCAATTTGTATGAATTCCCGCTTCCAACGAAATCCTCCAAACTAGCCAAATATCCACTTGCAGATTCCACAAAAAGAGCGTTTCAAAACTTCTCTATGAAAAGAAAGGTTCTACTCCTTTAGTTGAGGACACACATCACGAGTAAGTTTCTGAGAATGCTTCTGTCTAGTTTTTATGGGAAGATATTTCCTTGTTCACCTTAGGCCGGAAAGCGCTCCAAATGTCCACTTACACACACTACAAAAAGAGTGTTTCAAACCTGCTCTGTGAAAGGGAATGTTCAATTCTGTGACTTGAATGCAATCATCACAAAGAAGTTTCTGAGAATGCTGCTGTCTGCTTTTTATATGTAATCCCGTTTCCAACGAAATCCTCAAATCTAGCCAAATATCCACTTGCAGATTCCACAAAAAGAGTGTTTCAAAACTGTTCTGTCTAAAGAAATGTTCAACTGTGTTAGTTGAGGACACACATCAGAAACTAGTTTCTGACAATGTTTCTGTCTAGTTGTTATGGGAAGATATTTCCTTTTCCAACGTAGGCCTGAAAGCGCTCCAAATGTCCACTTACACACACTATAAAAAGAGTGTTTCAAACCTGCTCTACCAAAGTGAATATTCTACTCTGTGACTTGAATGCAAACATCCCAAAGAAGTTTCTGAGAATTCTTCTGTCTAGATTTTACCTGAAGACAATCCCGTTTCCCACGAAATCCTCAAAGCTATGCAAATATCCTCTTGCAGATTCTACAAAAAGAGTGTTTCGAAACTGCTCTATGAAAAGAAAGGTTCAACTGTGTCAGTAGAAGGCACACATCACAAACAAGTTTCTGAGAATGCTTCTGCCTAGTTGTTATGGGAAGATATTTCCTTTTTCAACATAGGCCTGAAAGCGCTCCAAATGTCCACTTCCAGATACTACAAAAGGAGTGATTCCAACCTGCTCTATGATAGGGAATGTTCAACTCAGTGTCCTGAATACAAACATCACAAAGATGTTTCTCAGAACGCTGCAGTCTGCAATTTGTATGAATTCCCGCTTCCAACGAAATCCTCAAAACTAGCCAAATATCCACTTGCAGATTCCACAAAAAGAGCATTTCAAAACTGCTCTATCAAAAGAAAGGTTCAACTTTGTTAGTTGAGTAGATACAGCATAAACAAGTTTCTGAGAATGCTTCTGTCCAGTTTTTATGGGAAGATATTTCCTTTTTCACCTTAGCCCTGAAAGCGCTCCAAAAGTCCAGTTCCAGATACTACAAAAGGAGTGTTTCAGGACTGCTCTATGAAAGGGAGTGTTCAACTTTTGACTTGAATGCAAACATCAGAAAGCAGTTTCTCAGAACGCTGCTGTGTGTTTTTTATATGTATTCCCGCTTCCAGCGAAATCCCCAAAGCTAGCCAAATATCCACTTGCAGATTCCAGAAAAAGAGCGTTTCAAAACTGCTCCTTGAAAACGGTGGTTCAATTCTCTTAGTTGAGTACACCCATCTCAAATAAGTTTCTGAGAATGCTTCCTGTCTATTTGTTATGGGAAGATATTTCCTTTTCCAACATAGGGCCTGAAAGCGCTCCAAATGTCCACTTCCAGATACTACAAAAGGAGTGATTCAAACCTGCTCTATGATAGGGAATGTTCAACTCTGTGTCCTGAATACAAACATCACAAAGATGTTTCTCAGAACGCTGCAGTCTGCAATTTGTATGAATTCCCGTTTCCAACGTAATCCTCAAAACTAGCCAAATATCCACCTGCAGATTCCACAAAAAGAGCGTTTCAAAACTTCTCTATGAAAAGAAAGTTTCTACTCCTTTACTTGAGTACACACATCACGAGTAAGTTTCTGAGAATGCTTCTGTCTAGTTTTTATGGGAAGATATTTCCTTTTTCACCTTAGGCCAGAAAGCGCTCCAAATGTCCACTTACACACACTACAAAAAGAGGGTTTCAAACCTGCTCTGTGAAAGGGAATGTTCAATTCTGTGACTTGAATGCAATCATCACAAAGAACTTTCTGAGAATGCTGCTGACTGCTTTTTATATGTAATCCCGTTTCCAACGAAATCCTCAAATCTAGCCAAAATATCCACTTGAAGGTTCCACAAAACGAGTGTATCAAAACTGTTCTGTCTAAAGAAATGTACAACTGTGTTAGTTGAGGACACACATCAGAAACTAGTTTCTGAGAATGCTTCTGTCTAGTTGTTATGGGAAGATATTTCCTTTTCCAACGTAGGCCTGAAAGCGCTCCAAATGTCCACTTCCATATACGAAAAAAAGAGTGTTTCAAACCTGCTGTACCAAAGGGAATGTTCTACTCTGTGACTTGAATGCAAACATCCCAAAGAAGTTTCTGAGAATGCATTTGTCTAGATTTTATCTGAAGACAATCCGGTTTCCAACGAAATCCTCAAGGCTAGGCAAATATACTCTTGCAGATTCCAGAAAAAGAGTGTTTCAAAACTGCTCCTTCAAAACGGTGGTTCAATTCTCTTAGTTGAGTACACACATCTCAAATAAGTTTCTGAGAATGCTTCTGCATAGTTGTTACGGGAAGATATTTCCCTTTCCAACATGGGCCTGAATGCGCTCCAAATGTCCACTTCCAGATACTACAAATAGAGGGTTTCAAACCTGCTCTACCAAAGGGAATGTTCTACTCTTTGACTTGAATGCAAACATAACAAAGAAGTTTCTGAGAATGCTTCTGTCTAGATTTTACCTGAAGACAATCCCGTTTCCCACGAAATCCTCAAAGCTATGCAAATATCCTCTTGCAGATTCTACAAAAAGAGTGTTTCAAAACTGCTCTATGAAAAGAAAGGTTCAACTCTGTCAGTAGAGGGCACACATCACAAACAAGTTTCTGAGAATGCTTCTGCATAGTTGTTACGGGAAGATATTTCCCTTTCCAAAATAGGCCTGAAAGCGCTCCAAATGTCCACTTCCAGATACTACAAAAGGAGTGATTCCAACCTGCTCTATGATAAGGGAATGTTCAACTCTGTGTCCTGAATACAAACATCACAAAGATGTTTCTCAGAACGCTGCAGTCTGCAATTTGTATGAATTCCCGCTTCCAACGAAATCCTCAAAACTAGCCAAATATCCACTTGCAGATTCCACAAAAAGACCATTTCAAAACTGCTCTATCAAAAGAAAGGTTCAACTTTGTTAGTTGAGTAGATACAGCATAAACAAGTTTCTGAGAATGCTTCTGTCCAGTTTTTATGGGAAGATATTTCCTTTTTCACCTTAGCCCTGAAAGCGCTCCAAATGTCCAGTTCCACATACTACAAAAGGGGTGTTTCAAGACTGCTCTATGAAAGGGAGTGTTCAACTTTTGACTTGAATGCAAACATCAGAAAGCAGTTTCTCAGAACGCTGCTGTGTGCTTTTTATATGTATTCCCGCTTCCAGCGAAATCCCCAAAGCTAGCCAAATATCCACTTGCAGATTCCAGAAAAAGAGTGTTTCAAAACTGCTCCTTCAAAACGGTGGTTCAATTCTCTTAGTTGAGTACACACATCTCAAATAAGTTTCTGAGAATGCTTCTGTCTAGTTGTTATGGGAAGATATTTCCTTTTCCAACATAGGCCTGAAAGCGCTCCAAATGTCCACTTCCAGATACTACAAAAGGAGTGATTCCAACCTGCTCTATGATAGGGAATGTTCAACTCTGTGTCCTGAATACAAACATCACAAAGATGTTTCTCAGAACGCTGCAGTCTGCAATTTGTATGAATTCCCGCTTCCAACGAAATCCTCAAAACTAGCCAAATATCCACTTGCAGATTCCACAAAAAGAGCGTTTCAAAACTTCTCTATGAAAAGAAAGGTTCTACTCCTTTAGTTGAGGACACACATCACGAGTAAGTTTCTGAGAATGCTTCTGTCTAGTTTTTATGGGAAGATATTTCCTTTTTCACCTTAGGCCGGAAAGTGCTCCAAATGTCCACTTACACACACTACAAAAAGAGTGTTTCAAACCTGCTCTGTGAAAGGGAATGTTCAATTCTGTGACTTGAATGCAATCATCACAAAGAACTTTCTGAGAATGCTGCTGTCTGCTTTTTATATGTAATCCCGTTTCCAACGAAATGCTCAAATCTAGCCAAATATCCACTTGCAGATTCCACAAAAAGAGTGTTTCAAAACTGTTCTGTCTAAAGAAATGTACAACTGTGTTAGTTGAGGACACACATCAGAAACTAGTTTCTGAGAATGCTGCTGTCTGCTTTTTATATGTATTCCCATTTCCAACGAAATCCTCAAAGCCAGCCAAATATCCACTTGCAGATTCCACAAAAAGAGTGTTTCAAAACTCCTCTCTCAAAAGAAATGTTCAACTCTGTCAGTTGAGGACACACATCACAAATAAGTTTCTGAGAATGCTTCTGTCTAGATTTTCTCTGAAGACAATCCCGTTTCCAACGAAATCCTCAAGGCTAGGCAAATATACTCTTGCAGATTCCAGAAAAAGAGTGTTTCAAAACTGCTCCTTCAAAACGGTGGTTCAATTCTCTTAGTTGAGTACACACATCTCAAATAAGTTTCTGAGAATGCTTCTGCCTAGTTGTTACGGGAAGATATTTCCCTTTCCAACATGGGCCTGAAAGCGCTCCAAATGTCCACTTCCAGATACTACAAAAAGAGTGTTTCAAACCTGCTCTACCAAAGGGAATGTTCTACTCTGTGACTTGAATGCAAACATCCCAAAGAAGTTTCTGAGAATGCTTCTGTCTAGATTTTACCTGAAGACAATCCCGTTTCCCACGAAATCCTCAAAGCTATGCAAATATCCTCTTGCAGATTCTACAAAAAGAGTGTTTCAAAACTGCTCTATGAAAAGAAAGGTTCAACTCTGTCAGTAGAGGGCACACATCACAAACAAGTTTCTGAGAATGCTTCTGCATAGTTGTTACGGGAAGATATTTCCCTTTCCAAAATAGGCCTGAAAGCGCTCCAAATGTCCACTTCCAGATACTACAAAAGGAGTGATTCCAACCTGCTCTATGATAGGGAATGTTCAACTCTGTGTCCTGAATACAAACATCACAAAGATGTTTCTCAGAACGCTGCAGTCTGCAATTTGTATGAATTCCCGCTTCCAACGAAATCCTCAAACCTAGCCAAATATCCACTTGCAGATTCCACAAAAAGAGCATTTCAAAACTGCTCTATCAAAAGAAAGGTTCAACTTTGTTAGTTGAGTAGATACAGCATAAACCAGTTTCTGAGAATGCTTCTGTCCAGTTTTTATGGGAAGATATTTCCTTTTTCACCTTAGCCCTGAAATCGCTCCAAAAGTCCAGTTCCAGATACTACAAAAGGGGTGTTTCAGGACTGCTCTATGAAAGGGAGTGTTCAACTTTTGACTTGAATGCAAACATCAGAAAGCAGTTTCTCAGAACGCTGCTGTGTGCTTTTTATATGTATTCCCGCTTCCAGCGAAATCCCCAAAGCTAGCCAAATATCCACTTGCAGATTCCAGAAAAAGAATGTTTCAAAACTGCTCCTTCAAAACGGTGGTTCAATTCTCTTAGTTGAGTACACACATCTCAAATAAGTTTCTGAGAATGCTTCTGTCTAGTTGTTATGGGAAGATATTTCCTTTTCCAACATAGGCCTGAAAGCGCTCCAAATGTCCACTTCCAGATACTACAAAAGGAGTGATTCAAACCTGCTCTATGATAGGGAATGTTCAACTCTGTGTCCTGAATACAAACATCACAAAGATGTTTCTCAGAACGCTGCAGTCTGCAATTTGTATCAATTCCCGCTTCCAACGAAATCCTCAAAACTAGCCAAATATCCACTTGCAGATTCCACAAAAAGAGCGTTTCAAAACTTCTCTATGAAAAGAAAGGTTCTACTCCTTTAGTTGAGGACACACATCACGAGTAAGTTTCTGAGAATGCTTCTGTCTAGTTTTTATGGGAAGATATTTCCTTTTTCACCTTAGGCCGGAAAGTGCTCCAAATGTCCACTTACACACACTACAAAAAGAGTGTTTCAAACCTGCTCTGTGAAAGGGAATGTTCAATTCTGTGACTTGAATGCAATCATCACAAAGAACTTTCTGAGAATGCTGCTGTCTGCTTTTTATATGTAATCCCGTTTCCAACGAAATCCTCAAATCTAGCCAAATAGCCACTTGCAGATTCCACAAAAAGAGTGTTTCAAAACTGTTCTGTCTAAAGAAATGTTCAACTGTGTTAGTTGAGGACACACATCAGAAACTAGTTTCTGAGAATGCTTCTGTCTAGTTGTTATGGGAAGATATTTCCTTTTCCAACGTAGGCCTGAAAGCGCTCCAAATGTCCACTTCCATATACTAAAAAAAGAGTGTTTCAAACCTGCTCTACCAAAGGGAATGTTCTACTCTGTGACTTGAATGCAAACATCCCAAAGAAGTTTCTGAGAATGCTTCTGTCTAGATTTGATCTGAAGACAATCCCGTTTCCAACGAAATCCTCAAAGCTAGGCAAATATCCTCTTGCAGATTCCAGAAAAAGAGTGTTTCAAAACTGCTCCTTCAAAACGGTGGTTCAATTCTCTTAGTTGAGTACACACATCTCAAATAAGTTTCTGAGAATGCTTCTGCCTAGTTGTTACGGGAAGATATTTCCCTTTCCAACATAGGCCTGAAAGGGCTCCAAATGTCCACTTCCAGATACTATAAAAAGAGTGTTTCAAACCTGCTCTACCAAAGGGAATATTCTACTCTGTGACTTGAATGCAAACATCCCAAAGAAGTTTCTGAGAATGCTTCTGTCTAGATTTTACCTGAAGACAATCCCGTTTCCCACGAAATCCTCAAAGCTATGCAAATATCCTCTTGCAGATTCTACAAAAAGAGTGTTTCAAAACTGCTCCTATGAAAAGAAAGGTTCAACTCTGTCAGTAGAGGGCACACATCACAAACAAGTTTCTGAGAATGCTTGTGTCTAGTTGTTATGGGAAGATATTTCCTTTTTCAACATAGGCCTGAAAGCGCTCCAAATGTCCACTTCCAGATACTACAAAAGGAGTGATTCCAACCTGCTCTATGATAGGGAATGTTCAACTCTGTGTCCTGAATACAAACATCACAAAGATGTTTCTCAGAACGCTGCAGTCTGCAATTTGTATGAATTCCAGCTTCCAACGAAATCCTCAAATCTAGCCAAATATCCACTTGCAGATTCCACAAAAAGAGCATTTCAAAACTGCTCTATCAAAAGAAAGCTTCAACTTTGTTAGCAGAGTAGATACAGCATAAACAAGTTTCTGAGAATGCTTCTGTCCAGTTTTTATGGGAAGATATTTCCTTTTTCACCTTAGCCCTGAAGCGCTCCAAAAGTCCAGTTCCAGATACTACAAAAGGAGTGTTTCAGGACTGCTCTATGAAAGGGAGTGTTCAACTTTTGACTTGAATGCAAACATCAGAAAGCAGTTTCTCAGAACGCTGCTGTGTGCTTTTTATATGTATTCCCGCTTCCAGCGAAATCCCCAAAGCTAGCCAAATATCCAATTGCAGATTCCAGAAAAAGAGTGTTTCAAAACTGCTCCTTCAAAACGGTGGTTCAATTCTCTTAGTTGAGTACACACATCTCAAATAAGTTTCTGAGAATGCTTCTGTCTAGTTGTTATGGGAAGATATTTCCTTTTCCAACATAGGCCTGAAAGCCCTCCAAATGTCCACTTCCAGATACTACAAAAGGAGTGATTCCAACCTGCTCTATGATAGGGAATGTTCAACTCTGTGTCCTGAATACAAACATCACAAAGATGTTTCTCAGAACGCTGCAGTCTGCAATTTGTATGAATTCCCGCTTCCAACGAAATCCTCCAAACTAGCCAAATATCCACTTGCAGATTCCACAAAAAGAGCGTTTCAAAACTTCTCTATGAAAAGAAAGGTTCTACTCCTTTAGTTGAGGACACACATCACGAGTAAGTTTCTGAGAATGCTTCTGTCTAGTTTTTATGGGAAGATATTTCCTTTTTCACCTTAGGCCGGAAAGTGCTCCAAATGTCCACTTACACACACTACAAAAAGAGTGTTTCAAACCTGCTCTGTGAAAGGGAATGTTCAATTCTGTGACTTGAATGCAATCATCACAAAGAACTTTCTGAGAATGCTGCTGTCTGCTTTTTATATGTAATCCCGTTTCCAACGAAATCCTCAAATCTAGCCAAATAGCCACTTGCAGATTCCACAAAAAGAGTGTTTCAAAACTGTTCTGTCTAAAGAAATGTTCAACTGTGTTAGTTGAGGACACACATCAGAAACTAGTTTCTGAGAATGCTTCTGTCTAGTTGTTATGGGAAGATATTTCCTTTTCCAACGTAGGCCTGAAAGCGCTCCAAATGTCCTTCCATATACTAAAAAAAGAGTGTTTCAAACCTGCTCTACCAAAGGGAATGTTCTACTCTGTGACTTGAATGCAAACATCCCAAAGAAGTTTCTGAGAATGCTTCTGTCTAGATTTTATCTGAAGACAATCCCGTTTCCAACGAAATCCTCAAGGCCAGGCAAATATACTCTTGCAGATTCCAGAAAAAGAGTGTTTCAAAACTGCTCCTTCAAAACGGTGGTTCAATTCTCTTAGTTGAGTACACACATCTCAAATAAGTTTCTGAGAATGCTTCTGCCTAGTTGTTACGGGAAGATATTTCCCTTTCCAACATGGGCCTGAAAGCGCTCCAAATGTCCACTTCCAGATACTACAAAAAGAGTGTTTCAAACCTGCTCTACCAAAGGGAATGTTCTACTCTGTGACTTGAATGCAAACATCCCAAAGAAGTTTCTGAGAATGCTTCTGTCTAGATTTTACCTGAAGACAATCCCGTTTCCCACGAAATCCTCAAAGCGATGCAAATATCCTCTTGCGGATTCTACAAAAAGAGTGTTTCAAATCTGCTCTATGAAAAGAAAGGTTCAACTCTGTCAGTAGAGGGCACACATCACAAACAAGTTTCTGAGAATGCTTGTGACTAGTTGTTATGGGAAGATATTTCCTTTTTCAACATAGGCCTGAAAGCGCTCCAAATGTCCACTTCCAGATACTACAAAAGGTGTGATTCCAACCTGCTCTATGATAGGGAATGTTCATCTCTGTGTCCTGAATACAAACATCACAAAGATGTTTCTCAGAACGCTGCAGTCTGCAATTTGTATGAATTCCCGCTTCCAACGAAATCCTCAAAACTAGCCAAATATCCACTTGGAGATTCCACAAAAAGAGCGTTTCAAAACTTCTCTATGAATAGAAAGGTTCTACTCCTTTAGTTGAGGACACACATCACGAGTAAGTTTCTTAGAATGCTTCTGTCTAGTTTTTATGGGAAGATATGTCCTTTTTCACCTTAGGCCGGAAAGCGCTCCAAATGTCCACTTACACACACTACAAAAAGAGTGTTTCAAACCTGCTCTGTGAAAGGGAATGTTCAATTCTGTGACTTGAATGCAATCATCACAAAGAACTTTCTGAGAATGCTGCTGTCTGCTTTTTATATGTAATCCCGTTTCCAACGAAATCCTCAAATCTAGCCCAATATCCACTTGCAGATTCCACAAAAAGAGTGTTTCAAAACTGTTCTGTCTAAGGAAAAGTTCAACTGTGTTAGTTGAGGACACATATCAGAAAGTAGTTTCTGAGAATGCTTCTGTCTAGTTGTTATGGGAAGAGATTTCCTTTTCCAACGTAGGCCTGAAAGCGCTCCAAATGTCCTTCCATATACTAAAAAAAGAGTGTTTCAAACCTGCTCTACCAAAGGGAATGTTCTACTCTGTGACTTGAATGCAAACATCCCAAAGAAGTTTCTGAGAATGCTTCTGTCTAGATTTTATCTGAAGACAATCCCGTTTCCAACGAAATCCTCAAGGCTAGGCAAATATACTCTTGCAGATTCCAGAAAAAGAGTGGTTCAAAACTGCTCCTTCAAAACGGTGGTTCATTTCTCTTAGTTGAGTACACACATCTCAAATAAGTTTCTGAGAATGCTTCTGCCTAGTTGTTACGGGAAGATATTTCCCTTTCCAACATGGGCCTGAAAGCGCTCCAAATGTCCACTTCCAGATACTACAAAAAGAGTGTTTCAAACCTGCTCTACCAAAGGGAATGTTCTACTCTGTGACTTGAATGCAAACATCCCAAAGAAGTTTCTGAGAATGCTTCTGTCTAGATTTTACCTGAAGACAATCCCGTTTCCCACGAAATCCTCAAAGCTATGCAAATATCCTCTTGCAGATTCTACAAAAAGAGTGTTTCAAAACTGCTCTATGAAAAGAAAGGTTCAACTCTGTCAGTAGAGGGCACACATCACAAACAAGTTTCTGAGAATGCTTCTGCATAGTTGTTATGGGAAGATATTTCCCTTTCCAAAATAGGCCTGAAAGCGCTCCAAATGTCCACTTCCAGATACTACAAAAGGAGTGATTCCAACCTGCTCTAGGACAGGGAATGTTCAACTCTGTGTCCTGAATACAAACATCACAAAGATGTTTCTCAGAACGCTGCAGTCTGCAATTTGTATGAATTCCCGCTTCCAACGAAATCCTCAAAACTAGCCAAATATCCACTTGCAGATTCCACAAAAAGACCATTTCAAAACTGCTCTATCAAAAGAAAGGTTCAACTTTGTTAGTTGAGTAGATACAGCATAACCAAGTTTCTGAGAATGCTTCTGTCCAGTTTTTATGGGAAGATATTTCCTTTTTCACCTTAGCCCTGAAATCGCTCCAAAAGTCCAGTTCCAGATACTACAAAAGGGGTGTTTCAAGACTGCTCTATGAAAGGGAGTGTTCAACTTTTGACTTGAATGCAAACATCAGAAAGCAGTTTCTCAGAACGCTGCTGTGTGCTTTTTATATGTATTCCCGCTTCCAGCGAAATCCCCAAAGCTAGCCAAATATCCACTTGCAGATTCCAGAAAAAGAGTGTTTCAAAACTGCTCCTTCAAAACGGTGGTTCAATTCTCTTAGTTGAGTACACACATCTCAAATAAGTTTCTGAGAATGCTTCTGTCTAGTTGTTATGGGAAGATATTTCCTTTTCCAACATAGGCCTGAAAGCGCTCCAAATGTCCACTTCCAGATACTACAAAAGGAGTGATTCCAACCTGCTCTATGATAGGGAATGTTCAACTCTGTGTCCTGAATACAAACATCACAAAGATGTTTCTCACAACGCTGCAGTCTGCAATTTGTATGAATTCCCGCTTCCAACGAAATCCTCCAAACTAGCCAAATATCCACTTGCAGATTCCACAAAAAGAGCGTTTCAAAACTTCTCTATGAAAAGAAAGGTTCTACTCCTTTAGTTGAGGACACACATCACGAGTAAGTTTCTGAGAATGCTTCTGTCTAGTTTTTATGGGAAGATATTTCCTTTTTCACCTTAGGCCGGTAAGTGCTCCAAATGTCCACTTACACACACTACAAAAAGAGTGTTTCAAACCTGCTCTGTGAAAGGGAATGTTCAATTCTGTGACTTGAATGCAATCATCACAAAGAACTTTCTGAGAATGCTGCTGACTGCTTTTTATATGTAATCCCGTTTCCAACGAAATCCTCAAATCTAGCCAAATAGCCACTTGCAGATTCCACAAAAAGAGTGTTTCAAAACTGTTCTGTCTAAAGAAATGTTCAACTGTGTTAGTTGAGGACACACATCAGAAACTAGTTTCTGAGAATGCTTCTGTCTAGTTGTTATGGGAAGATATTTCCTTTTCCAACGTAGGCCTGAAAGCGCTCCAAATGTCCACTTCCATATACTAAAAAAAGAGTGTTTCAAACCTGCTCTACCAAAGGGAATGTTCTACTCTGTGACTTGAATGCAAACATCCCAAAGAAGTTTCTGAGAATGCTTCTGTCTAGATTTTCTCTGAAGACAATCCCGTTTCCAACGAAATCCTCAAGGCTAGGCAAATATACTCTTGCAGATTCCAGAAAAAGAGTGTTTCAAAACTGCTCCTTCAAAACGGTGGTTCAATTCTCTTAGTTGAGTACACACATCTCAAATAAGTTTCTGAGAATGCTTCTGCCTAGTTGTTACGGGAAGATATTTCCCTTTCCAACATGGGCCTGAAAGCGCTCCAAATGTCCACTTCCAGATACTACAAAAAGAGTGTTTCAAACCTGCTCTACCAAAGGGAATGTTCTACTCTGTGACTTGAATGCAAACATCCCAAAGAAGTTTCTGAGAATGCTTCTGTCTAGATTTTACCTGAAGACAATCCCGTTTCCCACGAAATCCTCAAAGCTATGCAAATATCCTCTTGCAGATTCTACAAAAAGAGTGTTTCAAAACTGCTCTATGAAAAGAAAGGTTCAACTCTGTCAGTAGAGGGCACACATCACAAACAAGTTTCTGAGAATGCTTCTGCATAGTTGTTACGGGAAGATATTTCCCTTTCCAAAATAGGCCTGAAAGCGCTCCAAATGTCCACTTCCAGATACTACAAAAGGAGTGATTCCAACCTGCTCTATGATAGGGAATGTTCAACTCTGTGTCCTGAATACAAACATCACAAAGATGTTTCTCAGAACGCTGCAGTCTGCAATTTGTATGAATTCCCGCTTCCAACGAAATCCTCAAAACTAGCCAAATATCCACTTGCAGATTCCACAAAAAGAGCATTTCAAAACTGCTCTATCAAAAGAAAGGTTCAACTTTGTTAGTTGAGTAGATACAGCATAAACAAGTTTCTGAGAATGCTTCTGTCCAGTTTTTATGGGAAGATATTTCCTTTTTCACCTTAGCCCTGAAAGCGCTCCAAATTTCCAGTTCCAGATACTACAAAAGGGGTGTTTCAAGACTGCTCTATGAAAGGGAGTGTTCAACTTTTGACTTGAATGCAAACATCAGAAAGCAGTTTCTCAGAACGCTGCTGTGTGCTTTTTATATGTATTCCCGCTTCCAGCGAAATCCCCAAAGCTAGCCAAATATCCACTTGCAGATTCCAGAAAAAGAGTGTTTCCAAACTGCTCCTTCAAAACGGTGGTTCAATTCTCTTAGTTGAGTACACACATCTCAAATAAGTTTCTGGGAATGCTTCTGTCTAGTTGTTATGGGAAGATATTTCCTTTTCCAACATAGGCCTGAAAGCGCTCCAAATGTCCACTTCCAGATACTACAAAAGGAGTGATTCAAACCTGCTCTATGATAGGGAATGTTCAACTCTGTGTCCTGAATACAAACATCACAAAGATGTTTCTCAGAACGCTGCAGTCTGCATCTTGTATGAATTCCCGCTTCCAACGAAATCCTCCAAACTAGCCAAATATCCACTTGCAGATTCCACAAAAAGAGCGTTTCAAAACTTCTCTATGAAAAGAAAGGTTCTACTCCTTTAGTTGAGGACACACATCACGAGTAAGTTTCTGAGAATGCTTCTGTCTAGTTTTTATGGGAAGATATTTCCTTGTTCACCTTAGGCCGGAAAGCGCTCCAAATGTCCACTTACACACACTACAAAAAGAGTGTTTCAAACCTGCTCTGTGAAAGGGAATGTTCAATTCTGTGACTTGAGTGCAATCATCACAAAGAAGTTTCTGAGAATGCTGCTGTCTGCTTTTTATATGTAATCCCGTTTCCAACGAAATCCTCAAATCTAGCCAAATATCCACTTGCAGATTCCACAAAAAGAGTGTTTCAAAACTGTTCTGTCTAAAGAAATGTTCAACTGTGTTAGTTGAGGACACACATCAGAAACTAGTTTCTGAGAATGCTTCTGTCTAGTTGTTATGGGAAGATATTTCCTTTTCCAACGTAGGCCTGAAAGCGCTCCAAATGTCCACTTCCATATACTAAAAAAAGAGTGTTTCAAACCTGCTCTACCAAAGGAATGTTCTACTCTGTGACTTGAATGCAAACATCCCAAAGAAGTTTCTGAGAATGCTTCTGTCTAGATTTGATCTGAAGACAATCCCTTTTCCAACGAAATCCTCAAAGCTAGGCAAATATCCTCTTGCAGATTCCAGAAAAAGAGTGTTTCCAAACTGCTCCTTCAAAACGGTGGTTCAATTCTCTTAGTTGAGTACACACATCTCAAATAAGTTTCTGAGAATGCTTCTGCCTAGTTGTTACGGGAAGATATTTCCCTTTCCAACATAGGCCTGAAAGCGCAACAAATGTCCACTTCCAGATACTACAAAAAGAGTGTTTCAAACCTGCTCTACCGAAGGGAATGTTCTACTCTGTGACTTGAATGCAAACATCCCGAAGAAGTTTCTGAGAATGCTTCTGTCTAGATTTTACCTGAAGACAATCCCGTTTCCCACGAAATCCTCAGAGCCATGCAAACATCCTCTTGCAGATTCTACAAAAAGAGTGTTTCGAAACTGCTCTATGAAAAGAAAGGTTCAACTCTGTCAGTAGAGGAAACACATCACCAACAAGTTTCTGAGAATGCTTCTGTCTAGTTGTTATGGGAAGATTTTTCCTTTTTCAACATAGGCCTGAAAGCGCTCCAAATGTCCACTTCCAGATACTACAAAAGGAGTGATCCCAACCTGCTCTATGATAGGGAATGTTCAACTCTGTGTCCTGAATACAAACATCACAAAGATGTTTCTCAGAACGCTGCAGTCTGCAATTTGTATGAATTCCCGCTTCCAACGAAATCCTCAAAACTAGCCAAATATCCACTTGCAGATTCCACAAAAAGACCATTTCAAAACTGCTCTATCAAAAGAAAGGTTCAACTTTGTTAGTTGAGTAGATACAGCATAAACAAGTTTCTGAGAATGCTTCTGTCCAGTTTTTATGGGAAGATATTTCCTTTTTCACCTTAGCCCTGAAAGCGCTCCAAATTTCCAGTTCCAGATACTACAAAAGGGGTGTTTCAAGACTGCTCTATGAAAGGGAGTGTTCAACTTTTGACTTGAATGCAAACATCAGAAAGCAGTTTCTCAGAACGCTGCTGTGTGCTTTTTATATGTATTCCCGCTTCCAGCGAAATCCCCAAAGCTAGCCAAATATCCACTTGCAGATTCCAGAAAAAGAGTGTTTCCAAACTGCTCCTTCAAAACGGTGGTTCAATTCTCTTAGTTGAGTACACACATCTCAAATAAGTTTCTGGGAATGCTTCTGTCTAGTTGTTATGGGAAGATATTTCCTTTTCCAACATAGGCCTGAAAGCGCTCCAAATGTCCACTTCCAGATACTACAAAAGGAGTGATTCAAACCTGCTCTATGATAGGGAATGTTCAACTCTGTGTCCTGAATACAAACATCACAAAGATGTTTCTCAGAACGCTGCAGTCTGCATCTTGTATGAATTCCCGCTTCCAACGAAATCCTCCAAACTAGCCAAATATCCACTTGCAGATTCCACAAAAAGAGCGTTTCAAAACTTCTCTATGAAAAGAAAGGTTCTACTCCTTTAGTTGAGGACACACATCACGAGTAAGTTTCTGAGAATGCTTCTGTCTAGTTTTTATGGGAAGATATGTCCTTTTTCACCTTAGGCCGGAAAGCGCTCCAAATGTCCACTTGCACACACTACAAAAAGAGTGTTTCAAACCTGCTCTGTGAAAGGGAATGTTCAATTCTGTGACTTCAATGCAATCATCACAAAGAACTTTCTGAGAATGCTGCTGTCTGCTTTTTATATGTAATCCCGTTTCCAACGAAATCCTCAAATCTAGCCCAGTATCCACTTGCAGATTCCACAAAAAGAGTGTTTCAAAACTGTTCTGTCTAAAGAAATGTACAACTGTGTTAGTTGAGGACACACATCAGAAACTAGTTTCTGAGAATGCTTCTGTCTAGTTGTTATGGGAAGATATTTCCTTTTCCAACGTAGGCCTGAAAGCGCTCCAAATGTCCACTTCCATATACTAAAAAAAGAGTGTTTCAAACCTGCTCTACCAAAGGGAATGTTCTACTCTGTGACTTGAATGCAAACATCCCAAAGAAGTTTCTGAGAATGCTTCTGTCTAGATTTTATCTGAAGACAATCCCGTTTCCAACGAAATCCTCAAGGCTAGGCAAATATACTCTTGCAGATTCCAGAAAAAGAGTGTTTCAAAACTGCTCCTTCAAAACGGTGGTTCAATTCTCTTAGTTGAGTACACACATCTCAAATAAGTTTCTGAGAATGTTTCTGCCTAGTTGTTACGGGAAGATATTTCCCTTTCCAACATGGGCCTGAAAGCGCTCCAAATGTCCACTTCCAGATACTACAAAAGGAGGGTTTCAAACCTGCTCTACCAAAGGGAATGTTCTACTCTGTGACTTGAATGCAAACATCCCAAAGGAGTTTCTGAGAATGCTTCTGTCTAGATTTTACCTGAAGACAATCCCGTTTCCCACGAAATCCTCAAAGCTATGCAAATATCCTGTTGCAGATTCTACAAAAAGAGTGTTTCAAAACTGCTCTATGAAAAGAAAGGTTCAACTCTGTCAGTAGAGGGCACACATCACAAACAAGTTTCTGAGAATGCTTGTGTCTAGTTGTTATGGGAAGATATTTCCTTTTTCAACATAGGCCTGAAAGCGCTCCAAATGTCCACTTCCAGATACTACAAAAGGAGTGATTCCAACCTGCTCTATGATAGGGAATGTTCATCTCTGTGTCCTGAATACAAACATCACAAAGATGTTTCTCATAACGCTGCAGTCTGCAATTTGTATGAATTCCCGCTTCCAACGAAATCCTCAAAACTAGCCAAATATCCACTTGGAGATTCCACAAAAAGAGCGTTTGAAAACTTCTCTATGAATAGAAAGGTTCTACTCCTTTAGTTGAGGACACACATCACGAGTAAGATTCTGAGAATTCTTCTGTCTAGTTTTTATGGGAAGATATTTCCTTTTTCACCTTAGGCCGGAAAGCGCTCCAAATGTCCACTTACACACACTACAAAAAGAGTGTTTCAAACCTGCTCTGTGAAAGGGAATGTTCAATTCTGTGACTTGAATGCAATCATCACAAAGAACTTTCTGAGAATGCTGCTGTCTGCTTTTTATATGTAATCCTTTTTCCAACGAAATCCTCAAATCTAGCCCAATATCCACTTGCAGATTCCACAAAAAGAGTGTTTCAAAACTGTTCTGTATAAAGAAATGTACAACTGTGTTAGTTGAGGACACACATCAGAAACTAGTTTCTGAGAATGCTTCTGTCTAGTTGTTATGGGAAGATATTTCCTTTTCCAACGTAGGCCTGAAAGCGCTCCAAATGTCCACTTCCATATACTAAAAAAAGAGTGTTTCAAACCTGCTCTACCAAAGGGAATGTTCTACTCTGTGACTTGAATGCAAACATCCCAAAGAAGTTTCTGAGAATGCTTCTGTCTAGATTTTATCTGAAGACAATCCGGTTTCCAACGAAATCCTCAAAGCTAGGCAAATATCCTCTAGCAGATTCCAGAAAAAGAGTGTTTCAAAACTGCTCCTTCAAAACGGTGGTTCAATTCTCTTAGTTGAGTACACACATCTCAAAAAAGTTTCAGAGAATGCTTCTGCCTAGTTGCTACGGGAAGATATTTCCTTTTCCAACATGGGCCTGAAAGCGCTCCAAATGTCCACTTCCAGATACTACAAAAAGAGTGTTTCAAACCTGCTCTACCAAAGGGAATGTTCTACTCTGTGACTTGAATGCAAACATCCCAAAGAAGTTTCTGAGAATGCTTCCGTCTAGATTTTATCTGAAGACAATCCCGTTTCCAACGAAATCCTCAAATCTAGCCAAATAGCCACTTGCAGATTCCACAAAAAGAGTGTTTCAAAACTGCTCCTTCAAAACGGTGGTTCAATTCTCTTAGTTGAGTACACACATCTGAAATAAGTTTCTGAGAATGCTTCTGTCTAGTTGTTATGGGAAGATATTTCCTTTTCCAACATAGGGCCTGAAAGCGCTCCAAATGTCCACTTCCAGATACTACAAAAGGAGTGATTCCAACCTGCTCTATGATAGGGAATGTTCAACTCTGTGTCCTGAATACAAACATCACAAAGATGTTTCTCAGAACGCTGCAGTCTGCAATTTGTATGAATTCCCGCTTCCAACGAAATCCTCAAAACTAGCCAAATATCCACTTGCAGATTCCACAAAAAGAGCGTTTCAAAACTTCTCTATGAAAAGAAAGGTTCTACTCCTTTAGTTGAGGACACACATCACGAGTAAGTTTCTGAGAATGCTTCTGTCTAGTTTTTATGGGAAGATATTTCCTTTTTCACCTTAGGCCGGAAAGTGCTCCAAATGTCCACTTACACACACTACAAAAAGAGTGTTTCAAACCTGCTCTGTGAAAGGGAATGTTCAATTCTGTGACTTGAATGCAATCATCACAAAGAACTTTCTGAGAATGCTGCTGTCTGCTTTTTATATGTAATCCCGTTTCCAACGAAATCCTCAAATCTAGCCAAATATCCACTTGCAGATTCCACAAAAAGAGAGTTTCAAAACTGTTCTGTCTAAAGAAATGTTCAACTGTGTTAGTTGAGGACACACATCAGAAACTAGTTTCTGAGAATGCTTCTGTCTAGTTGTTATGGGAAGATATTTCCTTTTCCAACGTAGGCCTGAAAGCGCTCCAAATGTCCACTTCCATATACTAAAAAAAGAGTGTTTCAAACCTGCTCTACCAAAGGGAATGTTCTACTCTGTGACTTGAATGCAAACATCCCAAAGAAGTTTCTGAGAATGCTTCTGTCTAGATTTGATCTGAAGACAATCCCGTTTCCAACGAAATCCTCAAAGCTAGGCAAATATCCTCTTGCAGATTCCAGAAAAAGAGTGTTTCAAAACTGCTCCTTCAAAACGGTGGTTCAATTCTCTTAGTTGAGGACACACATCTCAAATAAGTTTCTGAGAATGCTTCTGCCTAGTTGTTACGGGAAGATATTTCCCTTTCCAACATAGGCCTGAAAGCGCTCCAAATGTCCACTTCCAGATACTACAAAAAGAGTGTTTCAAACCTGCTCTACCAAAGGGAATGTTCTACTCTGTGACTTGAATGCAAACATCCCAAAGAAGTTTCTGAGAATGCTTCTGTCTAGATTTTACCTGAAGACAATCCCGTTTCCCACGAAATCCTCAAAGCTATGCAAATATCCTCTTGCGGATTCTACAAAAAGAGTGTTTCAAAACTGCTCTATGAAAAGAAAGGTTCAACTCTGTCAGTAGAGGGCACACATCACAAACAAGTTTCTGAGAATGCTTCTGTCTAGTTGTTTTGGGAAGATATTTCTTTTTCAACATAGGCCTGAAAGCGCTCCAAATGTCCACTTCCAGATACTACAAAAGGAGTGATTCCAACCTGCTCTACGATAGGGAATGTTCAACTCTGTGTCCTGAATACAAACATCACAAAGATGTTTCTCAGAACGCTGCAGTCTGCAATTTGTATGTATTCCAGCTTCCAACGAAATCCTCAAATCTAGCCAAATATCCAATTGCAGATTCCACAAAAAGAGCATTTCAAAACTGCTCTATCAAAAGAAAGGTTCAACTTTTTTAGTAGAGTAGATACAGCATAAACAAGTTTCTGAGAATGCTTCTGTCCAGTTTTTATGGGAAGATATTTCCTTTTTCACCTTAGCCCTGAAAGCGCTCCAAAAGTCCAGTTCCAGATACTACAAAAGGAGTGTTTCAGGACTGCTCTATGAAAGGGAGTGTTCAACTTTTGACTTGAATGCAAACATCAGAAAGCAGTTTCTCAGAACGCTGCTGTGTGCTTTTTATATGTATTCCCGCTTACAGCGAAATCCCCAAAGCTAGCCAAATATCCACTTGCAGATTCCAGAAAAAGAGTGTTTCAAAACTGCTCCTTCAAAACGGTGGTTCAATTCTCTTAGTTGAGTACACACATCTCAAATAAGTTTCTGAGAATGCTTCTGTCTAGTTGTTATGGGAAGATATTTCCTTTTCCAACATAGGCCTGAAAGCGCTCCAAATGTCCACTTCCAGATACTACAAAAGGAGTGATTCAAACCTGCTCTATGATAGGGAATGTTCAACTCTGTGTCCTGAATACAAACATCACAAAGATGTTTCTCAGAACGCTGCAGTCTGCAATTTGTATGAATTCCCGCTTCCAACGAAATCCTCAAAACTAGCCAAATATCCACTTGCAGATTCCACAAAAAGAGCGTTTCAAAACTTCTCTATGAAAAGAAAGGTTCTACTCCTTTAGTTGAGGACACACATCACGAGTAAGTTTCTGAGAATGCTTCTGTCTAGTTTTTATGGGAAGATATTTCCTTTTTCACCTTAGGCCGGTAAGTGCTCCAAATGTCCACTTACACACACTACAAAAAGAGTGTTTCAAACCTGCTCTGTGAAAGGGAATGTTCAATTCTGTGACTTGAATGCAATCATCACAAAGAACTTTCTGAGAATGCCGCTGACTGCTTTTTATATGTAATCCCGTTTCCAACGAAATCCTCAAATCTAGCCAAATAGCCACTTGCAGATTCCACAAAAAGAGTGTTTCAAAACTGTTCTGTCTAAAGAAATGTTCAACTGTGTTAGTTGAGGACACACATCAGAAACTAGTTTCTGAGAATGCTTCTGTCTAGTTGTTATGGGAAGATATTTCCTTTTCCAACGTAGGCCTGAAAGCGCTCCAAATGTCCACTTCCAGATACTACGAAAAGAGTGTTTCAAACCTGCTCTACCAAAGGGAATGTTCTACTCTGTGACTTGAATGCAAACATCCCAAAGAAGTTTCTGAGAATGCTTCTGTCTAGATTTTCTCTGAAGACAATCCCGTTTCCAACGAAATCCTCAAGGCTAGGCAAATATCCTCTTGCAGATTCCAGAAAAAGAGTGTTTCAAAACTGCTCCTTCAAAACGGTGGTTCAATTCTCTTAGTTGAGTACACACATCTCAAATAAGTTTCTGAGAATGCTTCTGCCTAGTTGTTACGGGAAGATATTTCCCTTTCCAACATGGGCCTGAAAGCGCTCCAAATGTCCACTTCCAGATACTACAAAAAGAGTGTTTCAAACCTGCTCTACCAAAGGGAATGTTCTACTCTGTGACTTGAATGCAAACATCCCAAAGAAGTTTCTGAGAATGCTTCTGTCTAGATTTTACCTGAAGACAATCCCGTTTCCCACGAAATCCTCAAAGCGATGCAAATATCCTCTTGCGGATTCTACAAAAAGAGTGTTTCAAAACTGCTCTATGAAAAGAAAGGTTCAACTCTGTCAGTAGAGGGCACACATCACAAACAAGTTTCTGAGAATGCTTGTGTCTAGTTGTTATGGGAAAATATTTCCTTTTTCAACATAGGCCTGAAAGCGCTCCAAATGTCCACTTCCAGATACTACAAAAGGAGTGATTCCAACCTGCTCTATGATAGGGAATGTTCATCTCTGTGTCCTGAATACAAACATCACAAAGATGTTTCTCAGAACGCTGCAGTCTGCAATTTGTATGAATTCCCGCTTCCAACGAAATCCTCAAAACTAGCCAAATATCCACTTGCAGATTCCACAAAAAGAGCATTTCAAAACTGCTCTATCAAAAGAAAGGTTCAACTTTGTTAGTTGAGTAGATACAGCATAAACAAGTTTCTGAGAATGCTTCTGTCCAGTTTTTATGGGAAGATATTTCCTTTTTCACCTTAGCCCTGAAAGCGCTCCAAAAGTCCAGTTCCAGATACTACAAAAGGAGTGTTTCAGGACTGCACTATGAAAGGGAGTGTTCAACTTTTGACTTGAATGCAAACATCAGAAAGCAGTTTCTCAGAACGCTGCTGTGTGCTTTTTATATGTATTCCCGCTTCCAGCGAAATCCCCAAAGCTAGCCAAATATCCACTTGCAGATTCCAGAAAAAGAGTGTTTCAAAACTGCTCCTTCAAAACGGTGGTTCAATTCTCTTAGTTGAGTACACACATCTCAAATAAGTTTCTGAGAATGCTTCTGTCTAGTTGTTATGGGAAGATATTTCCTTTTCCAACATAGGCTTGAAAGCGCTCCAAATGTCCACTTCCAGATACTACAAAAGGAGTGATTCAAACCTGCTCTATGATAGGGAATGTTCAACTCTGTGTCCTGAATACAAACATCACAAAGATGTTTCTCAGAAAGCTGCAGTCTGCAATTTGTATGAATTCCCGCTTCCAACGAAATCCTCCAAACTAGCCAAATATCCACTTGCAGATTCCACAAAAAGAGCGTTTCAAAACTTCTCTATGAAAAGAAAGGTTCTACTCCTTTAGTTGAGGACACACATCACGAGTAAGTTTCTGAGAATGCTTCTGTCTAGTTTTTATGGGAAGATATTTCCTTTTTCACCTTAGGCCGGAAAGTGCTCCAAATGTCCACTTACACACACTATAAAAAGAGTGTTTCAAACCTGCTCTGTGAATGGGAATGTTCAATTCTGTGACTTGAATGCAATCATCACAAAGAACTTTCTGAGAATGCTGCTGTCTGCTTTTTATATGTAATCCCGTTTCCAACGAAATCCTCAAATCTAGCCAAATAGCCACTTGCAGATTCCACAAAAAGAGAGTTTCAAAACTGTTCTGTCTAAAGAAATGTTCAACTGTGTTAGTTGAGGACACACATCAGAAACTAGTTTCTGAGAATGCTTCTGTCTAGTTGTTATGGGAAGATATTTCCTTTTCCAACGTAGGCCTGAAAGCGCTCCAAATGTCCACTTCCAGATACTACAAAAGGAGTGATTCCAACCTGCTCTATGATAGGGAATGTTCAACTCTGTGTCCTGAATACAAACATCACAAAGATGTTTCTCAGAACGCTGCAGTCTGCAATTTGTATGAATTCCCGCTTCCAACGAAATCCTCCAAACTAGCCAAATATCCACTTGCAGATTCCACAAAAAGAGCGTTTCAAAACTTCTCTATGAAAGAAAGGTTCTACTCCTTTAGTTGAGGACACACATCACGAGTAAGTTTCTGAGAATGCTTCTGTCTAGTTTTTATGGGAAGATATGTCCTTTTTCACCTTAGGCCGGAAAGCGCTCCAAATGTCCACTTACACACACTACAAAAAGAGTGTTTCAAACCTGCTCTGTGAAAGGGAATGTTCAATTCTGTGACTTGAATGCAATCATCACAAAGAACTTTCTGAGAATGCTGCTGACTGCTTTTTATATGTAATCCCGTTTCCAACGAAATCCTCAAATCTAGCCAAATAGCCACTTGCAGATTCCACAAAAAGAGTGTTTCAAAACTGTTCTGTCTAAAGAAATGTTCAACTGTGTTAGTTGAGGACACACATCAGAAACTAGTTTCTGAGAATGCTTCTGTCTAGTTGTTATGGGAAGATATTTCCTTTTCCAACGTAGGCCTGAAAGCGATCAAAATGTCCACTTCCATATACTAAAAAAAGAGTGTTTCAAACCTGCTCTACCAAAGGGAATGTTCTACTCTGTGACTTGAATGCAAACATCCCAAAGAAGTTTCTGAGAATGCTTCTGTCTAGATTTTCTCTGAAGACAATCCCGTTTCCAACGAAATCCTCAAGGCTAGGCAAATATACTCTTGCAGATTCCAGAAAAAGAGTGTTTCAAAACTGCTCCTTCAAAACGGTGGTTCAATTCTCTTAGTTGAGTACACACATCTCAAATAAGTTTCTGAGAATGCTTCTGCCTAGTTGTTACGGGAAGATATTTCCCTTTCCAACATGGGCCTGAAAGCGCTCCAAATGTCCACTTCCAGATACTACAAAAAGAGTGTTTCAAACCTGCTCTACCAAAGGGAATGTTCTACTCTGTGACTTGAATGCAAACATCCCAAAGAAGTTTCTGAGAATGCTTCTGTCTAGATTTTACCTGAAGACAATCCCGTTTCCCACGAAATCCTCAAAGCTATGCAAATATCCTCTTGCAGATTCTACAAAAAGAGTGTTTCAAAACTGCTCTATGAAAAGAAAGGTTCAACTCTGTCAGTAGAGGGCACACATCACAAACAAGTTTCTGAGAATGCTTCTGCATAGTTGTTACGGGAAGATATTTCCCTTTCCAAAATAGGCCTGAAAGCGCTCCAAATGTCCACTTCCAGATACTACAAAAGGAGTGATTCCAACCTGCTCTATGATAGGGAATGTTCAACTCTGTGTCCTGAATACAAACATCACAAAGATGTTTCTCAGAACACGCTGCAGTCTGCAATTTGTATGAATTCCCGCTTCCAACGAAATCCTCAAAACTAGCCAAATATCCACTTGCAGATTCCACAAAAAGACCATTTCAAAACTGCTCTATCAAAAGAAAGGTTCAACTTTGTTAGTTGAGTAGATACAGCATAAACAAGTTTCTGAGAATGCTTCTGTCCAGTTTTTATGGGAAGATATTTCCTTTTTCACCTTAGCCCTGAAATCGCTCCAAAAGTCCAGTTCCAGATACTACAAAACGGGTGTTTCAAGACTGCTCTATGAAAGGGAGTGTTCAACTTTTGACTTGAATGCAAACATCAGAAAGCAGTTTCTCAGAACGCTGCTGTGTGCTTTTTATATGTATTCCCGCTTCCAGCGAAATCCCCAAAGCTAGCCAAATATCCACTTGCAGATTCCAGAAAAAGAGAGTTTCAAAACTGCTCCTTCAAAACGGTGGTTCAATTCTCTTAGTTGAGTACACACATCTCAAATAAGTTTCTGAGAATGCTTCTGTCTAGTTGTTATGGGAAGATATTTCCTTTTCCAACATAGGCCTGAAAGCGCTCCAAATGTCCACTTCCAGATACTACAAAAGGAGTGATTCAAACCTGCTCTATGATAGGGAATGTTCAACTCTGTGTCCTGAATACAAACATCACAAAGATGTTTCTCAGAACGCTGCAGTCTGCAATTTGTATGAATTCCCGCTTCCAACGAAATCCTCAAAACTAGCCAAATATCCACTTGCAGATTCCACAAAAAGAGCGTTTCAAAACTTCTCTATGAAAAGAAAGGTTCTACTCCTTTAGTTGAGGACACACATCACGAGTAAGTTTCTGAGAATGCTTCTGTCTAGTTTTTATGGGAAGATATTTCCTTTTTCACCTTAGGCCGGTAAGTGCTCCAAATGTCCACTTACACACACTACAAAAAGAGTCTTTCAAACCTGCTCTGTGAAAGGGAATGTTCAATTCTGTGACTTGAATGCAATCATCACAAAGAACTTTCTGAGAATGCTGCTGACTGCTTTTTATATGTAATCCCGTTTCCAACGAAATCCTCAAATCTAGCCAAATAGCCACTTGCAGATTCCACAAAAAGAGTGTTTCAAAACTGTTCTGTCTAAAGAAATGTTCAACTGTGTTAGTTGAGGACACACATCAGAAACTAGTTTCTGAGAATGCTTCTGTCTAGTTGTTATGGGAAGATATTTCCTTTTCCAACGTAGGCCTGAAAGCGATCCAAATGTCCACTTCCATATACTAAAAAAAGAGTGTTTCAAACCTGCTCTACCAAAGGGAATGTTCTACTCTGTGACTTGAATGCAAACATCCCAAAGAAGTTTCTGAGAATGCTTCTGTCTAGATTTTCTCTGAAGACAATCCCGTTTCCAACGAAATCCTCAAGGCTAGGCAAATATACTCTTGCAGATTCCAGAAAAAGAGTGTTTCAAAACTGCTCCTTCAAAACGGTGGTTCAATTCTCTTAGTTGAGTACACACATCTCAAATAAGTTTCTGAGAATGCTTCTGCCTAGTTGTTACGGGAAGATATTTCCCTTTCCAACATGGGCCTGAAAGCGCTCCAAATGTCCACTTCCAGATACTACAAAAAGAGTGTTTCAAACCTGCTCTACCAAAGGGAATGTTCTACTCTGTGACTTGAATGCAAACATCCCAAAGAAGTTTCTGAGAATGCTTCTGTCTAGATTTTACCTGAAGACAATCCCGTTTCCCACGAAATCCTCAAAGCTATGCAAATATCCTCTTGCAGATTCTACAAAAAGAGTGTTTCAAAACTGCTCTATGAAAAGAAAGGTTCAACTCTGTCAGTAGAGGGCACACATCACAAACAAGTTTCTGAGAATGCTTGTGTCTAGTTGTTATGGGAAGATATTTCCTTTTTCAACATAGGCCTGAAAGCGCTCCAAATGTCCACTTCCTGATACTACAAAAGGAGTGATTCCAACCTGCTCTATGATAGGGAATGTTCATCTCTGTGTCCTGAATACAAACATCACAAAGATGTTTCTCAGAACTCTGCTGTGTGCTTTTTATATGTATTCCCGCTTCCAGCGAAATCCCCAAAGCTAGCCAAATATCCACTTGCAGATTCCAGAAAAAGAGTGTTTCAAAACTGCTCCTTCAAAACGGTGGTTCAATTCTCTTAGTTGAGTACACACATCTCAAATAAGTTTCTGAGAATGCTTCTGTCTAGTTGTTATGGGAAGATATTTCCTTTTTCAACATAGGCCTGAAAGCGCTCCAAATGTCCACTTCCAGATACTACAAAAGGAGTGATTCCAACCTGCTCGATGATAGGGAATGTTCAACTCTGTGTCCTGAATACAAACATCACAAAGACGTTTCTCAGAACGCTGCAGTCTGCAATTTGTATGAATTCCCGCTTCCAACGAAATCCTCAAACCTAGCCAAATATCCACTTGCAGATTCCACAAAAAGAGCATTTCAAACTGCTCTATCAAAAGAAAGGTTCAACTTTGTTAGTTGAGTAGATATAGCATAAACAAGTTTCTGAGAATGCTTCTGTCCAGTTTTTATGGGAAGATATTTCCTTTTTCACCTTAGCCCTGAAAGCGCTCCAAATGTCCAGTTCCCGATACTACAAAAGGGGTGTTTCAAGACTGCTCTATGAATGGGAGTGTTCAACTTTTGACTTGAATGCAAACATCAGAAAGCAGTTTCTCAGAACGCTGCTGTGTGCTTTTTATATGTATTCCCGCTTCCAGCGAAATCCCCAAAGCTAGCCAAATATCCACTTGCAGATTCCAGAAAAAGAGTGTTTCAAAACTGCTCCTTCAAAACGGTGGTTCAATTCTCTTAGTTGAGTACACACATCTCAAATAAGTTTCTGAGAATGCTTCTGCATAGTTGTTACGGGAAGATATTTCCCTTTCCAAAATAGGCCTGAAAGCGCTCCAAATGTCCACTTCCAGATACTACAAAAGGAGTGATTCCAACCTGCTCTATGATAGGGAATGTTCAACTCTGTGTCCTGAATACAAACATCACAAAGATGTTTCTCAGAACGCTGCAGTCTGCAATTTGTATGAATTCCCGCTTCCAACGAAATCCTCAAAACTAGCCAAATATCCACTTGCAGATTCCACAAAAAGAGCGTTTCAAAACTTCTCTATGAAAAGAAAGGTTCTACTCCTTTAGTTGAGGACACACATCACGAGTAAGTTTCTGAGAATGCTTCTGTCTAGTTTTTATGGGAAGATATTTCCTTTTTCACCTTAGGCCGGTAAGTGCTCCAAATGTCCACTTACACACACTACAAAAAGAGTGTTTCAAACCTGCTCTGTGAAAGGGAATGTTCAATTCTGTGACTTGAATGCAATCATCACAAAGAACTTTCTGAGAATGCCGCTGACTGCTTTTTATATGTAATCCCGTTTCCAACGAAATCCTCAAATCTAGCCAAATAGCCACTTGCAGATTCCACAAAAAGAGTGTTTCAAAACTGTTCTGTCTAAAGAAATGTTCAACTGTGTTAGTTGAGGACACACATCAGAAACTAGTTTCTGAGAATGCTTCTGTCTAGTTGTTATGGGAAGATATTTCCTTTTCCAACGTAGGCCTGAAAGCGCTCCAAATGTCCACTTCCATATACTAAAAAAAGAGTGTTTCAAACCTGCTCTACCAAAGAGAATGTTCTACTCTGTGACTTGAATGCAAACATCCCAAAGAAGTTTCTGAGAATGCTTCTGTCTAGATTTTATCTGAAGACAATCCCGTTTCCAACGAAATCCTCAAGGCTAGGCAAATATACTCTTGCAGATTCCAGAAAAAGAGTGTTTCAAAACTGCTCCTTCAAAACGGTGGTTCAATTCTCTTAGTTGAGTACACACATCTCAAATAAGTTTCTGAGAATGCTTCTGCCTAGTTGTTACGGGAAGATATTTCCCTTTCCAACATGGGCCTGATAGCGCTCCGAATGTCCACTTCCAGATACTACAAAAAGAGGGTTTCAAACCTGCTCTACCAAAGGGAATGTTCTACTCTGTGACTTGAATGCAAACATCCCAAAGAAGTTTCTGAGAATGCTTCTGTCTAGATTTTACCTGAAGACAATCCCGTTTCCCACGAAATCCTCAAAGCTATGCAAATATCCTCTTGCAGATTCTACAAAAAGAGTGTTTCAAAACTGCTCTATGAAAAGAAAGGTTCAACTCTGTCAGTAGAGGGCACACATCACAAACAAGTTTCTGAGAATGTTTGTGTCTAGTTGTTATGGGAAGATATTTCCTTTTTCAACATAGGCCTGAAAGCGCTCCAAATGTCCACTTCCAGATACTACAAAAGGAGTGATTCCAACCTGCTCTATGATAGGGAATGTTCAACTCTCTGTCCTGAATACAAACATCACAAAGATGTTTCTCAGAACGCTGCAGTCTGCAATTTGTATGAATTCCCGCTTCCAACGAAATCCTAAAAACTAGCCAAATATCCACTTGCAGATTCCACAAAAAGACCATTTCAAAACTGCTCTATCAAAAGAAAGGTTCAACTTTGTTAGTTGAGTAGATACAGCATAAACAAGTTTCTGAGAATGCTTCTGTCCAGTTTTTATGGGAAGATATTTCCTTTTTCACCTTAGCCCTGAAATCGCTCCAAAAGTCCAGTTCCAGATACTACAAAAGGGGTGTTTCAAGACTGCTCTATGAAAGGGAGTGTTCAACTTTTGACTTGAATGCAAACATCAGAAAGCAGTTTCTCAGAACGCTGCTGTGTGCTTTTTATATGTATTCCCGCTTCCAGCGAAATCCCCAAAGCTAGCCAAATATCCACTTGCAGATTCCAGAAAAAGAGAGTTTCAAAACTGCTCCTTCAAAACGGTGGTTCAATTCTCTTAGTTGAGTACACACATCTCAAATAAGTTTCTGAGAATGCTTCTGTCTAGTTGTTATGGGAAGATATTTCCTTTTCCAACATAGGCCTGAAAGCGCTCCAAATGTCCACTTCCAGATACTACAAAAGGAGTGATTCCAACCTGCTCTATGATAGGGAATGTTCAACTCTGTGTCCTGAATACAAACATCACAAAGATGTTTCTCAGAACGCTGCAGTCTGCAATTTGTATGAATTCCCGCTTCCAACGAAATCCTCCAAACTAGCCAAATATCCACTTGCAGATTCCACAAAAAGAGCGTTTCAAAACTTATCTATGAAAAGAAAGGTTCTACTTCTTTAGTTGAGGACACACATCACGAGTAAGTTTCTGAGAATGCTTCTGTCTAGTTTTTATGGGAAGATATTTCCTTTTTCACCTTAGGCCGGTAAGGGTTCCAAATGTCCACTTACACACACTACAAAAAGAGTGTTTCAAACCTGCTTTGTGAAAGGGAATGTTCAATTCTGTGACTTGAATGCAATCATCACAAAGAACTTTCTGAGAATGCTGCTGACTGCTTTTTATATGTAATCCCGTTTCCAACGAAATCCTCAAATCTAGCCAAATAGCCACTTGCAGATTCCACAAAAAGAGTGTTTCAAAACTGTTCTGTCTAAAGAAATGTTCAACTGTGTTAGTTGAGGACACACATCAGAAACTAGTTTCTGAGAATGCTTCTGTCTAGTTGTTATGGGAAGATATTTCCTTTTCCAACGTAGGCCTGAAAGCGCTCCAAATGTCCACTTCCATATACTAAAAAAAGAGTGTTTCAAACCTGCTCTACCAAAGGGAATGTTCTACTCTGTGACTTGAATGCAAACATCCCAAAGAAGTTTCTGAGAATGCTTCTGTCTAGATTTGATCTGAAGACAATCCCGTTTCCAACGAAATCCTCAAGGCTAGGCAAATATCCTCTTGCAGATTCCAGAAAAAGAGTGTTTCAAAACTGCTCCTTCAAAACGGTGGTTCAATTCTCTTAGTTGAGGACACACATCTCAAATAAGTTTCTGAGAATGCTTCTGCCTAGTTGTTACGGGAAGATATTTCCCTTTCCAACATAGGCCTGAAAGCGCTCCAAATGTCCACTTCCAGATACTACAAAAAGAGTGTTTCAAACCTGCTCTACCAAAGGGAATGTTCTACTCTGTGACTTGAATGCAAACATCCCAAAGAAGTTTCTGAGAATGCTTCTGTCTAGATTTTACCTGAAGACAGTCCCGTTTCCCACGAAATCCTCAAAGCTATGCAAATATCCTCTTGCAGATTCTACAAAAAGAGTGTTTCAAAACTGCTCTATGAAAAGAAAGGTTCAACTCTGTCAGTAGAGGGCACACATCACAAACAAGTTTCTGAGAATGCTTGTGTCTAGTTGTTATGGGAAGATATTTCCTTTTTCAACATAGGCCTGAAAGCGCTCCAAATGTCCACTTCCAGATACTACAAAAGGAGTGATTCCAACCTGCTCTATGATAGGGAATGTTCAACTCTCTGTCCTGAATACAAACATCACAAAGATGTTTCTCAGAACGCTGCAGTCTGCAATTTGTATGAATTCCCGCTTCCAACGAAATCCTCAAAACTAGCCAAATATCCACTTGCAGATTCCACAAAAAGAGCATTTCAAAATTGCTCTATCAAAAGAAAGGTTCAACTTTGTTAGTTGAGTAGATACAGCATAAACAAGTTTCTGAGAATGCTTCTGTCCAGTTTTTATGGGAAGATATTTCCTTTTTCACCTTAGCCCTGAAATCGCTCCAAAAGTCCAGTTCCAGATACTACAAAAGGGGTGTTTCAGGACTGCTCTATGAAAGGGAGTGTTCAACTTTTGACTTGAATGCAAACATCAGAAAGCAGTTTCTCAGAACGCTGCTGTGTGCTTTTTATATGTATTCCCGCTTCCAGCGAAATCCCCAAAGCTAGCCAAATATCCACTTGCAGATTCCAGAAAAAGAGAGTTTCAAAACTGCTCCTTCAAAACGGTGGTTCAATTCTCTTAGTTGAGTACACACATCTCAAATAAGTTTCTGAGAATGCTTCTGTCTAGTTGTTATGGGAAGATATTTCCTTTTCCAACATAGGCCTGAAAGCGCTCCAAATGTCCACTTCCAGATACTACAAAAGGAGTGATTCAAACCTGCTCTATGATAGGGAATGTTCAACTCTGTGTCCTGAATACAAACATCACAAAGATGTTTCTCAGAACGCTGCAGTCTGCAATTTGTATGAATTCCCGCTTCCAACGAAATCCTCAAAACTAGCCAAATATCCACTTGCAGATTCCACAAAAAGAGCATTTCAAAACTGCTCTATCAAAAGAAAGGTTCAACTTTGTTAGTTGAGTAGATACAGCATAAACAAGTTTCTGAGAATGCTTCTGTCCAGTTTTTATGGGAAGATATTTCCTTTTTCACCTTAGCCCTGAAAGCGCTCCAAAAGTCCAGTTCCAGATACTACAAAAGGAGTGTTTCAGGACTGCTCTATGAAAGGGAGTGTTCAACTTTTGACTTGAATGCAAACATCAGAAAGCAGTTTCTCAGAACGCTGCTGTGTGCTTTTTATATGTATTCCCGCTTCCAGCGAAATCCCCAAAGCTAGCCAAATATCCACTTGCAGATTCCAGAAAAAGAGTGTTTCAAAACTGCTCCTTCAAAACGGTGGTTCAATTCTCTTAGTTGAGTACACACATCTCAAATAAGTTTCTGAGAATGCTTCTGTCTAGTTGTTATGGGAAGATATTTCCTTTTCCAACATAGGCCGGAAAGCGCTCCAAATGTCCACTTCCAGATACTACAAAAGGAGTGATTCCAACCTGCTCTATGATAGGGAATGTTCAACTCTGTGTCCTGAATACAAACATCACAAAGATGTTTCTCAGAACGCTGCAGTCTGCAATTTGTATGAATTCCCGCTTCCAACGAAATCCTCAAAACTAGCCAAATATCCACTTGCAGATTCCACAAAAAGAGCGTTTCAAAACTTCTCTATGAAAAGAAAGGTTCTACTCCTTTAGTTGAGGACACACATCACGAGTAAGTTTCTGAGAATGCTTCTGTCTAGTTTTTATGGGAAGATATTTCCTTGTTCACCTTAGGCCGGAAAGTGCTCCAAATGTCCACTTACACACACTACAAAAAGAGTGTTTCAAACCTGCTCTGTGAAAGGGAATGTTCAATTCTGTGACTTGAATGCAATCATCACAAAGAAGTTTCTGAGAATGCTGCTGTCTGCTTTTTATATGTAATCCCGTTTCCAACGAAATCCTCAAATCTAGCCAAATATCCACTTGCAGATTCCACAAAAAGAGTGTTTCAAAACTGTTCTGTCTAAAGAAATGTTCAACTGTGTTAGTTGAGGACACACATCAGAAACTAGTTTCTGAGAATGCTTCTGTCTAGTTGTTATGGGAAGATATTTCCTTTTCCAACGTAGGCCTGAAAGCGCTCCAAATGTCCACTTCCATATACTAAAAAAAGAGTGTTTCAAACCTGCTCTAACAAAGGGAATGTTCTACTCTGTGACTTGAATGCAAACATCCCAAAGAAGTTTCTGAGAATGCTTCTGTCTAGATTTTATCTGAAGACAATCCCGTTTCCAACGAAATCCTCAAGGCTAGGCAAATATACTCTTGCAGATTCCAGAAAAAGAGTGTTTCAAAACTGCTCCTTCAAAACGGTGGTTCAATTCTCTTAGTTGAGTACACACATCTCAAATAAGTTTCTGAGAATGCTTCTGCCTAGTTGTTACGGGAAGATATTTCCCTTTCCAACATGGGCCTGAAAGCGCTCCAAATGTCCACTTCCAGATACTACAAAAAGAGTGTTTCAAACCTGCTCTACCAAAGGGAATGTTCTACTCTGTGACTTGAATGCAAACATCCCAAAGAAGTTTCTGAGAATGCTTCTGTCTAGATTTTACCTGAAGACAATCCCGTTTCCCACGAAATCCTCAAAGCTATGCAAATATCCTCTTGCGGATTCTATAAAAGAGTGTTTCAAAACTGCTCTATGAAAAGAAAGGTTCAACTCTGTCAGTAGAGGGCACACATCACAAACAAGTTTCTGAGAATGCTTGTGTCTAGTTGTTATGGGAAGATATTTCCTTTTTCAACATAGGCCTGAAAGCGCTCCAAATGTCCACTTCCAGATACTACAAAAGGAGTGATTCCAACCTGCTCTATGATAGGGAATGTTCATCTCTGTGTCCTGAATACAAACATCACAAAGATGTTTCTCAGAACGCTGCAGTCTGCAATTTGTATGAATTCCCGCTTCCAACGAAATCCTCAAAACTAGCCAAATATCCACTTGCAGATTCCACAAAAAGAGCATTTCAAAACTGCTCTATCAAAAGAAAGGTTCAACTTTGTTAGTTGAGTAGATACAGCATAAACAAGTTTCTGAGAATGCTTCTGTCCAGTTTTTATGGGAAGATATTTCCTTTTTCACCTTAGCCCTGAAAGCGCTCCAAATTTCCAGTTCCAGATACTACAAAAGGGGTGTTTCAAGACTGCTCTATGAAAGGGAGTGTTCAACTTTTGACTTGAATGCAAACATCAGAAAGCAGTTTCTCAGAACGCTGCTGTGTGCTTTTTATATGTATTCCCGCTTCCAGCGAAATCCCCAAAGCTAGCCAAATATCCACTTGCAGATTCCAGAAAAAGAGTGTTTCCAAACTGCTCCTTCAAAACGGTGGTTCAATTCTCTTAGTTGAGTACACACATCTCAAATAAGTTTCTGGGAATGCTTGTGTCTAGTTGTTATGGGAAGATATTTCCTTTTTCAACATAGGCCTGAAAGCGCTCCAAATGTCCACTTCCAGATACTACAAAAGGAGTGATTCCAACCTGCTCTATGATAGGGAATGTTCATCTCTGTGTCCTGAATACAAACATCACAAAGATGTTTCTCAGAACGCTGCAGTCTGCAATTTGTATGAATTCCCGCTTCCAACGAAATCCTCAAAACTAGCCAAATATCCACTTGGAGATTCCACAAAAAGAGCGTTTCAAAACTTCTCTATGAATAGAAAGGTTCTACTCCTTTAGTTGAGGACACACATCACGAGTAAGTTTCTGAGAATGCTTCTGTCTAGTTTTTATGGGAAGATATTTCCTTTTTCACCTTAGGCCGGAATGCGCTCCAAATGTCCACTTATACACACTACAAAAAGGGTGTTTCAAACCTGCTCTGTGAAAGGGAATGTTCAATTCTGTGACTTGAATGCAATCATCACAAAGAACTTTCTGAGAATGCTGCTGTCTGCTTTTTATATGTAATCCCGTTTCCAACGAAATCCTCAAATCTAGCCCAATATCCACTTGCAGATTCCACAAAAAGAGTGTTTCAAAACTGTTCTGTCTAAAGAAATGTACAACTGTGTTAGTTGAGGACACACATCAGAAACTAGTTTCTGAGAATGCTTCTGTCTAGTTGTTATGGGAAGATATTTCCTTTTCTAACGTAGGCCTGAAAGCGCTCCAAATGTCCACTTCCATATACTAAAAAAAGAGTGTTTCAAACCTGCTCTACCAAAGGGAATGTTCTACTCTGTGACTTGAATGCAAACATCTCAAAGAAGTTTGCTGAGAATGCTTCAGTCTAGATTTGATCTGAAGACAATCCCGTTTCCAACGAAATCCTCAAGGCTAGGCAAATATCCTCTTGCAGATTCCAGAAAAAGAGTGTTTCAAAACTGCTCCTTCAAAACAGTGGTTCAATTCTCTTAGTTGAGTACACACATCTCAAATAAGTTTCTGAGAATGCTTCTGCCTAGTTGTTACGGGAAGATATTTCCCTTTCCAACATAGGCTTGAAAGCGCTCCAAATGTCCACTTCCAGATACTATAAAAAGAGTGTTTCAAACCTGCTCTACCAAAGGGAATGTTCTACTCTGTGACTTGAATGCAAACATCCCAAAGAAGTTTCTGAGAATGCTTCTGTCTAGATTTTACCTGAAGGACAATCCCGTTTCCCACGAAATCCTCAAAGCTATGCAAATATCCTCTTGCAGATTCTACAAAAAGAGTGTTTCAAAACTGCTCTAAGAAAAGAAAGGTTCAACTCTGTCAGTAGAGGGCACACATCACAAACAAGTTTCTGAGAATGCTTCTGCATAGTTGTTACGGGAAGATATTTCCCTTTCCAAAATAGGCCTGAAAGCGCTCCAAATGTCCACTTCCAGATACTACAAAAGGAGTGATTCCAACCTGCTCTATGATAGGGAATGTTCAACTCTGTGTCCTGAATACAAACATCACAAAGATGTTTCTCAGAACGCTGCAGTCTGCAATTTGTATGAATTCCCGCTTCCAACGAAATCCTCAAAACTAGCCAAATATCCACTTGCAGATTCCACAAAAAGAGCATTTCAAAACTGCTCTATCAAAAGAAAGGTTCAACTTTGTTAGTTGAGTAGATACAGCATAAACAAGTTTCTGAGAATGCTTCTGTCCAGTTTTTATGGGAAGATATTTCCTTTTTCACCTTAGCCCTGAAAGCGCTCCAAAAGTCCAGTTCCAGATACTGCAAAAGGAGTGTTTCAGACTGCACTATGAAAGGGAGTGTTCAACTTTTGACTTGAATGCAAACATCAGAAAGCAGTTTCTCAGAACGCTGCTGTGTGCTTTTTATATGTATTCCCGCTTCCAGCGAAATCCCCAAAGCTAGCCAAATATCCACTTGCAGATTCCAGAAAAAGAGTGTTTCAAAACTGCTCCTTCAAAACGGTGGTTCAATTCTCTTAGTTGAGTACACACATCTCAAATAAGTTTCTGAGAATGCTTCTGTCTAGTTGTTATGGGAAGGTATTTCCTTTTCCAACATAGGCCTGAAAGCGCTCCAAATGTCCACTTCCAGATACTACAAAAGGAGTGATTCAAACCTGCTCTATGATAGGGAATGTTCAACTCTGTGTCCTGAATACAAACATCACAAAGATGTTTCTCAGAACGCTGCAGTCTGCAATTTGTATGAATTCCCGCTTCCAACGAAATCCTCCAAACTAGCCAAATATCCACTTGCAGATTCCACAAAAAGAGCGTTTCAAAACTTCTCTATGAAAAGAAAGGTTCTACTCCTTTAGTTGAGGACACACATCACGAGTAAGTTTCTGAGAGTGCTTCTGTCTAGTTTTTATGGGAAGATATTTCCTTTTTCACCTTAGGCCGGAAAGTGCTCCAAATGTCCACTTACACACACTACAAAAAGAGTGTTTCAAACCTGCTCTGTGAAAGGGAATGTTCAATTCTGTGACTTGAATGCAATCATCACAAAGAACTTTCTGAGAATGCTGCTGACTGCTTTTTATATGTAATCCCGTTTCCAACGAAATCCTCAAATCTACCCCAATATCCACTTGCAGATTCCACAAAAAGAGTGTTTCAAAACTGTTCTGTCTAAAGAAATGTACAACTGTGTTAGTTGAGGACACACATCAGAAACTAGTTTCTGAGAATGCTTCTGTCTAGTTGTTATGGGAAGATATTTCCTTTTCCCACGTAGGCCTGAAAGCGCTCCAAATGTCCACTTCCATATACTAAAAAAAGAGTGTTTCAAACCTGCTCTACCAAAGGGAATGTTCTACTCTGTGACTTGAATGCAAACATCCCAAAGAAGTTTCTGAGAATGCTTCTGTCTAGATTTTATCTGAAGACAATCCCGTTTCCAACGAAATCCTCAAGGCTAGGCAAATATACTCTTGCAGATTCCAGAAAAAGAGTGTTTCAAAACTGCTCCTTCAAAACGGTGGTTCAATTCTCTTAGTTGAGTACACACATCTCAAATAAGTTTCTGAGAATGCTTCTGCCTAGTTGTTACGGGAAGATATTTCCCTTTCCAACATGGGCCTGAAAGCGCTCCAAATGTCCACTTCCAGATACTACAAAAAGAGTGTTTCAAACCTGCTCTACCAAAGGGAATGTTCTACTCTGTGACTTGAATGCAAACATCCCAAAGAAGTTTCTGAGAATGCTTCTGTCTAGATTTTACCTGAAGACAATCCCGTTTCCCACGAAATCCTCAAAGCTATGCAAATATCCTCTTGCAGATTCTACAAAAAGTGTGTTTCAAAACTGCTCTATGAAAAGAAAGGTTCAACTCTGTCAGTAGAGGGCACAACATCACAAACAAGTTTCTGAGAATGCTTCTGCATAGTTGTTACGGGAAGATATTTCCCTTTCCAAAATAGGCCTGAAAGCGCTCCAAATGTCCACTTCCAGATACTACAAAAGGAGTGATTCCAACCTGCTCTATGATAGGGAATGTTCAACTCTGTGTCCTGAATACAAACATCACAAAGATGTTTCTCAGAACGCTGCAGTCTGCAATTTGTATGAATTCCCGCTTCCAACGAAATCCTCAAAACTAGCCAAATATCCACTTGCAGATTCCACAAAAAGACCATTTCAAAACTGCTCTATCAAAAGAAAGGTTCAACTTTGTTAGTTGAGTAGATACAGCATAAACAAGTTTCTGAGAATGCTTCTGTCCAGTTTTTATGGGAAGATATTTCCTTTTTCACCTTAGCCCTGAAATCGCTCCAAAAGTCCAGTTCCAGATACTACAAAAGGGGTGTTTCAGGACTGCCCTATGAAAGGGAGTGTTCAACTTTTGACTTGAATGCAAACATCAGAAAGCAGTTTCTCAGAACGCTGCTGTGTGCTTTTTATATGTATTCCCGCTTCCAGCGAAATCCCCAAAGCTAGCCAAATATCCACTTGCAGATTCCAGAAAAAGAGAGTTTCAAAACTGCTCCTTCAAAACGGTGGTTCAATTCTCTTAGTTGAGTACACACATCTCAAATAAGTTTCTGAGAATGCTTCTGTCTAGTTGTTATGGGAAGATATTTCCTTTTCCAACATAGGCCTGAAAGCGCTCCAAATGTCCACTTCCAGATACTACAAAAGGAGTGATTCAAACCTGCTCTATGATAGGGAATGTTCAACTCTGTTGTCCTGAATACAAACATCACAAAGATGTTTCTCAGAACGCTGCAGTCTGCAATTTGTATGAATTCCCGCTTCCAACGAAATCCTCAAAACTAGCCAAATATCCACTTGCAGATTCCACAAAAAGAGCGTTTCAAAACTTCTCTATGAAAAGAAAGGTTCTACTCCTTTAGTTGAGGACACACATCACGAGTAAGTTTCTGAGAATGCTTCTGTCTAGTTTTTATGGGAAGATATTTCCTTTTTCACCTTAGGCCGGAAAGTGCTCCAAATGTCCACTTACACACACTACAAAAAGAGTGTTTCAAACCTGCTCTGTGAAAGGGAATGTTCAATTCTGTGACTTGAATGCAATCATCACAAAGAACTTTCTGAGAATGCTGCTGTCTGCTTTTTATATGTAATCCCGTTTCCAACGAAATCCTCAAATCTAGCCAAATAGCCACTTGCAGATTCCACAAAAAGAGTGTTTCAAAACTGTTCTGTCTAAAGAAATGTTCAACTGTGTTAGTTGAGGACACACATCAGAAACTAGTTTCTGAGAATGCTTCTGTCTAGTTGTTATGGGAAGATATTTCCTTTTCCAACGTAGGCCAGAAAGCGCTCCAAATGTCCACTTCCATATACTAAAAAAAGAGTGTTTCAAACCTGCTCTACCAAAGGGAATGTTCTACTCTGTGACTTGAATGCAAACATCCCAAAGAAGTTTCTGAGAATGCTTCTGTCTAGATTTGATCTGAAGAAAATCCCGTTTCCAACGTAGGCCTGAAAGCGCTCCAAATGTCCACTTCCATATACTAAAAAAAGAGTGTTTCAAACCTGCTCTACCAAAGGGAATGTTCTACTCTGTGACTTGAATGCAAACATCCCAAAGAAGTTTCTGAGAATGCTTCTGCCTAGTTGTTACGGGAAGATATTTCCCTTTCCAACATGGGCCTGATAGTGCTCCAAATGTCCACTTCCAGATACTACAAAAAGAGTGTTTCAAACCTGCTCTACCAAAGGGAATGTTCTACTCTGTGACTTGAATGCAAACATCCCAAAAAAGTTTCTGAGAATGCTTCTGTCTAGATTTTACCTGAAGACAATCCCGTTTCCCACGAAATCCTCAAAGCTATGCAAATATCCTCTTGCAGATTCTACAAAAAGAGTGTTTCAAAACTGCTCTATGAAAAGAAAGGTTCAACTCTGTCAGTAGAGGGCACACATCACAAACAAGTTTCTGAGAATGCTTGTGTCTAGTTGTTATGGGAAGATATTTCCTTTTTCAACATAGGCCTGAAAGCGCTCCAAATGTCCACTTCCAGATACTACAAAAGGAGTGATCCCAACCTGCTCTATGATAGGGAATGTTCAACTCTGTGTCCTGAATACAAACATCACAAAGATGTTTCTCAGAACGCTGCAGTCTGCAATTTGTATGAATTCCCGCTTCCAACGAAATCCTCAAAACTAGCCAAATATCCACTTGCAGATTCCACAAAAAGAGCATTTCAAAACTGCTCTATCAAAAGAAAGGTTTAACTTTGTTAGTTGAGTAGATACAGCATAAACAAGTTTCTGAGAATGCTGCAGTCTGCAATTTGTATGAATTCCCGCTTCCAACGAAATCCTCAAAACTAGCCAAATATCCACTTGCAGATTCCACAAAAAGAGCGTTTCAAAACTTCTCTATGAGAAGAAAGGTTCTACTCCTTTAGTTGAGGACACACATCACGAGTAAGTTTCTGAGAATGCTTCTGTCTAGTTTTTATGGGAAGATATTTCCTTTTTCACCTTAGGCCGGAAAGTGCTCCAAATGTCCACTTACACACACTACAAAAAGAGTGTTTCAAACCTGCTCTGTGAAAGGGAATGTTCAATTCTGTGACTTGAATGCAATCATCACAAAGAACTTTCTGAGAATGCTGCTGTCTGCTTTTTATATGTAATCCCGTTTCCAACGAAATCCTCAAATCTAGCCAAATAGCCACTTGCAGATTCCACAAAAAGAGTGTTTCAAAACTGTTCTGTCTAAAGAAATGTTCAACTGTGTTAGTTGAGGACACACATCAGAAACTAGTTTCTGAGAATGCTTCTGTCTAGTTGTTATGGGAAGATATTTCCTTTTCCAACGTAGGCCTGAAAGCGCTCCAAATGTCCACTTCCATATACTAAAAAAAGAGTGTTTCAAACCTGCTCTACCAAAGGGAATGTTCTACTCTGTGACTTGAATGCAAACATCCCAAAGAAGTTTCTGAGAATGCTTCTGTCTAGATTTGATCTGAAGACAATCCCGTTTCCAACGAAATCCTCAAGGCTAGGCAAATATCCTCTTGCAGATTCCAGAAAAAGAGTGTTTCAAAACTGCTCCTTCAAAACGGTGGTTCAGTTCTCTTAGTTGAGGACACACATCTCAAATAAGTTTCTGAGAATGCTTCTGCCTAGTTGTTACGGGAAGATATTTCCCTTTCCAACATAGGCCTGAAAGCGCTCCAAATGTCCACTTCCAGATACTACAAAAAGAGTGTTTCAAACCTGCTCTACCAAAGGGAATGTTCTACTCTGTGACTTGAATGCAAACATCCCAAAGAAGTTTCTGAGAATGCTTCTGTCTAGATTTTACCTGAAGACAATCCCGTTTCCCACGAAATCCTCAAAGCTATGCAAATATCCTCTTGCAGATTCTACAAAAAGAGTGTTTCAAAACTGCTCTATGAAAAGAAAGGTTCAACTCTGTCAGTAGAGGGCACACATCACAAACAAGTTTCTGAGAATGCTTGTGTCTAGTTGTTATGGGAAGATATTTCCTTTTTCAACATAGGCCTGAAAGCGCTCCAAATGTCCACTTCCAGATACTACAAAGGAGTGATTCCAACCTGCTCTATGATAGGGAATGTTCAACTCTGTGTCCTGAATACAAACATCACAAAGATGTTTCTCAGAACGCTGCAGTCTGCAATTTGTATGAATTCCCGCTTCCAACGAAATCCTCAAAACTAGCCAAATATCCACTTGCAGATTCCACAAAAAGAGCGTTTCGAAACTTATCTATGAAAAGGAAGGTTCTACTTCTTTAGTTGAGGACACACATCACGAGTAAGTTTCTGAGAATGCTTCTGTCTAGTTTTTATGGGAAGATATTTCCTTTTTCACCTTAGGCCGGAAAGTGCTCCAAATGTCCACTTACACACACTATACAAAGAGTGTTTCAAACCTGCTCTGTGAAAGGGAATGTTCAATACTGTGACTTGAATGCAATCATCACAAAGAAGTTTCTGAGAATGCTTCTGTCTAGATTTTACCTGAAGACAATCCCGTTTCCCACGAAATCCTCAAAGCTATGCAAATATCCTCTTGCAGATTCTACAAAAAGAGTGTTTCAAAACTGCTCTATGAAAAGAAAGGTTCAACTCTGTCAGTAGAGGGCACACATCACAAACAAGTTTCTGAGAATGCTTCTGTCTAGTTTTTATGGGAAGATATTTCCTTTTTCACCTGAGGCCGGAAAGCGCTCCAAATGTTCACTTCCAGATACTACAAAAGGAGTGATTCAAACCTGCTCTATGATAGGGAATGTTCAACTCTGTGTCCTGAATACAAACATCACAAATATGTTTCTCAGAACGCTGCAGTCTGCAATTTGTATGAATTCCCGCTTCCAACGCAATCCTCAAAACTAACCAAATATCCACTTGCAGACTCCACAAAAAGAGCATTTCAAAACTGCTCTATCAAAAGAAAGGTTCAACTTTGTTAGCTGAGTAGATACAGCATAAACAAGTTTCTGAGAATGCTTCTGTCCAGTTTTTATGGGAAGATATTTCCTTTTTCACCTTAGCCCTGAAATCGCTCCAAAAGTCCAGTTCCAGATACTACAAAAGGGGTGTTTCAGGACTGCTCTATGAAAGGGAGTGTTCAACTTTTGACTTGAATGCAAACATCAGAAAGCAGTTTCTCAGAACGCTGCTGTGTGCTTTTTATATGTATTCCCGCTTCCAGCGAAATCCCCAAAGCTAGCCAAATATCCACTTGCAGATTCCAGAAAAAGAGAGTTTCAAAACTGCTCCTTCAAAACGGTGGTTCAATTCTCTTAGTTGAGTACACACATCTCAAATAAGTTTCTGAGAATGCTTCTGTCTAGTTGTTATGGGAAGATATTTCCTTTTCCAACATAGGCCTGAAAGCGCTCCAAATGTCCACTTCCAGATACTACAAAAGGAGTGATTCAAACCTGCTCTATGATAGGGAATGTTCAACTCTGTGTCCTGAATACAAACATCACAAAGATGTTTCTCAGAACGCTGCAGTCTGCAATTTGTATGAATTCCCGCTTCCAACGAAATCCTCAAAACTAGCCAAATATCCACTTGCAGATTCCACAAAAAGAGCATTTCAAAACTGCTCTATCAAAAGAAAGGTTCAACTTTGTTAGTTGAGTAGATACAGCATAAACAAGTTTCTGAGAATGCTTCTGTCCAGTTTTTATGGGAAGATATTTCCTTTTTCACCTTAGCCCTGAAAGCGCTCCAAAAGTCCAGTTCCAGATACTACAAAAGGAGTGTTTCAGGACTGCTCTATGAAAGGGAGTGTTCAACTTTTGACTTGAATGCAAACATCAGAAAGCAGTTTCTCAGAACGCTGCTGTGTGCTTTTTATATGTATTCCCGCCTCCAGCGAAATCCCCAAAGCTAGCCAAATATCCACTTGCAGATTCCAGAAAAAGAGTGTTTCAAAACTGCTCCTTCAAAACGGTGGTTCAATTCTCTTAGTTGAGTACACACATCTCAAATAAGTTTCTGAGAATGCTTGTGTCTAGTTGTTATGGGAAGATATTTCCTTTTTCAACATAGGCCTGAAAGCGCTCCAAATGTCCACTTCCAGATACTACAAAAGGAGTGATTCCAACCTGCTCTATGATAGGGAATGTTCATCTCTGTGTCCTGAATACAAACATCACAAAGATGTTTCTCAGAACGCTGCAGTCTGCAATTTGTATGAATTCCCGCTTCCAACGAAATCCTCAAAACTAGCCAAATATCCACTTGGAGATTCCACAAAAAGAGCGTTTCAAAACTTCTCTATGAATAGAAAGGTTCTACTCCTTTAGTTGAGGACACACATCACGAGTAAGTTTCTGAGAATGCTTCTGTCTAGTTTTTATGGGAAGATATGTCCTTTTTCACCTTAGGCCGGAAAGCGCTCCAAATGTCCACTTACACACACTACAAAAAGAGTGTTTCAAACCTGCTCTGTGAAAGGGAATGTTCAATTCTGTGACTTGAATGCAATCATCACAAAGAACTTTCTGAGAATGCTTGCTGTCTGCTTTTTATATGTAATCCCGTTTCCAACGAAATCCTCAAATCTAGCCAAATAGCCACTTGCAGATTCCACAAAAAGAGTGTTTCAAAACTGTTCTGTCTAAAGAAATGTACAACTGTGTTAGTTGAGGACACACATCAGAAACTAGTTTCTGAGAATGCTTCTGTCTAGTTGTTATGGGAAGAGATTTCCTTTTCCAACGTAGGCCTGAAAGCGCTCCAAATGTCCTTCCATATACTACAAAAAGAGTGTTTCAAACCTGCTCTACCAAAGGGAATGTTCTACTCTGTGACTTGAATGCAAACATCCCAAAGAAGTTTCTGAGAATGCTTCTGTCTAGATTTTATCTGAAGACAATCCCGTTTCCAACGAAATCCTCAAGGCTAGGCAAATATACTCTTGCAGATTCCAGAAAAAGAGTGTTTCAAAACTGCTCCTTCAAAACGGTGGTTCAATTCTCTTAGTTGAGTACACACATCTCAAATAAGTTTCTGAGAATGCTTCTGCCTAGTTGTTACGGGAAGATATTTCCCTTTCCAACATGGGCCTGAAAGCGCTCCAAATGTCCACTTCCAGATACTACAAAAAGAGTGTTTCAAACCTGCTCTACCAAAGGGAATGTTCTACTCTGTGACTTGAATGCAAACATCCCAAAGAAGTTTCTGAGAATGCTTCTGTCTAGATTTTACCTGAAGACAATCCCGTTTCCCACGAAATCCTCAAAGCTATGCAAATATCCTCTTGCAGATTCTACAAAAAGAGTGTTTCAAAACTGCTCTATGAAAAGAAAGGTTCAACTCTGTCAGTAGAGGGCACACATCACAAACAAGTTTCTGAGAATGCTTCTGCATAGTTGTTACGGGAAGATATTTCCCTTTCCAAAATAGGCCTGAAAGCGCTCCAAATGTCCACTTCCAGATACTACAAAAGGAGTGATTCCAACCTGCTCTATGATAGGGAATGTTCAACTCTGTGTCCTGAATACAAACATCACAAAGATGTTTCTCAGAACGCTGCAGTCTGCAATTTGTATGAATTCCCGCTTCCAACGAAATCCTCAAAACTAGCCAAATATCCACTTGCAGATTCCACAAAAAGACCATTTCAAAACTGCTCTATCAAAAGAAAGGTTCAACTTTGTTAGTTGAGTAGATACAGCATAAACAAGTTTCTGAGAATGCTTCTGTCCAGTTTTTATGGGAAGATATTTCCTTTTTCACCTTAGCCCTGAAAGCGCTCCAAATGTCCAGTTCCAGATACTACAAAAGGGGTGTTTCAAGACTGCTCTATGAAAGTGAGTGTTCAACTTTTGACTTGAATGCAAACATCAGAAAGCAGATTCTCAGAACGCTGCTGTGTGCTCTTTATAGGTATTCCCGCTTCCAGCGAAATCCCCAAAGCTAGCCAAATATCCACTTGCAGATTCCAGAAAAAGAGTGTTTCAAAACTGCTCTTTTAAAACGGTGGTTCAATTCTCTTAGTTGAGTACACACATCTCAAATAAGTTTCTGAGAATGCTTCTGTCTAGTTGTTATGGGAAGATATTTCCTTTTCCAACATAGGCCTGAAAGCGCTCCAAATGTCCACTTCCAGATACTACAAAAGGAGTGATTCCAACCTGCTCTATGATAGGGAATGTTCAACTCTGTGTCCTGAATACAAACATCACAAAGATGTTTCTCAGAACGCTGCAGTCTGCAATTTGTATGAATTCCCGCTTCCAACGAAATCCTCCAAACTAGCCAAATATCCACTTGCAGATTCCACAAAAAGAGCGTTTCAAAACTTCTCTATGAAAAGAAAGGTTCTACTCCTTTAGTTGAGGACACACATCACGAGTAAGTTTCTGAGAATGCTTCTGTCTAGTTTTTATGGGAAGATATGTCCTTTTTCACCTTAGGCCGGAAAGCGCTCCAAATGTCCACTTACACACACTACAAAAAGAGTGTTTCAAACCTGCTCTGTGAAAGGGAATGTTCAATTCTGTGACTTGAATGCAATCATCACAAAGAACTTTCTGAGAATGCTGCTGTCTGCTTTTTATGTGTAATCCCCTTTCCAACGAAATCCTCAAATCTAACCCAATATCCACTTGCAGATTCCACAAAAAGAGTGTTTCAAAACTGTTCTGTCTAAAGAAAAGTTCAACTGTGTTAGTTGAGGACACACATCAGAAACTAGTTTCTGAGAATGCTTCTGTCTAGTTGTTATGGGAAGATATTTCCTTTTCCAACGTAGGCCTGAAAGCGCTCCAAATGTCCACTTCCATATACTAAAAAAAGAGTGTTTCAAACCTGCTCTACCAAAGGGAATGTTCTACTCTGTGACTTGAATGCAAACATCCCAAAGAAGTTTCTGAGAATGCTTCTGTCTAGATTTTATCTGAAGACAATCCCGTTTCCAACGAAATCCTCAAGGCTAGGCAAATATACTCTTGCAGATTCCAGAAAAAGAGTGTTTCAAAACTGCTCCTTCAAAACGGTGGTTCAATTCTCTTAGTTGAGTACACACATCTCAAATAAGTTTCTGAGAATGCTTCTGCCTAGTTGTTACGGGAAGATATTTCCCTTTCCAACATGGGCCTGAAAGCGCTCCAAATGTCCACTTCCAGATACTACAAAAAGAGTGTTTCAAACCTGCTCTACCAAAGGGAATGTTCTACTCTGTGACTTGAATGCAAACATCCCAAAGAAGTTTCTGAGAATGCTTCTGTCTAGATTTTACCTGAAGACAATCCCGTTTCCCACGAAATCCTCAAAGCTATGCAAATATCCTCTTGCGGATTCTACAAAAAGAGTGTTTCAAAACTGCTCTATGAAAAGAAAGGTTCAACTCTGTCAGTAGAGGGCACACATCACAAGCAAGTTTCTGAGAATGCTTGTGTCTAGTTGTTATGGGAAGATATTTCCTTTTTCAACATAGGCCTGAAAGCGCTCCAAATGTCCACTTCCAGATACTACAAAAGGAGTGATTCCAACATGCTCTATGATAGGGAATGTTCATCTCTCTGTCCTGAATACAAACATCACAAAGATGTTTCTCAGAACGCTGCAGTCTGCAATTTGTATGAATTCCCGCTTCCAACGAAATCCTCAAAACTAGCCAAATATCCACTTGGAGATTCCACAAAAAGAGCGTTTCAAAACTTCTCTATGAATAGAAAGGTTCTACTCCTTTAGTTGAGGACACACATCACGAGTAAGTTTCTGAGAATGCTTCTGTCTAGTTTTTATGGGAAGATATGTCCTTTTTCACCTTAGGCCGGAAAGCGCTCCAAATGTCCACTTACACACACTACAAAAAGAGTGTTTCAAACCTGCTCTGTGAAAGGGAATGTTCAATTCTGTGACTTGAATGCAATCATCACAAAGAACTTTCTGAGAATGCTGCTGTCAGCTTTTTATATGTAATCCCGTTTCCAAAGAAATCCTCAAATCTAGCCAAATAGCCACTTGCAGATTCCACAAAAAGAGTGTTTCAAAACTGTTCTGTCTAAAGAAATGTTCAACTGTGTTAGTTGAGGACACACATCAGAAACTAGGTTCTGAGAATGCTTCTGTCTAGTTGTTATGGGAAGATATTTCCTTTTCCAACGTAGGCCTGAAAGCGCTCCAAATGTCCACTTCCATATACTAAAAAAAGAGTGTTTCAAACCTGCTCTAACAAAGGGAATGTTCTACTCTATGAATTGAATGCAAACACCCAAAGAAGTTTCTGAGAATGCTTCTGTCTAGATTTTATCTGAAGACAATCCCGTTTCCAACGAAATCCTCAAAGCTAGGCAAATATACTCTTGCAGATTCCAGAAAAAGAGTGTTTCAAAACTGCTCCTTGAAAAGGGTGGTTCAATTCTCTTAGTTGAGTACACCCATCTCAAATAAGTTTCTGAGAATGCTTCTGCCTAGTTGTTACGGGAAGATATTTCCCTTTCCAACATAGGCCTGAAAGCGCTCCAAATGTCCACTTCCAGATACTACAAAAAGAGTGTTTCAAACCTGCTCTACCAAAGGGAATGTTCTACTCTGTGACTTGAATAGAAACATCCAAAAGAAGTTTCTGAGAATGCTTCTGTCTAGATTTTAGCTGAAGACAATCCCGTTTCCAACGAAATCCTCAAAGCTAGGCAAATATACTCTAGCAGATTCCAGAAAAAGAGTGTTTCAAAACTGCTCCTTCAAAACGGTGGTTCAATTCTCTTAGTTGAGTACACACATCTCAAATAAGTTTCTGAGAATGCTTCTGCCTAGTTGTTACGGGAAGATATTTCCCTTTCCAACATAGGCCTGAAAGCGCTCCAAATGTCCACTTCCAGATACTACAAAAAGAGTGTTTCAAACCTGCTCTACCAAAGGGAATGTTCTACTCTGTGACTTGAATGCAAACATCCCAAAGAAGTTTCTGAGAATGCTTCTGTCTAGATTTTACCTGAAGACAATCCCGTTTCCCACGAAATCCTCAAAGCTATGCAAATATCCTCTTGCAGATTCTACAAAAAGAGTGTTTCAAAACTGCTCTATGAAAAGAAAGGTTCAACTCTGTCAGTAGAGGGCACACATCACAAACAAGTTTCTGAGAATGCTTCTGCATAGTTGTTACGGGAAGATATTTCCCTTTCCAAAATAGGCCTGAAAGCGCTCCAAATGTCCACTTCCAGATACTACAAAAGGAGTGATTCCAACCTGCTCTATGATAGGGAATGTTCAACTCTCTGTCCTGAATACAAACATCACAAAGATGTTTCTCAGAACGCTGCAGTCTGCAATTTGTATGAATTCCCGCTTCCAACGAAATCCTCAAAACTAGCCAAATATCCACTTGCAGATTCCACAAAAAGACCATTTCAAAACTGCTCTATCAAAAGAAAGGTTCAACTTTGTTAGTTGAGTAGATACAGCATAAACAAGTTTCTGAGAATGCTTCTGTCCAGTTTTTATGGGAAGATATTTCCTTTTTCACCTTAGCCCTGAAATCGCTCCAAAAGTCCAGTTCCAGATACTACAAAAGGGGTGTTTCAGGACTGCTCTATGAAAGGGAGTGTTCAACTTTTGACTTGAATGCAAACATCAGAAAGCAGTTTCTCAGAACGCTGCTGTGTGCTTTTTATATGTATTCCCGCTTCCAGCGAAATCCCCAAAGCTAGCCAAATATCCACTTGCAGATTCCAGAAAAAGAGAGTTTCAAAACTGCTCCTTCAAAACGGTGGTTCAATTCTCTTAGTTGAGTACACACATCTCAAATAAGTTTCTGAGAATGCTTCTGTCTAGTTGTTATGGGAAGATATTTCCTTTTCCAACATAGGCCTGAAAGCGCTCCAAATGTCCACTTCCAGATACTACAAAAGGAGTGATTCAAACCTGCTCTATGATAGGGAATGTTCAACTCTGTGTCCTGAATACAAACATCACAAAGATGTTTCTCAGAACGCTGCAGTCTGCAATTTGTATGAATTCCCGCTTCCAACGAAATCCTCAAAACTAGCCAAATATCCACTTGCAGATTCCACAAAAAGAGCGTTTCAAAACTTCTCTATGAAAAGAAAGGTTCTACTCCTTTAGTTGAGGACACACATCACGAGTAAGTTTCTGAGAATGCTTCTGTCTAGTTTTTATGGGAAGATATTTCCTTTTTCACCTTAGGCCGGTAAGTGCTCCAAATGTCCACTTACACACACTACAAAAAGAGTGTTTCAAACCTGCTCTGTGAAAGGGAATGTTCAATTGCTGTGACTTGAATGCAATCATCACAAAGAACTTTCTGAGAATGCTGCTGACTGCTTTTTATATGTAATCCCGTTTCCAACGAAATCCTCAAATCTAGCCAAATAGCCACTTGCAGATTCCACAAAAAGAGTGTTTCAAAACTGTTCTGTCTAAAGAAATGTTCAACTGTGTTAGTTGAGGACACACATCAGAAACTAGTTTCTGAGAATGCTTCTGTCTAGTTGTTATGGGAAGATATTTCCTTTTCCAACGTAGGCCTGAAAGCGCTCCAAATGTCCACTTCCATATACTAAAAAAAGAGTGTTTCAAACCTGCTCTACCAAAGGGAATGTTCTACTCTGTGACTTGAATGCAAACATCCCAAAGAAGTTTCTGAGAATGCTTCTGTCTAGATTTTCTCTGAAGACAATCCCGTTTCCAACGAAATCCTCAAGGCTAGGCAAATATACTCTTGCAGATTCCAGAAAAAGAGTGTTTCAAAACTGCTCCTTCAAAACGGTGGTTCAATTCTCTTAGTTGAGTACACACATCTCAAATAAGTTTCTGAGAATGCTTCTGCCTAGTTGTTACGGGAAGATATTTCCCTTTCCAACATGGGCCTGAAAGCGCTCCAAATGTCCACTTCCAGATACTACAAAAAGAGTGTTTCAAACCTGCTCTACCAAAGGGAATGTTCTACTCTGTGACTTGAATGCAAACATCCCAAAGAAGTTTCTGAGAATGCTTCTGTCTAGATTTTACCTGAAGACAATCCCGTTTCCCACGAAATCCTCAAAGCTATGCAAATATCCTCTTGCAGATTCTACAAAAAGAGTGTTTCAAAACTGCTCTATGAAAAGAAAGGTTCAACTCTGTCAGTAGAGGGCACACATCACAAACAAGTTTCTGAGAATGCTTCTGCATAGTTGTTACGGGAAGATATTTCCCTTTCCAAAATAGGCCTGAAAGCGCTCCAAATGTCCACTTCCAGATACTACAAAAGGAGTGATTCCAACCTGCTCTATGATAGGGAATGTTCAACTCTGTGTCCTGAATACAAACATCACAAAGATGTTTCTCAGAACGCTGCAGTCTGCAATTTGTATGAATTCCCGCTTCCAACGAAATCCTCAAAACTAGCCAAATATCCACTTGCAGATTCCACAAAAAGACCATTTCAAAACTGCTCTATCAAAAGAAAGGTTCAACTTTGTTAGTTGAGTAGATACAGCATAAACAAGTTTCTGAGAATGCTCTGTCCAGTTTTTATGGGAAGATATTTCCTTTTTCACCTTAGCCCTGAAATCGCTCCAAAAGTCCAGTTCCAGATACTACAAAAGGGGTGTTTCAAGACTGCTCTATGAAAGGGAGTGTTCAACTTTTGACTTGAATGCAAACATCAGAAAGCAGTTTCTCAGAACGCTGGCTGTATGCTTTTTATATGTATTCCGGCTTCCAGCGAAATCCCCAAAGCTAGCCAAATATCCACTTGCAGATTCCAGAAAAAGAGTGTTTCAAAACTGCTCCTTCAAAACGGTGGTTCAATTCTCTTAGTTGAGTACACACATCTCAAATAAGTTTCTGAGAATGCTTCTGTCTAGTTGTTATGGGAAGATATTTCCTTTTCCAACATAGGCCTGAAAGCGCTCCAAATGTCCACTTCCAGATACTACAAAAGGAGTGATTCAAACCTGCTCTATGATAGGGAATGTTCAAATCTGTGTCCTGAATACAAACATCACAAAGATGTTTCTCAGAACGCTGCAGTCTGCAATTTGTATGAATTCCCGCTTCCAACGAAATCCTCAAAACTAGCCAAATATCCACTTGCAGATTCCACAAAAAGAGCGTTTCAAAACTTCTCTATGAAAAGAAAGGTTCTACTCCTTTAGTTGAGGACACACATCACGAGTAAGTTTCTGAGAATGCTTCTGTCTAGTTTTTATGGGAAGATATTTCCTTTTTCACCTTAGGCCGGTAAGTGCTCCAAATGTCCACTTACACACACTACAAAAAGAGTGTTTCAAACCTGCTCTGTGAAAGGGAATGTTCAATTCTGTGACTTGAATGCAATCATCACAAAGAACTTTCTGAGAATGCTGCTGACTGCTTTTTATATGTAATCCCGTTTCCAACGAAATCCTCAAATCTAGCCAAATAGCCACTTGCAGATTCCACAAAAAGAGTGTTTCAAAACTGTTCTGTCTAAAGAAATGTTCAACTGTGTTAGTTGAGGACACACATCAGAAACTAGTTTCTGAGAATGCTTCTGTCTAGTTCTTATGGGAAGATATTTCCTTTTCCAACGTAGGCCTGAAAGCGCTCCAAATGTCCACTTCCATATACTAAAAAAAGAGTGTTTCAAACCTGCTCTACCAAAGAGAATGTTCTACTCTGTGACTTGAATGCAAACATCCCAAAGAAGTTTTTGAGAATGCTTCTGTCTAGATTTTATCTGAAGACAATCCAGTTTCCAACGAAATCCTCAAGGCTAGGCAAATATATTCTTGCAGAATCCAGAAAAAGAGTGTTTCAAAACTGCTCCTTCAAAACTGTGGTTCAATTCTCTTAGTTGAGTACACACATCTCAAATAAGTTTCTGAGAATGCTTCTGCCTAGTTGTTAAGGGAAGATATTTCCCTTTCCAACATGAGCCTGAAAGCGCTCCATATGTCCACTTCCAGATACTACAAAAAGAGTGTTTCAAACCTGCTCTACCAAAGGGAATGTTCTACTCTGTGACTTGAATGCAAACATCCCAAAGAAGTTTCTGAGAATGCTTCTGTCTAGATTTTACCTGAAGACAATCCCGTTTCCCACGAAATCCTCAAAGCTATGCAAATATCCTCTTGCAGATTCTACAAAAAGAGTGTTTCAAAACTGCTCTATGAAAAGAAAGGTTCAACTCTGTCAGTAGAGGGCACACATCACAAACAAGTTTCTGAGAATGCTTCTGCATAGTTGTTATGGGAAGATATTTCCCTTTCCAAAATAGGCCTGAAAGCGCTCCAAATGTCCACTTCCAGATACTACAAAAGGAGTGATTCCAACCTGCTCTAGGACAGGGAATGTTCAACTCTGTGTCCTGAATAAAAACATCACAAAGATGTTTCTCAGAACGCTGCAGTCTGCAATTTGTATGAATTCCCGCTTCCAACGAAATCCTCAAAACTAGCCAAATATCCACTTGCAGATTCCACAAAAAGACCATTTCAAAACTGCTCTATCAAAAGAAAGGTTCAACTTTGTTAGTTGAGTAGATACAGCATAAACAAGTTTCTGAGAATGCTTCTGTCCAGTTTTTATGGGAAGATATTTCCTTTTTCACCTTAGCCCTGAAATCGCTCCAAAAGTCCAGTTCCAGATACTACAAAAGGGGTGTTTCAGGACTGCTCTATGAAAGGGAGTGTTCAACTTTTGACTTGAATGCAAACATCAGAAAGCAGTTTCTCAGAACGCTGCTGTGTGCTTTTTATATGTATTCCCGCTTCCAGCGAAATCCCCAAAGCTAGCCAAATATCCACTTGCAGATTCCAGAAAAAGAGAGTTTCAAAACTGCTCCTTCAAAACGGTGGTTCAATTCTCTTAGTTGAGTACACACATCTCAAATAAGTTTCTGAGAATGCTTCTGTCTAGTTGTTATGGGAAGATATTTCCTTTTCCAACATAGGCCTGAAAGCGCTCCAAATGTCCACTTCCAGATACTACAAAAGGAGTGATTCCAACCTGCTCTATGATAGGGAATGTTCAACTCTGTGTCCTGAATACAAACATCACAAAGATGTTTCTCAGAACGCTGCAGTCTGCAATTTGTATGAATTCCCGCTTCCAACGAAATCCTCAAAACTAGCCAAATATCCACTTGCAGATTCCACAAAAAGAGCGTTTCAAAACTTCTCTATGAAAAGAAAGGTTCTACTCCTTTAGTTGAGGACACACATCACGAGTAAGTTTCTGAGAATGCTTCTGTCTAGTTTTTATGGGAAGATTATTTCCTTTTTCACCTTAGGCCGGTAAGTGCTCCAAATGTCCACTTACACACACTACAAAAAGAGTGTTTCAAACCTGCTCTGTGAAAGGGAATGTTCAATTCTGTGACTTGAATGCAATCATCACAAAGAACTTTCTGAGAATGCCGCTGACTGCTTTTTATATGTAATCCCGTTTCCAACGAAATCCTCAAATCTAGCCAAATAGCCACTTGCAGATTCCACAAAAAGAGTGTTTCAAAACTGTTCTGTCTAAAGAAATGTTCAACTGTGTTAGTTGAGGACACACATCAGAAACTAGTTTCTGAGAATGCTTCTGTCTAGTTGTTATGGGAAGATATTTCCTTTTCCAACGTAGGCCTGAAAGCGCTCCAAATGTCCACTTCCAGATACTACAAAAAGAGTGTTTCAAACCTGCTCTACCAAAGGGAATGTTCTACTCTGTGACTTGAATGCAAGCATCCCAAAGAAGTTTCTGAGAATGCTTCTGTCTAGATTTTCTCTGAAGACAATCCCGTTTCCAACGAAATCCTCAAGGCTAGGCAAATATACTCTTGCAGATTCCAGAAAAAGAGTGTTTCAAAACTGCTCCTTCAAAACGGTGGTTCAATTCTCTTAGTTGAGTACACACATCTCAAATAAGTTTCTGAGAATGCTTCTGCCTAGTTGTTACGGGAAGATATTTCCCTTTCCAACATGGGCCTGAAAGCGCTCCAAATGTCCACTTCCAGATACTACAAAAAGAGTGTTTCAAACCTGCTCTACCAAAGGGAATGTTCTACTCTGTGACTTGAATGCAAACATCCCAAAGAAGTTTCTGAGAATGCTTCTGTCTAGATTTTACCTGAAGACAATCCCGTTTCCCACGAAATCCTCAAAGCTATGCAAATATCCTCTTGCAGATTCTACAAAAAGAGTGTTTCAAAACTGCTCTATGAAAAGAAAGGTTCAACTCTGTCAGTAGAGGGCACACATCACAAACAAGTTTCTGAGAATGCTTGTGTCTAGTTGTTATGGGAAGATATTTCCTTTTTCAACATAGGCCAGAAAGCGCTCCAAATGTCCACTTCCAGATACTACAAAAGGAGTGATTCCAACCTGCTCTATGATAGGGAATGTTCAACTCCCTGTCCTGCATACAAACATCACAAAGATGTTTCTCAGAACGCTGCAGTCTGCAATTTGTATGAATTCCCGCTTCCAACGAAATCCTCCAAACTAGCCAAATATCCACTTGCAGATTCCACAAAAAGAGCATTTCAAAACTGCTCTATCAAAAGAAAGGTTCAACTTTGTTAGTTGAGTAGATACAGCATAAACAAGTTTCTGAGAATGCTTCTGTCCAGTTTTTATGGGAAGATATTTCCTTTTTCACCTTAGCCCTGAAAGCGCTCCAAAAGTCCAGTTCCAGATACTACAAAAGGAGTGTTTCAGGACTGCTCTATGAAAGGGAGTGTTCAACTTTTGACTTGAATGCAAACATCAGAAAGCAGTTTCTCAGAACGCTGCAGTCTGCAATTTGTATGAATTCCGCTTCCAACGAAATCCTCAAAACTAGCCAAATATCCACTTGGAGATTCCACAAAAAGAGCGTTTCAAAACTTCTCTATGAATAGAAATGTTCTACTCCTTTAGTTGAGGACACACATCACGAGTAAGTTTCTGAGAATGCTTCTGTCTAGTTTTTATGGGAAGATATTTCCTTTTTCACCTTAGGCCGGAAAGCGCTCCAAATGTCCACTTACACACACTACAAAAAGAGGGTTTCAAACCTGCTCTGTGAAAGGGAATGTTCAATTCTGTGACTTGAATGCAATCATCACAAAGAACTTTCTGAGAATGCTGCTGTCTGCTTTTTATATGTAATCCCGTTTCCAACGAAATCCTCAAACCTAGCCAAATATCCACTTGCAGATTCCACAAAAAGAGTGTTTCAAAACTGTCCTGTCTAAAGAAAAGTTCAACTGTGTTAGTTGAGGACACACATCAGAAACTAGTTTCTGAGAATGCTTCTGTCTAGTTGTTATGGGAAGATATTTCCTTTTCCAACGTAGGCCTGAAAGCGCTCCAAATGTCCACTTCCATATACTAAAAAAAGAGTGTTTCAAACCTGCTCTACCAAAGGGAATGTTCTACTCTGTGACTTGAATGCAAACATCCCAAAGAAGTTTCTGAGAATGCTTCTGTCTAGATTTGATCTGAAGACAATCCCGTTTCCAACGAAATCCTCAAGGCTAGGCAAATATCCTCTTGCAGATTCCAGAAAAAGAGTGTTTCAAAACTGCTCCTTCAAAACGGTGGTTCAATTCTCTTAGTTGAGTACACACATCTCAAATAAGTTTCTGAGAATGCTTCTGCCTAGTTGTTACGGGAAGATATTTCCCTTTCCAACATAGGCCTGAAAGTGCTCCAAATGTCCACTTCCAGATACTACAAAAAGAGTGTTTCAAACCTGCTCTACCAAAGGGAATGTTCTACTCTGTGACTTGAATGCAAACATCCCAAAGAAGTTTCTGAGAATGCTTCTGTCTAGATTTTACCTGAAGACAATCCCGTTTCCCACGAAATCCTCAAAGCTATGCAAATATCCTCTTGCAGATTCTACAAAAAGAGTGTTTCAAAACTGCTCTATGAAAAGAAAGGTTCAACTCTGTCAGTAGAGGGCACACATCACAAACAAGTTTCTGAGAATGCTTGTGTCTAGTTGTTATGGGAAGATATTTCCTTTTTCAACATAGGCCAGAAAGCGCTCCAAATGTCCACTTCCAGATACTACAAAAGGAGTGATTCCAACCTGCTCTATGATAGGGAATGTTCAACTCTCTGTCCTGAATACAAACATCACAAAGATGTTTCTCAGAACGCTGCAGTCTGCAATTTGTATGAATTCCCGCTTCCAACGAAATCCTCAAAACTAGCCAAATATCCACTTGCAGATTCCACAAAAAGACCATTTCAAAACTGCTCTATCAAAAGAAAGTTCAACTTTGTTAGCTGAGTAGATACAGCATAAACAAGTTTCTGAGAATGCTTCTGTCCAGTTTTTATGGGAAGATATTTCCTTTTTCACCTTAGCCCTGAAATCGCTCCAAAAGTCCAGTTCCAGATACTACAAAAGGAGTGTTTCAAGACTGCTCTATGAAAGGGAGTGTTCAACTTTTGACTTGAATGCAAACATCAGAAAGCAGTTTCTCAGAACGCTGCTGTGTGCTTTTTATATGTATTCCCGCTTCCAGCGAAATCCCCAAAGCTAGCCAAATATCCACTTGCAGATTCCAGAAAAAGAGTGTTTCAAAACTGCTCCTTCAAAACGGTGGTTCAATTCTCTTAGTTGAGTACACACATCTCAAATAAGTTTCTGAGAATGCTTCTGTCTAGTTGTTATGGGAAGATATTTCCTTTTCCAACATAGGCCTGAAAGCACTCCAAATGTCCACTTCCAGATACTACAAAAGGAGTGATTCAAACCTGCTCTATGATAGGGAATGTTCAACTCTGTGTCCTGAATACAAACATCACAAAGATGTTTCTCAGAACGCTGCAGTCTGCAATTTGTATGAATTCCCGCTTCCAACGAAATCCTCAAAACTAGCCAAATATCCACTTGCAGATTCCACAAAAAGAGCGTTTCAAAACTTCTCTATGAAAAGAAAGGTTCTACTCCTTTAGTTGAGGACACACATCACGAGTAAGTTTCTGAGAATGCTTCTGTCTAGTTTTTATGGGAAGATATTTCCTTTTTCACCTTAGGCCGGTAAGTGCTCCAAATGTCCACTTACACACACTACAAAAAGAGTGTTTCAAACCTGCTCTGTGAAAGGGAATGTTCAATTCTGTGACTTGAATGCAATCATCACAAAGAACTTTCTGAGAATGCTGCTGACTGCTTTTTATATGTAATCCCGTTTCCAACGAAATCCTCAAATCTAGCCAAATAGCCACTTGCAGATTCCACAAAAAGAGTGTTTCAAAACTGTTCTGTCTAAAGAAATGTTCAACTGTGTTAGTTGAGGACACACATCAGAAACTAGTTTCTGAGAATGCTTCTGTCTAGTTGTTATGGGAAGATATTTCCTTTTCCAACGTAGGCCTGAAAGCGATCCAAATGTCCACTTCCAGATACTACAAAAAGAGTGTTTCAAACCTGCTCTACCAAAGGGAATGTTCTACTCTGTGACTTGAATGCAAACATCCCAAAGAAGTTTCTGAGAATGCTTCTGTCTAGATTTTCTCTGAAGACAATCCCGTTTCCAACGAAATCCTCAAGGCTAGGCAAATATACTCTTGCAGATTCCAGAAAAAGAGTGTTTCAAAACTGCTCCTTCAAAACGGTGGTTCAATTCTCTTAGTTGAGTACACACATCTCAAATAAGTTTCTGAGAATGCTTCTGCCTAGTTGTTACGGGAAGATATTTCCCTTTCCAACATGGGCCTGAAAGCGCTCCAAATGTCCACTTCCAGATACTACAAAAAGAGTGTTTCAAACCTGCTCTACCAAAGGGAATGTTCTACTCTGTGACTTGAATGCAAACATCCCAAAGAAGTTTCTGAGAATGCTTCTGTCTAGATTTTACCTGAAGACAATCCCGTTTCCCACGAAATCCTCAAAGCTATGCAAATATCCTCTTGCAGATTCTACAAAAAGAGTGTTTCAAAACTGCTCTATGAAAAGAAAGGTTCAACTCTGTCAGTAGAAGGGCACACATCACAAACAAGTTTCTGAGAATGCTTGTGTCTAGTTGTTATGGGAAGATATTTCCTTTTTCAACATAGGCCTGAAAGCGCTCCAAATGTCCACTTCCAGATACTACAAAAGGAGTGATTCCAACCTGCTCTATGATAGGGAATGTTCCTCTCTGTGTCCTGAATACAAACATCACAAAGATGTTTCTCAGAACGCTGCACTCTGCAATTTGTATGAATTCCCGCTTCCAACGAAATCCTCAAAACTAGCCAAATATCCACTTGGAGATTCCACAAAAAGAGCATTTCAAAACTTCTCTACGAATAGAAAGGTTCTACTCCTTTAGTTGAGGACACACATCACGAGTAAGTTTCTGAGAATGCTTCTGTCTAGTTTTTATGGGAAGATATTTCCTTTTTCACCTTAGGCCGGAAAGCGCTCCAAATGTCCACTTACACACACTACAAAAAGAGTGTTTCAAACCTGCTCTGTGAAAGGGAATGTTCAATTCTGTGACTTGAATGCAATCATCACAAAGAACTTTCTGAGAATGCTGCTGTCTGCTTTTTATATGTAATCCCGTTTCCAACGAAATCCTCAAATCTAGCCAAATATCCACTTGCAGATTCCACAAAAAGAGTGTTTCAAAACTGTTCTGTCTAAAGAAAAGTTCAACTGTGTTAGTTGAGGACACACATCAGAAACTAGTTTCTGAGAATGCTTCTGTCTAGTTGTTATGGGAAGATATTTCCTTTTCCAACGTAGGCCTGAAAGCGCTCCAAATGTCCACTTCCATATACTAAAAAAAGAGTGTTTCAAACCTGCTCTACCAAAGGGAATGTTCTACTCTGTGACTTGAATGCAAACATCCCAAAGAAGTTTCTGAGAATGCTTCTGTCTAGATTTTATCTGAAGACAATCCCGTTTCCAACGAAATCCTCAAGGCTAGGCAAATATACTCTTGCAGATTCCAGAAAAAGAGTGTTTCAAAACTGCTCCTTCAAAACGGTGGTTCAATTCTCTTAGTTGAGTACACACATCTCAAATAAGTTTCTGAGAATGCTTCTGCCTAGTTGTTACGGGAAGATATTTCCCTTTCCAACATGGGCCTGAAAGCGCTCCAAATGTCCACTTCCAGATACTACAAAAAGAGTGTTTCAAACCTGCTCTACCAAAGGGAATGTTCTACTCTGTGACTTGAATGCAAACATCCCAAAGAAGTTTCTGAGAACGCTTCTGTCTAGATTTTACCTGAAGACAATCCCGTTTCCCACGAAATCCTCAAAGCTATGCAAATATCCTCTTGCAGATTCTACAAAAAGAGTGTTTCAAAACTGCTCTATGAAAAGAAAGGTTCAACTCTGTCAGTAGAGGGCACACATCACAAACAAGTTTCTGAGAATGCTTCTGCATAGTTGTTACGGGAAGATATTTCCCTTTCCAAAATAGGCCTGAAAGCGCTCCAAATGTCCACTTCCAGATACTACAAAAGGAGTGATTCCAACCTGCTCTATGATAGGGAATGTTCAACTCTGTGTCCTGAATACAAACATCACAAAGATGTTTCTCAGAACGCTGCAGTCTGCAATTTGTATGAATTCCCGCTTCCAACGAAATCCTCAAAACTAGCCAAATATCCACTTGCAGATTCCACAAAAAGACCATTTCAAAACTGCTCTATCAAAAGAAAGGTTCAACTTTGTTAGTTGAGTAGATACAGCATAACCAAGTTTCTGAGAATGCTTCTGTCCAGTTTTTATGGGAAGATATTTCCTTTTTCACCTTAGCCCTGAAATCGCTCCAAAAGTCCAGTTCCAGATACTACAAAAGGGGTGTTTCAAGACTGCTCTATGAAAGGGAGTGTTCAACTTTTGACTTGAATGCAAACATCAGAAAGCAGTTTCTCAGAACGCTGCTGTGTGCTTTTTATATGTATTCCCGCTTCCAGCGAAATCCCCAAAGCTAGCCAAATATCCACTTGCAGATTCCAGAAAAAGAGAGTTTCAAAACTGCTCCTTCAAAACGGTGGTTCAATTCTCTTAGTTGAGTACACACATCTCAAATAAGTTTCTGAGAATGCTTCTGTCTAGTTGTTATGGGAAGATATTTCCTATTCCAACATAGGCCTGAAAGCGCTCCAAATGTCCACTTCCAGATACTACAAAAGGAGTGATTCAAACCTGCTCTATGATAGGGAATGTTCAACTCTGTGTCCTGAATACAAACATCACAACGATGTTTCTCAGAACGCTGCAGTCTGCAATTTGTATGAATTCCCGCTTCCAACGAAATCCTCAAAACTAGCCAAATATCCACTTGGAGATTCCACAAAAAGAGCGTTTCAAAACTTCTCTATGAATAGAAACGTTCTACTCCTTTAGTTGAGGACACACATCACGAGTAAGTTTCTGAGAATGCTTCTCTCTAGTTTCTATAGGAAGATATTTCCTTTTTCACCTTAGGCCGGAAAGCGCTCCAAATGTCCACTTACACACACTACAAAAAGAGTGTTTCAAACCTGCTCTGTGAAAGGGAATGTTCAATTCTGTGACTTGAATGCAATCATCACAAAGAACTTTCTGAGAATGCTGCTGACTGCTTTTTATATGTAATCCCGTTTCCAAAGAAATCCTCAAATCTAGCCAAATAGCCACTTGCAGATTCCACAAAAAGAGTGTTTCAAAACTGTTCTGTCTAAGGAAATGTTCAACTGTGTTAGTTGAGGACACACATCAGAAACTAGTTTCTGAGAATGCTTCTGTCTAGTCGTTATGGGAAGATATTTCCTTTTCCAACGTAGGCCTGAAAGCGATCAAAATGTCCACTTCCATATACTAAAAAAAGAGTGTTTCAAACCTGCTCTACCAAAGGGAATGTTCTACTCTGTGACTTGAATGCAAACATCCCAAAGAAGTTTCTGAGAATGCTTCTGTCTAGATTTTATCTGAAGACAACCACGTTTCCAACGAAATCGTCAAGGCTAGGCAAATATACTCTTGCAGATTCCAGAAAAAGAGTGTTTCAAAACTGCGCCTTCAAAACGGTGGTTCAATTCTCTTAGTTGAGTACACACATCTCAAATAAGTTTCTGAGAATGCTTCTGCCTAGTTGTTACGGGAAGATATTTCCCTTTCCAACATAGGCCTGAAAGCGCTCCAAATGTCCACTTCCAGATACTACAAAAAGAGTGTTTCAAACCTGCTCTACCAAAGGGAATGTTCTACTCTGTGACTTGAATGCAAACATCCCAAAGGAGTTTCTGAGAATGCTTCTGTCTAGATTTTACCTGAAGACAATCCCGTTTTCCACGAAATCCTCAAAGCTATGCAAATATCCTCTTGCGGATTCTACAAAAAGAGTGTTTCAAAACTGCTCTATGAAAAGAAAGGTTCAACTCTGTCAGTAGAGGGCACACATCACAAACAAGTTTCTGAGAATGCTTGTTTCTAGTTGTTATGGGAAGATATTTCCTTTTTCAACATAGGCCTGAAAGCGCTCCAAATGTCCACTTCCAGATACTACAAAAGGAGTGATTCCAACATGCTCTATGAGAGGGAATGTTCATCTCTGTGTCTTGAATACAAACATCACAAAGATGTTTCTCAGAACGCTGCAGTCTGCAATTTGTATGAATTCCCGCTTCCAACGAAATCCTCCAAACTAGCCAAATATCCACTTGCAGATTCCACAAAAAGAGCGTTTCAAAACTTCTCTATGAAAAGAAAGGTTCTACTCCTTTAGTTGAGGACACACATCACGAGTAAGTTTCTGAGAATGCTTCTGTCTAGTTTTTATGGGAAGATATTTCCTTTTTCACCTTAGGCCGGTAAGGGTTCCAAATGTCCACTTACACACACTACAAAAAGAGTGTTTCAAACCTGCTCTGTGAAAGGGAATGTTCAATTCTGTGACTTGAATGCAATCATCACAAAGAACTTTCTGAGAATGCTGCTGACTGCTTTTTATATGTAATCCCGTTTCCAACGAAATCCTCAAATCTAGCCAAATAGCCACTTGCAGATTCCACAAAAAGAGTGTTTCAAAACTGTTCTGTCTATAGAAATGTTCAACTGTGTTAGTTGAGGACACACAGCAGAAACTAGTTTCTGAGAATGCTTCTGTCTAGTTGTTATGGGAAGATATTTCCTTTTCCAACGTAGGCCTGAAAGCGCTCCAAATGTCCACTTCCATATACTAAAAAAAGAGTGTTTCAAACCTGCTCTACCAAAGGGAATGTTCTACTCTGTGACTTGAATGCAAACATCCCAAAGAAGTTTCTGAGAATGCTTCTGTCTAGATTTTCTCTGAAGACAATCCCGTTTCCAACGAAATCCTCAAGGCTAGGCAAATATACTCTTGCAGATTCCAGAAAAAGAGTGTTTCAAAACTGCTCCTTCAAAACGGTGGTTCAATTCTCTTAGTTGAGTACACACATCTCAAATAAGTTTCTGAGAATGCTTCTGCCTAGTTGTTATGGGAAGATATTTCCTTTTCCAACATAGGCCTGAAAGCGCTCCAAATGTCCACTTCCAGATACTACAAAAGGAGTGATTCAAACCTGCTCTATGATAGGGAATGTTCAACTCTGTGTCCTGAATACAAACATCACAAAGATGTTTCTCAGAACGCTTCTGTCTAGATTTTACCTGAAGACAATCCCGTTTCCCACGAAATCCTCAAAGCTATGCAAATATCCTCTTGCAGATTCTACAAAAAGAGTGTTTCAAAACCGCTCTATGAAAAGAAAGGTTCAACTCTGTCAGTAGAGGGCACACATCACAAACAAGTTTCTGAGAATGCTTCTGCATAGTTGTTACGGGAAGATATTTCCCTTTCCAAAATAGGCCTGAAAGCGCTCCAAATGTCCACTTCCAGATACTACAAAAGGAGTGATTCCAACCTGCTCTATGATAGGGAATGTTCAACTCTGTGTCCTGAATACAAACATCACAAAGATGTTTCTCAGAACGCTGCAGTCTGCAATTTGTATGAATTCCCGCTTCCAACGAAATCCTCAAAACTAGCCAAATATCCACTTGCAGATTCCACAAAAAGACCATTTCAAAACTGCTCTATCAAAAGAAAGGTTCAACTTTGTTAGTTGAGTAGATACAGCATAAACAAGTTTCTGAGAATGCTTCTGTCCAGTTTTTATGGGAAGATATTTCCTTTTTCACCTTAGCCCTGAAATCGCTCCAAAAGTCCAGTTCCAGATACTACAAAAGGGGTGTTTCAAGACTGCTCTATGAAAGGGAGTGTTCAACTTTTGACTTGAATGCAAACATCAGAAAGCAGTTTCTCAGAACGCTGCTGTGTGCTTTTTATATGTATTCCCGCTTCCAGCGAAATCCCCAAAGCTAGCCAAATATCCACTTGCAGATTCCAGAAAAAGAGTGTTTCAAAACTGCTCCTTCAAAACGGTGGTTCAATTCTCTTAGTTGAGTACACACATCTCAAATAAGTTTCTGAGAATGCTTCTGTCTAGTTGTTATGGGAAGATATTTCCTTTTCCAACATAGGCCTGAAAGCGCTCCAAATGTCCACTTCCAGATACTACAAAAGGAGTGATTCAAACCTGCTCTATGATAGGGAATGTTCAACTCTGTGTCCTGAATACAAACATCACAAAGATGTTTCTCAGAACGCTGCAGTCTGCAATTTGTATGAATTCCCGCTTCCAACGAAATCCTCAAAACTAGCCAAATATCCACTTGCAGATTCCACAAAAAGAGCGTTTCAAAACTTCTCTATGAAAAGAAAGGTTCTACTCCTTTAGTTGAGGACACACATCACGAGTAAGTTTCTGAGAATGCTTCTGTCTAGTTTTTATGGGAAGATATTTCCTTTTTCACCTTAGGCCGGTAAGTGCTCCAAATGTCCACTTACACACACTACAAAAAGAGTGTTTCAAACCTGCTCTGTGAAAGGGAATGTTCAATTCTGTGACTTGAATGCAATCATCACAAAGAACTTTCTGAGAATGCCGCTGACTGCTTTTTATATGTAATCCCGTTTCCAACGAAATCCTCAAATCTAGCCAAATAGCCACTTGCAGATTCCACAAAAAGAGTGTTTCAAAACTGTTCTGTCTAAAGAAATGTTCAACTGTGTTAGTTGAGGACACACATCAGAAACGAGTTTCTGAGAATGCTTCTGTCTAGTTGTTATGGGAAGATATTTCCTTTTCCAACGTAGGCCTGAAAGCGCTCCAAATGTCCACTTCCAGATACTACAAAAAGAGTGTTTCAAACCTGCTCTACCAAAGGGAATGTTCTACTCTGTGACTTGAATGCAAGCATCCCAAAGAAGTTTCTGAGAATGCTTCTGTCTAGATTTTCTCTGAAGACAATCCCGTTTCCAACGAAATCCTCAAGGCTAGGCAAATATCCTCTTGCAGATTCCAGAAAAAGAGTGTTTCAAAACTGCTCCTTCAAAACGGTGGTTCAATTCTCTTAGTTGAGTACACACATCTCAAATAAGTTTCTGAGAATGCTTCTGCCTAGTTGTTACGGGAAGATATTTCCCTTTCCAACATGGGCCTGAAAGCGCTCCAAATGTCCACTTCCAGATACTACAAAAAGAGTGTTTCAAACCTGCTCTACCAAAGGGAATGTTCTACTCTGTGACTTGAATGCAAACATCCCAAAGAAGTTTCTGAGAATGCTTCTGTCTAGATTTTACCTGAAGACAATCCCGTTTCCCACGAAATCCTCAAAGCTATGCAAATATCCTCTTGCAGATTCTACAAAAAGAGTGTTTCAAAACTGCTCTATGAAAAGAAAGGTTCAACTCTGTCAGTAGAGGGCACACATCACAAACAAGTTTCTGAGAATGCTTCTGCATAGTTGTTACGGGAAGATATTTCCCTTTCCAAAATAGGCCTGAAAGCGCTCCAAATGTCCACTTCCAGATACTACAAAAGGAGTGATTCCAACCTGCTCTATGATAGGGAATGTTCAACTCTGTGTCCTGAATACAAACATCACAAAGATGTTTCTCAGAACGCTGCAGTCTGCAATTTGTATGAATTCCCGCTTCCAACGAAATCCTCAAAACTAGCCAAATATCCACTTGCAGATTCCACAAAAAGACCATTTCAAAACTGCTCTATCAAAAGAAAGGTTCAACTTTGTTAGTTGAGTAGATACAGCATAAACAAGTTTCTGAGAATGCTTCTGTCCAGTTTTTATGGGAAGATATTTCCTTTTTCACCTTAGCCCTGAAATCGCTCCAAAAGTCCAGTTCCAGATACTACAAAAGGGGTGTTTCAAGACTGCTCTATGAAAGGGAGTGTTCAACTTTTGACTTGAATGCAAACATCAGAAAGCAGTTTCTCAGAACGCTGCTGTGTGCTTTTTATATGTATTCCCGCTTCCAGCGAAATCCCCAAAGCTAGCCAAATATCCACTTGCAGATTCCAGAAAAAGAGAGTTTCAAAACTGCTCCTTCAAAACGGTGGTTCAATTCTCTTAGTTGAGTACACACATCTCAAATAAGTTTCTGAGAATGCTTCTGTCTAGTTGTTATGGGAAGATAATTCCTTTTCCAACATAGGCCTGAAAGCGCTCCAAATGTCCACTTCCAGATACTACAAAAGGAGTGATTCCAACCTGCTCTATGATAGGGAATGTTCAACTCTGTGTCCTGAATACAAACATCACAAAGATGTTTCTCAGAACGCTGCAGTCTGCAATTTGTATGAATTCCCGCTTCCAACGAAATCCTCAAAACTAGCCAAATATCCACTTGCAGATTCCACAAAAAGACCATTTCAAAACTGCTCTATCAAAAGAAAGGTTCAACTTTGTTAGTTGAGTAGATACAGCATAACCAAGTTTCTGAGAATGCTTCTGTCCAGTTTTTATGGGAAGATATTTCCTTTTTCACCTTAGCCCTGAAATCGCTCCAAAAGTCCAGTTCCAGATACTACAAAAGGGGTGTTTCAAGACTGCTCTATGAAAGGGAGTGTTCAACTTTTGACTTGAATGCAAACATCAGAAAGCAGTTTCTCAGAACGCTGCTGTGTGCTTTTTATATGTATTCCCGCTTCCAGCGAAATCCCCAAAGCTAGCCAAATATCCACTTGCAGATTCCAGAAAAAGAGAGTTTCAAAACTGCTCCTTCAAAACGGTGGTTCAATTCTCTTAGTTGAGTACACACATCTCAAATAAGTTTCTGAGAATGCTTCTGTCTAGTTGTTATGGGAAGATATTTCCTTTTCCAACATAGGCCTGAAAGCGCTCCAAATGTCCACTTCCAGATACTACAAAAGGAGTGATTCAAACCTGCTCTATGATAGGGAATGTTCAACTCTGTGTCCTGAATACAAACATCACAAAGATGTTTCTCAGAACGCTGCAGTCTGCAATTTGTATGAATTCCCGCTTCCAACGAAATCCTCAAAACTAGCCAAATATCCACTTGCAGATTCCACAAAAAGAGCGTTTCAAAACTTCTCTATGAAAAGAAAGGTTCTACTCCTTTAGTTGAGGACACACATCACGAGTAAGTTTCTGAGAATGCTTCTGTCTAGTTTTTATGGGAAGATTATTTCCTTTTTCACCTTAGGCCGGTAAGTGCTCCAAATGTCCACTTACACACACTACAAAAAGAGTGTTTCAAACCTGCTCTGTGAAAGGGAATGTTCAATTCTGTGACTTGAATGCAATCATCACAAAGAACTTTCTGAGAATGCTGCTGACTGCTTTTTATATGTAATCCCGTTTCCAACGAAATCCTCAAATCTAGCCAAATAGCCACTTGCAGATTCCACAAAAAGAGTGTTTCAAAACTGTTCTGTCTAAAGAAATGTTCAACTGTGTTAGTTGAGGACACACATCAGAAACTAGTTTCTGAGAATGCTTCTGTCTAGTTGTTATGGGAAGATATTCCCTTTTCCAACGTAGGCCTGAAAGCGCTCCAAATGTCCACTTCCATATACTAAAAAAAGAGTGTTTCAAACCTGCTCTACCAAAGGGAATGTTCTACTCTGTGACTTGAATGCAAACATCCCAAAGAAGTTTCTGAGAATGCTTCTGTCTAGATTTTCTCTGAAGACAATCCCGTTTCCAACGAAATCCTCAAGGCTAGGCAAATATACTCTTGCAGATTCCAGAAAAAGAGTGTTTCAAAACTGCTCCTTCAAAACGGTGGTTCAATTCTCTTAGTTGAGTACACACATCTCAAATAAGTTTCTGAGAATGCTTCTGCCTAGTTGTTACGGGAAGATATTTCCCTTTCCAACATGGGCCTGAAAGCGCTCCAAATGTCCACTTCCAGATACTACAAAAAGAGTGTTTCAAACCTGCTCTACCAAAGGGAATGTTCTACTCTGTGACTTGAATGCAAACATCCCAAAGAAGTTTCTGAGAATGCTTCTGTCTAGATTTTACCTGAAGACAATCCCGTTTCCCACGAAATCCTCAAAGCTATGCAAATATCCTCTTGCAGATTCTACAAAAAGAGTGTTTCAAAACTGCTCTATGAAAAGAAAGGTTCAACTCTGTCAGTAGAGGGCACACATCACAAACAAGTTTCTGAGAATGCTTGTGTCTAGTTGGTATGGGACGATATTTCCTTTTTCAACATAGGCCTGAAAGCGCTCCAAATGTCCACTTCCAGATACTACAAAAGGAGTGATTCCAACATGCTCTATGATAGGGAATGTTCATCTCTGTGTCTTGAATACAAACATCACAAAGATGCTTCTCAGAACGCTGCAGTCTGCAATTTGTATGAATTCCCGCTTCCAACGAAATCCTCTAACCTAGCCAAATATCCACTTGCAGATTCCACAAAAAGAGCATTTCAAAACTGCTCTTTCAAAAGAAAGGTTCAACTTTGTTAGTTGAGTAGATACAGCATAAACAAGTTTCTGAGAATGCTTCTGTCCAGTTTTTATGGGAAGATATTTCCTTTTTCACCTTAGCCCTGAAATCGCTCCAAAAGTCCAGTTCCAGATACTACAAAAGGAGTGTTTCAAGACTGCTCTATGAAAGGGAGTGTTCAACTTTTGACTTGAATGCAAACATCAGAAAGCAGTTTCTCAGAACGCTGCTGTGTGCTTTTTATATGTATTCCCGCTTCCAGCGAAATCCCCAAAGCTAGCCAAATATCCACTTGCAGATTCCAGAAAAAGAGTGTTTCAAAACTGCTCCTTCAAAACGGTGGTTCAATTCTCTTAGTTGAGTACACACATCTCAAATAAGTTTCTGAGAATGCTTCTGTCTAGTTTTTATGGGAAGATATTTCCTTTTTCACCTGAGGCCGGAAAGCGCTCCAAATGTCCACTTCCAGATACTACAAAAGGAGTTATTCAAACCTGCTATATGAGAGGGAATGTTCAACTCTGTGTCCTGAATACAAACATCACAAAGATGTTTCTCAGAACGCTGCAGTCTGCAATTTGTATGAATTCCCGCTTCCAACGAAATCCTCAAAACTAGCCAAATATCCACTTGCAGATTCCACAAAAAGAGCGTTTCAAAACTTCTCTATGAAAAGAAAGGTTCTACTCCTTTAGTTGAGGACACACATCACGAGTAAGTTTCTGAGAATGCTTCTGTCTAGTTTTTATGGGAAGATATTTCCTTTTTCACCTTAGGCGGGTAAGTGCTCCAAATGTCCACTTACACACACTACAAAAAGAGTGTTTCAAACCTGCTCTGTGAAAGGGAATGTTCAATTCTGTGACTTGAATGCAATCATCACAAAGAACTTTCTGAGAATGCTGCTGACTGCTTTTTATATGTAATCCCGTTTCCAACGAAATCCTCAAATCTAGCCAAATAGCCACTTGCAGATTCCACAAAAAGAGTGTTTCAAAACTGTTCTGTCTAAAGAAATGTTCAACTGTGTTAGTTGAGGACACACATCAGAAACTAGTTTCTGAGAATGCTTCTGTCTAGTTGTTATGGGAAGATATTTCCTTTTCCAACGTAGGCCTGAAAGCGCTCCAAATGTCCACTTCCAGATACTAAAAAAAGAGTGTTTCAAACCTGCTCTACCAAAGGGAATGTTCTACTCTGTGACTTGAATGCAAACATCCCAAAGAAGTTTCTGAGAATGCTTCTGTCTAGATTTTCTCTGAAGACAATCCCGTTTCCAACGAAATCCTCAAGGCTAGGCAAATATACTCTTGCAGATTCCAGAAAAAGAGTGTTTCAAAACTGCTCCTTCAAAACGGTGGTTCAATTCTCTTAGTTGAGTACACACATCTCAAATAAGTTTCTGAGAATGCTTCTGCCTAGTTGTTACGGGAAGATATTTCCCTTTCCAACATGGGCCTGAAAGCGCTCCAAATGTCCACTTCCAGATACTACAAAAAGAGTGTTTCAAACCTGCTCTACCAAAGGGAATGTTCTACTCTGTGACTTGAATGCAAACATCCCAAAGAAGTTTCTGAGAATGCTTCTGTCTAGATTTTACCTGAAGACAATCCCGTTTCCCACGAAATCCTCAAAGCTATGCAAATATCCTCTTGCAGATTCTACAAAAAGAGTGTTTCAAAACTGCTCTATGAAAAGAAAGGTTCAACTCTGTCAGTAGAGGGCACACATCACAAACAAGTTTCTGAGAATGCTTCTGCATAGTTGTTACGGGAAGATATTTCCCTTTCCAAAATAGGCCTGAAAGCGCTCCAAATGTCCACTTCCAGATACTACAAAAGGAGTGATTCCAACCTGCTCTATGATAGGGAATGTTCAACTCTGTGTCCTGAATACAAACATCACAAAGATGTTTCTCAGAACGCTGCAGTCTGCAATTTGTATGAATTCCCGCTTCCAACGAAATCCTCAAAACTAGCCAAATATCCACTTGCAGATTCCACAAAAAGACCATTTCAAAACTGCTCTATCAAAAGAAAGGTTCAACTTTGTTAGTTGAGTAGATACAGCATAAACAAGTTTCTGAGAATGCTTCTGTCCAGTTTTTATGGGAAGATATTTCCTTTTTCACCTTAGCCCTGAAATCGCTCCAAAAGTCCAGTTCCAGATACTACAAAAGGGGTGTTTCAAGACTGCTCTATGAAAGGGAGTGTTCAACTTTTGACTTGAATGCAAACATCAGAAAGCAGTTTCTCAGAACGCTGCTGTGTGCTTTTTATATGTATTCCCGCTTCCAGCGAAATCCCCAAAGCTAGCCAAATATCCACTTGCAGATTCCAGAAAAAGAGAGTTTCAAAACTGCTCCTTCAAAACGGTGGTTCAATTCTCTTAGTTGAGTACACACATCTCAAATAAGTTTCTGAGAATGCTGCAGTCTGCAATTTGTATGAATTCCCCGCTTCCAACGAAATCCTCAAAACTAGCCAAATATCCACTTGCAGATTCCACAAAAAGAGCATTTCAAAACTGCTCTATCAAAAGAAAGGTTCAACTTTGTTAGTTGAGTAGATACAGCATAAACAAGTTTCTGAGAATGCTTCTGTCCAGTTTTTATGGGAAGATATTTCCTTTTTCACCTTAGCCCTGAAAGCGCTCCAAAAGTCCAGTTCCAGATACTACAAAAGGAGTGTTTCAGGACTGCACTATGAAAGGGAGTGTTCAACTTTTGACTTGAATGCAAACATCAGAAAGCAGTTTCTCAGAACGCTGCTGTGTGCTTTTTATATGTATTCCCGCTTCCAGCGAAATCCCCAAAGCTAGCCAAATATCCACTTGCAGATTCCAGAAAAAGAGTGTTTCAAAACTGCTCCTTCAAAACGGTGGTTCAATTCTCTTAGTTGAGTACACACATCTCAAATAAGTTTCTGAGAATGCTTCTGTCTAGTTGTTATGGGAAGATATTTCCTTTTCCAACATAGGCCTGAAAGCGCTCCAAATGTCCACTTCCAGATACTACAAAAGGAGTGATTCCAACCTGCTCTATGATAGGGAATGTTCAACTCTGTGTCCTGAATACAAACATCACAAAGATGTTTCTCAGAACGCTGCAGTCTGCAATTTGTATGAATTCCCGCTTCCAACGAAATCCTCAAAACTAGCCAAATATCCACTTGCAGATTCCACAAAAAGAGCGTTTCAAAACTTCTCTATGAAAAGAAAGGTTCTACTCCTTTAGTTGAGGACACACATCACGAGTAAGTTTCTGAGAATGCTTCTGTCTAGTTTTTATGGGAAGATATTTCCTTTTTCACCTTAGGCCGGTAAGTGCTCCAAATGTCCACTTACACACACTACAAAAAGAGTGTTTCAAACCTGCTCTGTGAAAGGGAATGTTCAATTCTGTGACTTGAATGCAATCATCACAAAGAACTTTCTGAGAATGCTGCTGACTGCTTTTTATATGTAATCCCGTTTCCAACGAAATCCTCAAATCTAACCAAATAGCCACTTGCAGATTCCACAAAAAGAGTGTTTCAAAACTGTTCTGTCTAAAGAAATGTTCAACTGTGTTAGTTGAGGACACACATCAGAAACTAGTTTCTGAGAATGCTTCTGTCTAGTTGTTATGGGAAGATATTTCCTTTTCCAACGTAGGCCTGAAAGCGCTCCAAATGTCCACTTCCAGATACTACAAAAAGAGTGTTTCAAACCTGCTCTACCAAAGGGAATGTTCTACTCTGTGACTTGAATGCAAACATCCCAAAGAAGTTTCTGAGAATGCTTCTGTCTAGATTTTCTCTGAAGACAATCCCGTTTCCAACGAAATCCTCAAGGCTAGGCAAATATACTCTTGCAGATTCCAGAAAAAGAGTGTTTCAAAACTGCTCCTTCAAAACGGTGGTTCAATTCTCTTAGTTGAGTACACACATCTCAAATAAGTTTCTGAGAATGCTTCTGCCTAGTTGTTACGGGAAGATATTTCCCTTTCCAACATGGGCCTGAAAGCGCTCCAAATGTCCACTTCCAGATACTACAAAAAGAGTGTTTCAAACCTGCTCTACCAAAGGGAATGTTCTACTCTGTGACTTGAATGCAAACATCCCAAAGAAGTTTCTGAGAATGCTTCTGTCTAGATTTTACCTGAAGACAATCCCGTTTCCCACGAAATCCTCAAAGCTATGCAAATATCCTCTTGCAGATTCTACAAAAAGAGTGTTTCAAAACTGCTCTATGAAAAGAAAGGTTCAACTCTGTCAGTAGAGGGCACACATCACAAACAAGTTTCTGAGAATGCTTCTGCATAGTTGTTACGGGAAGATATTTCCCTTTCCAAAATAGGCCTGAAAGCGCTCCAAATGTCCACTTCCAGATACTACAAAAGGAGTGATTCCAACCTGCTCTATGATAGGGAATGTTCAACTCTGTGTCCTGAATACAAACATCACAAAGATGTTTCTCAGAACGCTGCAGTCTGCAATTTGTATGAATTCCCGCTTCCAACGAAATCCTCAAAACTAGCCAAATATCCACTTGCAGATTCCACAAAAAGACCATTTCAAAACTGCTCTATCAAAAGAAAGGTTCAACTTTGTTAGTTGAGTAGATACAGCATAAACAAGTTTCTGAGAATGCTTCTGTCCAGTTTTTATGGGAAGATATTTCCTTTTTCACCTTAGCCCTGAAATCGCTCCAAAAGTCCAGTTCCAGATACTACAAAAGGGGTGTTTCAAGACTGCTCTATGAAAGGGAGTGTTCAACTTTTGACTTGAATGCAAACATCAGAAAGCAGTTTCTCAGAACGCTGCTGTGTGCTTTTTATATGTATTCCCGCTTCCAGCGAAATCCCCAAAGCTAGCCAAATATCCACTTGCAGATTCCAGAAAAAGAGAGTTTCAAAACTGCTCCTTCAAAACGGTGGTTCAATTCTCTTAGTTGAGTACACACATCTCAAATAAGTTTCTGAGAATGCTTCTGCATAGTTGTTACGGGAAGATATTTCCCTTTCCAAAATAGACCTGAAAGCGCTCCAAATGTCCACTTCCAGATACTACAAAAGGAGTGATTCCAACCTGCTCTATGATAGGGAATGTTCAACTCTGTGTCCTGAATACAAACATCACAAAGATGTTTCTCAGAACGCTGCAGTCTGCAATTTGTATGAATTCCCGCTTCCAACGAAATCCTCAAAACTAGCCAAATATCCACTTGCAGATTCCACAAAAAGAGCGTTTCAAAACTTCTCTATGAAAAGAAAGGTTCTACTCCTTTAGTTGAGGACACACATCACGAGTAAGTTTCTGAGAATGCTTCTGTCTAGTTTTTATGGGAAGATATTTCCTTTTTCACCTTAGGCCGGTAAGTGCTCCAAATGTCCACTTACACACACTACAAAAAGAGTGTTTCAAACCTGCTCTGTGAAAGGGAATGTTCAATTCTGTGACTTGAATGCAATCATCACAAAGAACTTTCTGAGAATGCTGCTGACTGCTTTTTATATGTAATCCCGTTTCCAACGAAATCCTCAAATCTAGCCAAATAGCCACTTGCAGATTCCACAAAAAGAGTGTTTCAAAACTGTTCTGTCTAAAGAAATGTTCAACTGTGTTAGTTGAGGACACACATCAGAAACTAGTTTCTGAGAATGCTTCTGTCTAGTTGTTATGGGAAGATATTTCCTTTTCCAACGTAGGCCTGAAAGCGCTCCAAATGTCCACTTCCAGATACTACAAAAAGAGTGTTTCAAACCTGCTCTACCAAAGGGAATGTTCTACTCTGTGACTGGAATGCAAGCATCCCAAAGAAGTTTCTGAGAATGTTTCTGTCTAGATTTTCTCTGAAGACAATCCCGTTTCCAACGAAATCCTCAAGGCTAGGCAAATATACTCTTGCAGATTCCAGAAAAAGAGTGTTTCAAAACTGCTCCTTCAAAACGGTGGTTCAATTCTCTTAGTTGAGTACACACATCTCAAATAAGTTTCTGAGAATGCTTCTGCCTAGTTGTTACGGGAAGATATTTCCCTTTCCAACATGGGCCTGAAAGCGCTCCAAATGTCCACTTCCAGATACTACAAAAAGAGTGTTTCAAACCTGCTCTACCAAAGGGAATGTTCTACTCTGTGACTTGAATGCAAACATCCCAAAGAAGTTTCTGAGAATGCTTCTGTCTAGATTTTACCTGAAGACAATCCCGTTTCCCACGAAATCCTCAAAGCTATGCAAATATCCTCTTGCAGATTCTACAAAAAGAGTGTTTCAAAACTGCTCTATGAAAAGAAAGGTTCAACTCTGTCAGTAGAGGGCACACATCACAAACAAGTTTCTGAGAATGCTTCTGCATAGTTGTTACGGGAAGATATTTCCCTTTCCAAAATAGGCCTGAAAGCGCTCCAAATGTCCACTTCCAGATACTACAAAAGGAGTGATTCCAACCTGCTCTATGATAGGGAATGTTCAACTCTGTGTCCTGAATACAAACATCACAAAGATGTTTCTCAGAACGCTGCAGTCTGCAATTTGTATGAATTCCCGCTTCCAACGAAATCCTCAAAACTAGCCAAATATCCACTTGCAGATTCCACAAAAAGAGCATTTCAAAACTGCTCTATCAAAAGAAAGGTTCAACTTTGTTAGTTGAGTAGATACAGCATAAACAAGTTTCTGAGAATGCTTCTGTCCAGTTTTTATGGGAAGATATTTCCTTTTTCACCTTAGCCCTGAAAGCGCTCCAAATTTCCAGTTCCAGATACTACAAAAGGGGTGTTTCAAGACTGCTCTATGAAAGGAAGTGTTCAACTTTTGATTTGAATGCAAACATCAGAAAGCAGTTTCTCAGAACGCTGCTGTGTGCTTTTTATATGTATTCCCGCTTCCAGCGAAATCCCCAAAGCTAGCCAAATATCCACTTGCAGATTCCAGAAAAAGAGTGTTTCCAAACTGCTCCTTCAAAACGGTGGTTCAATTCTCATAGTTGAGTACACACATCTCCAATAAGTTTCTGGGAATGCTTCTGTCTAGTTGTTATGGGAAGATATTTCCTTTTCCAACATAGGCCTGAAAGCGCTCCAAATGTCCACTTCCAGATACTACAAAAGGAGTGATTCAAACCTGCTCTATGATAGGGAATGTTCAACTCTGTGTCCTGAATACAAACATCACAAAGATGTTTCTCAGAACGCTGCAGTCTGCAATTTGTATGAATTCCCGCTTCCAACGAAATCCTCAAAACTAGCCAAATATCCACTTGGAGATTCCACAAAAAAAGCGTTTCAAAACTTCTCTATGAATAGAAAGGTTCTACTCCTTTAGTTGAGGACACACATCACGAGTTAGTTTCTGAGGATGCTTCCGTCTAGTTTTTATGGGAAGATATGTCCTTTTTCACCTTAGGCCGGAAAGCGCTCCAAATGTCCACTTACACACACTACAAAAAGAGTGTTTCAAACCTGCTCTGTGAAAGGGAATGTTCAATTCTGTGACTTGAATGCAATCATCACAAAGAACTTTCTGAGAATGCTGCTGACTGCTTTTTATATGTAATCCCGTTTCCAACGAAATCCTCAAATCTAGCCCAATATCCACTTGCAGATTCCACAAAAAGAGTGTTTCAAAACTGTTCTGTCTAAAGAAATGTACAACTGTGTCAGTTGAGGACACACATCAGAAACTAGTTTCTGAGAATGCTTCTGTCTAGTTGTTATGGGAAGATATTTCCTTTTCCAACGTAGGCCTGAAAGCGCTCCAAATGTCCACTTCCATATACTAAAAAAAGAGTGTTTCAAACCTGCTCTACCAAAGGGAATGTTCTACTCTGTGACTTGAATGCAAACATCCCAAAGAAGTTTCTGAGAATGCTTCTGTCTAGATTTTATCTGAAGACAATCCCGTTTCCAACGAAATCCTCAAGGCTAGGCAAATATACTCTTGCAGATTCCAGAAAAAGAGTGTTTCAAAACTGCTCCTTCAAAACGGTGGTTCAATTCTCTTAGTTGAGTACACACATCTCAAATAAGTTTCTGAGAATGCTTCTGCCTCGTTGTTACGGGAAGATATTTCCCTTTCCAACATGGGCCTGAAAGCGCTCCAAATGTCCACTTCCAGATACTACAAAAAGAGGGTTTCAAACCTGCTCTACCAAAGGGAATGTTCTACTCTGTGACTTGAATGCAAACATCCCAAAGAAGTTTCTGAGAATGCTTCTGTCTAGATTTTACCTGAAGACAATCCCGTTTCCCACGAAATCCCCAAAGCTATGCAAATATCCTCTTGCAGATTCTACAAAAAGAGTGTTTCAAAACTGCTCTATGAAAAGAAAGGTTCAACTCTGTCAGTAGAGGGCACACATCACAAACAAGTTTCTGAGAATGCTTGTGTCTAGTTGTTATGGGAAGATATTTCCTTTTTCAACATAGGCCTGAAAGCGCTCCAAATGTCCACTTCCAGATACTACAAAAGGAGTGATTCCAACCTGCTCTATGATAGGGAATGTTCATCTCTGTGTCCTGAATACAAACATCACAAAGATGTTTCTCAGAACGCTGCAGTCTGCAATTTGTATGAATTCCCGCTTCCAACGAAATCCTCAAAACTAGCCAAATATCCACTTGGAGATTCCACAAAAAGAGCGTTTCAAAACTTCTCTATGAATAGAAAGGTTCTACTCCTTTAGTTGAGGACACACATCACGAGTAAGTTTCTGAGAATGCTTCTGTCTAGTTTTTATGGGAAGATATTTCCTTTCTCACCTTAGGCCGGAAAGCGCTCCAAATGTCCACTTACACACACTACAAAAAGAGTGTTTCAAACCTGCTCTGTGAAAGGGAATGTTCAATTCTGTGACTTGAATGCAATCATCACAGAGAACTTTCTGAGAATGCTGCTGACTGCTTTTTATATGTAATCCCGTTTCCAACGAAATCCTCAAATCTAGCCAAATATCCACTTGCAGATTCCACAAAAAGAGTGTTTCAAAACTGTTCTGTCTAAAGAAATGTACAACTGTGTTAGTTGAGGACACACATCAGAAACTAGTTTCTGAGAATGCTTCTGTCTAGTTCTTATGGGAAGATATTTCCTTTTCCAACGTAGGCCTGAAAGCGCTCCAAATGTCCACTTCCATATACTAAAAAAAGAGTGTTTCAAACCTGCTCTACCAAAGAGAATGTTCTACTCTGTGACTTGAATACAAACATCCCAAAGAAGTTTCTGAGAATGCTTCTGTCTAGATTATATCTGAAGACAATCCCGTTTCCAACGAAATCCTCAAGGCTAGGCAAATATATTCTTGCAGAATCCAGAAAAAGAGTGTTTCAAAACTGCTCCTTCAAAACGGTGGTTCAATTCTCTTAGTTGAGTACACACATCTCAAATAAGTTTCTGAGAATGCTTCTGCCTAGTTGTTACGGGAAGATATTTCCCTTTCCAACATGGGCCTGAAAGCGCTCCAAATGTCCACTTCCAGATACTACAAAAAGAGTGTTTCAAACCTGCTCTACCAAAGGGAATGTTCTACTCTGTGACTTGAATGCAAACATCCCAAAGAAGTTTCTGAGAATGCTTCTGTCTAGATTTTACCTGAAGACAATCCCGTTTCCCACGAAATCCTCAAAGCTATGCAAATATCCTCTTGCAGATTCTACAAAAAGAGTGTTTCAAAACTGCTCTATGAAAAGAAAGGTTCAACTCTGTCAGTAGAGGGCACACATCACAAACAAGTTTCTGAGAATGCTTCTGCATAGTTGTTACGGGAAGATATTTCCCTTTCCAAAATAGGCCTGAAAGCGCTCCAAATGTCCACTTCCAGATACTACAAAAGGAGTGATTCCAACCTGCTCTATGATAGGGAATGTTCAACTCTGTGTCCTGAATACAAACATCACAAAGATGTTTCTCAGAACGCTGCAGTCTGCAATTTGTATGAATTCCCGCTTCCAACGAAATCCTCAAAACTAGCCAAATATCCACTTGCAGATTCCACAAAAAGACCATTTCAAAACTGCTCTATCAAAAGAAAGGTTCAACTTTGTTAGTTGAGTAGATACAGCATAAACAAGTTTCTGAGAATGCTTCTGTCCAGTTTTTATGGGAAGATATTTCCTTTTTCACCTTAGCCCTGAAATCGCTCCAAAAGTCCAGTTCCAGATACTACAAAAGGGGTGTTTCAGGACTGCTCTATGAAAGGGAGTGTTCAACTTTTGACTTGAATGCAAACATCAGAAAGCAGTTTCTCAGAACGCTGCTGTGTGCTTTTTATATGTATTCCCGCTTCCAGCGAAATCCCCAAAGCTAGCCAAATATCCACTTGCAGATTCCAGAAAAAGAGAGTTTCAAAACTGCTCCTTCAAAACGGTGGTTCAATTCTCTTAGTTGAGTACACACATCTCAAATAAGTTTCTGAGAATGCTTCTGTCTAGTTGTTATGGGAAGATATTTCCTTTTCCAACATAGGCCTGAAAGCGCTCCAAATGTCCACTTCCAGATACTACAAAAGGAGTGATTCCAACCTGCTCTATGATAGGGAATGTTCAACTCTGTGTCCTGAATACAAACATCACAAAGATGTTTCTCAGAACGCTGCGGTCTGCAATTTGTATGAATTCCGGCTTCCAACGAAATCCTCCAAACTAGCCAAATATCCACTTGCAGATTCCACAAAAAGAGCGTTTCAAAACTTCTCTATGAAAAGAAAGGTTCTACTCCTTTAGTTGAGGACACACATCACGAGTAAGTTTCTGAGAATGCTTCTGTCTAGTTTTTATGGGAAGATATTTCCTTGTTCACCTTAGGCCGGAAAGCGCTCCAAATGTCCACTTACACACACTACAAAAAGAGTGTTTCAAACCTGCTCTGTGAAAGGGAATGTTCAATTCTGTGACTTGAATGCAATCATCACAAAGAAGTTTCTGAGAATGCTGCTGTCTGCTTTTTATATGTAATCCCGTTTCCAACGGAAATCCTCAAATCTAGCCAAATATCCACTTGCAGATTCCACAAAGAGAGTGTTTCAAAACTGTTCTGTCTAAAGAAATGTTCAACTGTGTTAGTTGAGGACACACATCAGAAACTAGTTTCTGAGAATGCTTCTGTCTAGTTGTTATGGGAAGATATTTCCTTTTCCAACGTAGGCCTGAAAGCGCTCCAAATGTCCACTTCCATATACTAAAAAAAGAGTGTTTCAAACCTGCTCTACCAAAGGGAATGTTCTACTCTGTGACTTGAATGCAAACATCCCAAAGAAGTTTCTGAGAATGCTTCTGTCTAGATTGGATCTGAAGACAATCCCGTTTCCAACGAAATCCTCAAATCTATGCAAATATCCTCTTGCAGATTCCAGAAAAAGAGTGTTTCAAAACTGCTCCTTCAAAACGGTGGTTCAATTCTCTTAGTTGAGTACACACATCTCAAATAAGTTTCTGAGAATGCTTCTGCCTAGTTGTTACGGGAAGATATTTCCCTTTCCAACATAGGCCTGAAAGCGCTCCAAATGTCCACTTCCAGATACTACAAAAAGAGTGTTTCAAACCTGCTCTACCAAAGGGAATGTTCTACTCTGTGACTTGAATGCAAACATCCCGAAGAATTTTCTGAGAATGCTTCTGTCTAGATTTTACCTGAAGACAATCCCGTTTCCCACGAAATCCTCAAAGCTATGCAAATATCCTCTTGCAGATTCTACAAAAAGAGTGTTTCGAAACTGCTCTATGAAAAGAAAGGTTCAACTCTGTCAGTAGAGGGCACACATCACAACAAGTTTCTGAGAATGCTTGTGTCTACTTGTTATGGGAAGATATTTCCTTTTTCAACATAGGCCTCAAAGCGCTCGAAATGGCCACTTCCAGATACTACAAAAGGAGTGATTCCAACCTGCTCTATGATAGGGAATGTTCAACTCTGTGTCCTGAATACAAACATCACAAAGATGTTTCTCAGAACGCTGCAGTCTGCAATTTGTATGAATTCCAGCTTCCAACGAAATCCTCAAATCTAGCCAAATATCCACTTGCAGATTCCACAAAAAGAGCATTTCAAAACTGCTCTATCAAAAGAAAGGTTCAACTTTGTTAGTAGAGTAGATACAGCATAAACAAGTTTCTGAGAATGCTTCTGTCCAGTTTTTATGGGAAGATATTTCCTTTTTCACCTTAGCCCTGAAAGCGCTCCAAAAGTCTAGTTCCAGATACTACAAAAGGAGTGTTTCAGGACTGCTCTATGAAAGGGAGTGTTCAACTTTTGACTTGAATGCAAACATCAGAAAGCAGTTTCTCAGAACTCTGCTGTATGCTTTTTATATGTATTCCCGCTTCCAGCGAAATCCCCAAAGCTAGCCAAATATCCACTTGCAGATTCCAGAAAAAGAGTGTTTCAAAACTGCTCCTTCAAAACGGTGGTTCAATTCTCTTACTTGAGTACACACATCTCAAATAAGTTTCTGAGAATGCTTCTGTCTAGTTGTTATGGGAAGATATTTCCTTTTCCAACATAGGCCTGAAAGCGCTCCAAATGTCCACTTCCAGATACTACAAAAGGAGTGATTCAAACCTGCTCTATGATAGGGAATGTTCAACTCTGTGTCCTGAATACAAACATCACAAAGATGTTTCTCAGAACGCTGCAGTCTGCAATTTGTATGAATTCCCGCTTCCAACGAAATCCTCAAAACTAGCCAAATATCCACTTGCAGATTCCACAAAAAGAGCGTTTCAAAACTTCTCTATGAAAAGAAAGGTTCTACTTCTTTAGTTGAGGACACACATCACGAGTAAGTTTCTGAGAATGCTTCTGTCTAGTTTTTATGGGAAGATATTTCCTTTTTCACCTTAGGCCGGAAAGTGCTCCAAATGTCCACTTACACACACTACAAAAAGAGTGTTTCAAACCTGCTCTGTGAAAGGGAATGTTCAATTCTGTGACTTGAATGCAATCATCACAAAGAACTTTCTGAGAATGCTGCTGACTGCTTTTTATATGTAATCCCGTTTCCAACGAAATCCTCAAATCTAGCCAAATAGCCACTTGCAGATTCCACAAAAAGAGTGTTTCAAAACTGTTCTGTCTAAAGAAATGTTCAACTGTGTTAGTTGAGGACACACATCAGAAACTAGTTTCTGAGAATGCTTCTGTCTAGTTGTTATGGGAAGATATTTCCTTTTCCAACGTAGGCCTGAAAGCGCTCCAAATGTCCACTTCCAGATACTACAAAAAGAGTGTTTCAAACCTGCTCTACCAAAGGGAATGTTCTACTCTGTGACTTGAATGCAAGCATCCCAAAGAAGTTTCTGAGAATGCTTCTGTCTAGATTTTCTCTGAAGACAATCCCGTTTCCAACGAAATCCTCAAGGCTAGGCAAATATACTCTTGCAGATTCCAGAAAAAGAGTGTTTCAAAACTGCTCCTTCAAAACGGTGGTTCAATTCTCTTAGTTGAGTACACACATCTCAAATAAGTTTCTGAGAATGCTTCTGCCTAGTTGTTACGGGAAGATATTTCCCTTTCCAACATGGGCCTGAAAGCGCTCCAAATGTCCACTTCCAGATACTACAAAAAGAGTGTTTCAAACCTGCTCTACCAAAGGGAATGTTCTACTCTGTGACTTGAATGCAAACATCCCAAAGAAGTTTCTGAGAATGCTTCTGTCTAGATTTTACCTGAAGACAATCCCGTTTCCCACGAAATCCTCAAAGCTATGCAAATATCCTCTTGCAGATTCTACAAAAAGAGTGTTTCAAAACTGCTCTATGAAAAGAAAGGTTCAACTCTGTCAGTAGAGGGCACACATCACAAACAAGTTTCTGAGAATGCTTGTGTCTAGTTGTTATGGGAAGATATTTCCTTTTTCAACATAGGCCTGAAAGCGCTCCAAATGTCCACTTCCAGATACTACAAAAGGAGTGATTCCAACCTGCTCTATGATAGGGAATGTTCATCTCTGTGTCCTGAATACAAACATCACAAAGATGTTTCTCAGAACGCTGCAGTCTGCAATTTGTATGAATTCCCGCTTCCAACGAAATCCTCAAAACTAGCCAAATATCCACTTGCAGATTCCACAAAAAGAGCATTTCAAAACTGCTCTATCAAAAGAAAGGTTCAACTTTGTTAGTTGAGTAGATACAGCATAAACAAGTTTCTGAGAATGCTTCTGTCCAGTTTTTATGGGAAGATATTTCCTTTTTCACCTTAGCCCTGAAAGCGCTCCAAAAGTCCAGTTCCAGATACTACAAAAGGGGTGTTTCAAGACTGCTCTATGAAAGGGAGTGTTCAACTTTTGACTTGAATGCAAACATCAGAAAGCAGTTTCTCAGAACGCTGCTGTGTGCTTTTTATATGTATTCCCGCTTCCAGCGAAATCCCCAAAGCTAGCCAAATATCCACTTGCAGATTCCAGAAAAAGAGTGTTTCAAAACTGCTCCTTCAAAACGGTGGTTCAATTCTCTTAGTTGAGTACACACATCTCAAATAAGTTTCTGAGAATGCTTCTGTCTAGTTGTTATGGGAAGATATTTCCTTTTCCAACATAGGCCTGAAAGCGCTCCAAATGTCCACTTCCAGATACTACAAAAGGAGTGATTCCAACCTGCTCTATGATAGGGAATGTTCAACTCTGTGTCCTGAATACAAACATCACAAAGATGTTTCTCAGAACGCTGCAGTCTGCAATTTGTATGAATTCCCGCTTCCAACGAAATCCTCCAAACTAGCCAAATATCCACTTGCAGATTCCACAAAAAGAGCGTTTCAAAACTTCTCTATGAAAAGAAAGGTTCTACTCCTTTAGTTGAGGACACACATCACGAGTAAGTTTCTGAGAATGCTTCTGTCTAGTTTTTATGGGAAGATATGTCCTTTTTCACCTTAGGCCGGAAAGCGCTCCAAATGTCCACTTACACACACTACAAAAAGAGTGTTTCAAACCTGCTCTGTGAAAGGGAATGTTCAATTCTGTGACTTGAATGCAATCATCACAAACAACTTTACTGAGAATGCTGCTGTCTGCTTTTTATATGTAATCCCGTTTCCAACGAAATCCTCAAATCTAGCCAAATAGCCACTTGCAGATTCCACAAAAAGAGTGTTTCAAAACTGTTCTGTCTAAAGAAATGTTCAACTGTGTTAGTTGAGGACACACATCAGAAACTAGTTTCTGAGAATGCTTCTGTCTAGTTGTTATGGGAAGATATTTCCTTTTCCAACGTAGGCCTGAAAGCGCTCCAAATGTCCACTTCCATATACTAAAAAAAGAGTGTTTCAAACCTGCTCTACCAAAGGGAATGTTCTACTCTGTGACTTGAATGCAAACATCCCAAAGAAGTTTCTGAGAATGCTTCTGTCTAGATTTGATCTGAAGACAATCCCGTTTCCAACGAAATCCTCAAGGCTAGGCAAATATCCTCTTGCAGATTCCAGAAAAAGAGTGTTTCAAAACTGCTCCTTCAAAACGGTGGTTCAATTCTCTTAGTTGAGTACACACATCTCAAATAAGTTTCTGAGAATGCTTCTGCCTAGTTGTTACGGGAAGATATTTCCCTTTCCAGCATAGGCCTGAAAGCACTCCAAATGTCCACTTCCAGATACTACAAAAAGAGTGTTTCAAACCTGCTCTACCAAAGGGAATGTTCTACTCTGTGACTTGAATGCAAACATCCCAAAGAAGTTTCTGAGAATGCTTCTGTCTAGATTTTACCTGAAGACAATCCCGTTTCCCACGAAATCCTCAAAGCTATGCAAATATCCTCTTGCAGATTCTACAAAAAGAGTGTTTCAAAACTGCTCTATGAAAAGAAAGGTTCAACTCTGTCAGTAGAGGGCACACATCACAAACAAGTTTCTGAGAATGCTTGTGTCTAGTTGTTATGGGAAGTATATTTCCTTTTTCAACATAGGCCTGAAAGCGCTCCAAATGTCCACTTCCAGATACTACAAAAGGAGTGATTCCAACCTGCTCTATGATAGGGAATGTTCAACTCTCTGTCCTGAATACAAACATCACAAAGATGTTTCTCAGAACGCTGCAGTCTGCAATTTGTATGAATTCCCGCTTCCAACGAAATCCTCCAAACAAGCCAAATATCCACTTGCAGATTCCACAAAAAGAGCGTTTCAAAACTTCTCTATGAAAAGAAAGGTTCTACTCCTTTAGTTGAGGACACACATCACGAGTAAGTTTCTGAGAATGCTTCTGTCTAGTTTTTATGGGAAGATATTTCCTTGTTCACCTTAGGCCGGAAAGCGCTCCAAATGTCCACTTACACACACTACAAAAAGAGTGTTTCAAACCTGCTCTGTGAAAGGGAATGTTCAATTCTGTGACTTGAATGCAATCATCACAAAGAAGTTTCTGAGAATGCTGCTGTCTGCTTTTTATATGTAATCCCGTTTCCAACGAAATCCTCAAATCTAGCCAAATATCCACTTGCAGATTCCACAAAAAGAGTGTTTCAAAACTGTTCTGTCTAAAGAAATGTTCAACTGTGTTAGTTGAGGACACACATCAGAAACTAGTTTCTGAGAATGCTTCCGTCCAGTTGTTATGGGAAGATATTTCCTTTTCCAACGTAGGCCTGAAAGCGCTCCAAATGTCCACTTCCATATACTAAAAAAAGAGTGTTTCAAACCTGCTCTACCAAAGGAATGTTCTACTCTGTGACTTGAATGCAAACATCCCAAAGAAGTTTCTGAGAATGCTTCTGTCTAGATTTGATCTGAAGACAATCCCTTTTCCAACGAAATCCTCAAAGCTAGGCAAATATCCTCTTGCAGATTCCAGAAAAAGAGTGTTTCCAAACTGCTCCTTCAAAACGGTGGTTCAATTCTCTTAGTTGAGTACACACATCTCAAATAAGTTTCTGAGAATGCTTCTGCCTAGTTGTTACGGGAAGATATTTCCCTTTCCAACATAGGCCTGAAAGCGCAACAAATGTCCACTTCCAGATACGACAAAAAGAGTGTTTCAAACCTGCTCTACCAAAGGGAATGTTCTACTCTGTGACTTGAATGCAAACATCCCGAAGAAGTTTCTGAGAATGCTTCTGTCTAGGTTTTACCTGAAGACAATCCCGTTTCCCACGAAATCCTCAGAGCTATGCAAATATCCTCTTGCAGATTCTACAAAAAGAGTGTTTCGAAACTGCTCTATGAAAAGAAAGGTTCAACTCTGTCAGTAGAGGAAACACATCATCAACAAGTTTCTGAGAATGCTTCTGTCTAGTTGTTATGGGAAGATTTTTCCTTTTTCAACATAGGCCTGAAAGCGCTCCAAATGTCCACTTCCAGATACTACAAAAGGAGTGATCCCAACCTGCTCTATGATAGGGAATGTTCAACTCTGTGTCCTGAATACAAACATCACAAAGATGTTTCTCAGAACGCTGCAGTCTGCAATTTGTATGAATTCCCGCTTCCAACGAAATCCTCCAAACTAGCCAAATATCCACTTGCAGATTCCACAAAAAGAGCATTTCAAAACTGCTCTATCAAAAGAAAGGTTCAACTTTGTTAGTTGAGTAGATACAGCATAAACAAGTTTCTGAGAATGCTTCTGTCCAGTTTTTATGGGAAGATATTTCCTTTTTCACCTTAGCCCTGAAAGCGCTCCAAATTTCCAGTTCCAGATACTACAAAAGGGGTGTTTCAAGACTGCTCTATGAAAGGGAGTGTTCAACTTTTGACTTGAATGCAAACATCAGAAAGCAGTTTCTCAGAACGCTGCTGTGTGCTTTTTATATGTATTCCCGCTTCCAGCGAAATCCCCAAAGCTAGCCAAATATCCACTTGCAGATTCCAGAAAAAGAGTGTTTCCAAACTGCTCCTTCAAAACGGTGGTTCAATTCTCTTAGTTGAGTACACACATCTCAAATAAGTTTCTGGGAATGCTTCTGTCTAGTTGTTATGGGAAGATATTTCCTTTTCCAACATAGGCCTGAAAGCGCTCCAAATGTCCACTTCCAGATACTACAAAAGGAGTGATTCAAACCTGCTCTATGATAGGGAATGTTCAACTCTGTGTCCTGAATACAAACATCACAAAGATGTTTCTCAGAACGCTGCAGTCTGCATCTTGTATGAATTCCCACTTCCAACGAAATCCTCCAAACTAGCCAAATATCCACTTGCAGATTCCACAAAAAGAGCGTTTCAAAACTTCTCTATGAAAAGAAAGGTTCTACTCCTTTAGTTGAGGACACACATCACGAGTAAGTTTCTGAGAATGCTTCTGTCTAGTTTTTATGGGAAGATATTTCCTTGTTCACCTTAGGCCGGAAAGCGCTCCAAATGTCCACTTACACACACTACAAAAAGAGTGTTTCAAACCTGCTCTGTGAAAGGGAATGTTCAATTCTGTGACTTGAATGCAATCATCACAAAGAAGTTTCTGAGAATGCTGCTGTCTGCTTTTTATATGTAATCCCGTTTCCAACGAAATCCTCAAATCTAGCAAAATATCCACTTGCAGATTCCACAAAAAGAGTGTTTCAAAACTGTTCTGTCTAAAGAAATGTTCAACTGTGTTAGTTGAGGACACACATCAGAAACTAGTTTCTGAGAATGCTTCTGTCTAGTTGTTATGGGAAGATATTTCCTTTTCCAACGTAGGTCTGAAAGCGCTCCAAATGTCCACTTACACACACTACAAAAAGAGTGTTTCAAACCTGCTCTACCAAAGGGAATGTTCTACTCTGTGACTTGAATGCAAACATCCCAAAGAAGTTTCTGAGAATGCTTCTGTCTAGATTTTACCTGAAGACAATCCCGTTTCCCACGAAATCCTCAAAGCTATGCAAATATCCTCTTGCAGATTCTACAAAAAGAGTGTTTCGAAACTGCTCTATGAAAAGAAAGGTTCAACTGTGTCAGTAGAGGGCACACATCACAAACAAGTTTCTGAGAATGCTTCTGTCTAGTTGTTATGGGAAGATATTTCCTTTTTCAACATAGGCCTGAAAGCGCTCCAAATGTCCACTTCCAGATACTACAAAAGGAGTGATTCCAACCTGCTCTATGATAGGGAATGTTCAACTCTGTGTCCTGAATACAAACATCACAAAGATGTTTCTCAGAACGCTGCAGTCTGCAATTTGTATGAATTCCGGCTTCCAACGAAAATCCTCAAAACTAGCCAAATATCCACTTGCAGATTCCACAAAAAGAGCATTTCAAAACTGCTCTATCAAAAGAAAGGTTCAACTTTGTTAGTTGAGTAGATACAGCATAAACAAGTTTCTGAGAATGCTTCTGTCCAGTTTTTATGGGAAGATATTTCCTTTTTCACCTTAGCCCTGAAAGCGCTCCAAATGTCCAGTTCCAGATACTACAAAAGGGGTGTTTCAAGACTGCTCTATGAAAGGGAGTGTTCAACTTTTGACTTGAATGCAAACATCAGAAAGCAGTTTCTCAGAACGCTGCTGTGTGCTTTTTATATGTATTCCCGCTTCCAGCGAAATCCCCAAAGCTAGCCAAATATCCACTTGCAGATTCCAGAAAAAGAGTGTTTCCAAACTGCTCCTTCAAAACGGTGGTTCAATTCTCTTAGTTGAGTACACACATCTCAAATAAGTTTCTGGGAATGCTTCTGTCTAGTTGTTATGGGAAGATATTTCCTTTTCCAACATAGGCCTGAAAGCGCTCCAAATGTCCACTTCCAGATACTACAAAAGGAGTGATTCAAACCTGCTACTATGATAGGGAATGTTCAACTCTGTGTCCTGAATACAAACATCACAAAGATGTTTCTCAGAACGCTGCAGTCTGCAATTTGTATGAATTCCCGCTTCCAACGAAATCCTCAAAACTAGCCAAATATCCACTTGCAGATTCCACAAAAAGAGCATTTCAAAACTGCTCTATCAAAAGAAAGGTTCAACTTTGTTAGTTGAGTAGATACAGCATAAACACGTTTCTGAGAATGCTTCTGTCCAGTTTTTATGGGAAGATATTTCCTTTTTCACCTTAGCCCTGAAAGCGCTCCAAAAGTCCAGTTCCAGATACTACAAAAGGAGTGTTTCAGGACTGCTCTATGAAAGGGAGTGTTCAACTTTTGACTTGAATGCAAACATCAGAAAGCAGTTTCTCAGAACGCTGCTGTGTGCTTTTTATATGTATTCCCGCTTCCAGCGAAATCCCCAAAGCTAGCCAAATATCCACTTGCAGATTCCAGAAAAAGAGTGTTTCAAAACTGCTCCTTCAAAACGGTGGTTCAATTCTCTTAGTTGAGTACACACATCTCAAATAAGTTTCTGAGAATGCTTCTGTCTAGTTGTTATGGGAAGATATTTCCTTTTCCAACATAGGCCTGAAAGCGCTCCAAATGTCCACTTCCAGATACTACAAAAGGAATGATTCAAACCTGCTCTATGATAGGGAATGTTCAACTCTGTGTCCTGAATACAAACATCACAAAGATGTTTCTCAGAACGCTGCAGTCTGCAATTTGTATGAATTCCCGCTTCCAACGAAATCCTCCAAACTAGCCAAATATCCACTTGCAGATTCCACAAAAAGAGCGTTTCAAAACTTCTCTATGAAAAGAAAGGTTCTACTCCTTTAGTTGAGGACACACATCACGAGTAAGTTTCTGAGAATGCTTCTGTCTAGTTTTTATGGGAAGATATTTCCTTTTTCACCTTAGGCCGGAAAGTGCTCCAAATGTCCACTTACACACACTACAAAAAGAGTGTTTCAAACCTGCTCTGTGAAAGGGAATGTTCAATTCTGTGACTTGAATGCAATCATCACAAAGAACGTTCTGAGAATGCTGCTGTCTGCTTTTTATATGTAATCCCGTTTCCAACGAAATCCTCAAATCTAGCCAAATAGCCACTTGCAGATTCCAGAAAAAGAGAGTTTCAAAACTGTTCTGTCTAAAGAAATGTTCAACTGTGTTAGTTGAGGACACACATCAGGAACTAGTTTCTGAGAATGCTTCTGTCTAGTTGTTATGGGAAGATATTTCCTTTTCCAACGTAGGCCTGAAAGCGCTCCAAATGTCCACTTCCATATACTAAAAAAAGAGTGTTTCAAACCTGCTCTACCAAAGGGAATGTTCTACTCTGTGACTTGAATGCAAACATCCCAAAGAAGTTTCTGAGAATGCTTCTGTCTAGATTTTATCTGAAGACAATCCCGTTTCCAACGAAATCCTCAAGTCTAGGCAAATATTCTCTTGCAGATTCCAGAAAAAGAGTGTTTCAAAACTGCTCCTTCAAAACGGTGGTTCAGTTCTCTTAGTTGAGTACACACATCTCAAATAAGTTTCTGAGAATGCTTCTGCCTAGTTGTTACGGGAAGATATTTCCCTTTCCAACATAGGCCTGAAAGCGCTCCAAATGTCCACTTCCAGATACTACAAAAAGAGTGTTTCAAACCTGCTCTACCAAAGGGAATGTTCTACTCTGTGACTTGAATGCAAACATCCCAAAGAAGTTTCTGAGAATGCTTCTGTCTAGATTTTACCTGAAGACAATCCCGTTTCCCACGAAATCCTCAAAGCTATGGAAATATCCTCTTGCAGATTCTACAAAAAGAGTGTTTCAAAACTGCTCTATGAGAAGAAAGGTTCAACTCTGTCACTAGAGGGCACACATCACAAACAAGTTTCTGAGAATGCTTGTGTCTAGTTGTTATGGGAAGATATTTCCTTTTTCAACATAGGCCTGAAAGCGCTCCAAATGTCCACTTCCAGATACTACAAAAGGAGTGATTCCAACCTGCTCTATGATAGGGAATGTTCAACTCTCTGTCCTGAATACAAACATCACAAAGATGTTTCTCAGAACGCTGCAGTCTGCAATTTGTATGAATTCCCGCTTCCAACGAAATCCTCAAAACTAGCCAAATATCCACTTGCAGATTCCACAAAAAGAGCATTTCAAAACTGCTCTATCAAAAGAAAGGTTCAACTTTGTTAGTTGAGTAGATACAGCATAAACAAGTTTCTGAGAATGCTTCTGTCCAGTTTTTATGGGAAGATATTTCCTTTTTCACCTTAGCCCTGAAAGCGCTCCAAAAGTCCAGTTCCAGATACTACAAAAGGAGTGTTTCAGGACTGCTCTATGAAAGGGAGTGTTCAACTTTTGACTTGAATGCAAACATCAGAAAGCAGTTTCTCAGAACGCTGCTGTGTGCTTTTTATATGTATTCCCGCTTCCAGCGAAATCCCCAAAGCTAGCCAAATATCCACTTGCAGATTCCAGAAAAAGAGTGTTTCAAAACTGCTCCTTCAAAACGGTGGTTCAATTCTCTAAGTTGAGTACACACATCTCAAATAAGTTTCTGAGAATGCTTGTGTCTAGTTGTTATGGGAAGATATTTCCTTTTTCAACATAGGCCTGAAAGCGCTCCAAATGTCCACTTCCAGATACTACAAAAGGAGTGATTCCAACCTGCTCTATGATAGGGAATGTTCCACTCTGTGTCCTGAATACAAACATCACAAAGATGTTTCTCAGAACGCTGCAGTCTGCAATTTGTATGAATTCCCGCTTCCAACGAAATCCTCAAAACTAGCCAAATATCCACTTGCAGATTCCACAAAAAGAGCGTTTCAAAACTTCTCTATGAAAAGAAAGGTTCTACTTCTTTAGTTGAGGACACACATCACGAGTAAGTTTCTGAGAATGGTTCTGTCTAGTTTTTATGGGAAGATATTTCCTTTTTCACCTTAGGCCGGAAAGTGCTCCAAATGTCCACTTACACACACTATACAAAGAGTGTTTCAAACCTGCTCTGTGAAAGGGAATGTTCAATACTGTGACTTGAATGCAATCATCACAAAGAAGTTTCTGAGAATGCTGCTGTCTGCTTTTTATATGTAATCCCGTTTCCAACGAAATCCTCAAATCTAGCCAAATAGCCACTTGCAGATACCACAAAAAGAGTGTTTCAAAACTGTTCTGTCTAAAGAAATGTTCAACTGTGTTAGTTGAGGACACACATCAGAAACTAGTTTCTGAGAATGCTTCTTTCTAGTTGTTATGGGAAGATATTTCCTTTTCCAACGTAGGCCTGAAAGCGCTCCAAATGTCCACTTCCAGATACTACAAAAAGAGTGTTTCAAACCTGCTCTACCAAAGGGAATGTTCTACTCTGTGACTTGAATGCAAACATCCCAAAGAAGTTTCTGAGAATGCTTCTGTCTAGATTTTCTCTGAAGACAATCCCGTTTCCAACGAAATCCTCAAGGCTAGGCAAATATACTCTTGCAGATTCCAGAAAAAGAGTGTTTCAAAACTGCTCCTTCAAAACGGTGGTTCAATTCTCTTAGTTGAGTACACACATCTCAAATAAGTTTCTGAGAATGCTTCTGCCTAGTTGTTACGGGAAGATATTTCCCTTTCCAACATGGGCCTGAAAGCGCTCCAAATGTCCACTTCCAGATACTACAAAAAGAGTGTTTCAAACCTGCTCTACCAAAGGGAATGTTCTACTCTGTGACTTGAATGCAAACATCCCAAAGAAGTTTCTGAGAATGCTTCTGTCTAGATTTTACCTGAAGACAATCCCGTTTCCCACGAAATCCTCAAAGCTATGCAAATATCCTCTTGCAGATTCTACAAAAAGAGTGTTTCAAAACTGCTCTATGAAAAGAAAGGTTCAACTCTGTCAGTAGAGGGCACACATCACAAACAAGTTTCTGAGAATGCTTCTGCATAGTTGTTACGGGAAGATATTTCCCTTTCCAAAATAGGCCTGAAAGCGCTCCAAATGTCCACTTCCAGATACTACAAAAGGAGTGATTCCAACCTGCTCTATGATAGGGAATGTTCAACTCTGTGTCCTGAATACAAACATCACAAAGATGTTTCTCAGAACGCTGCAGTCTGCAATTTGTATGAATTCCCGCTTCCAACGAAATCCTCAAAACTAGCCAAATATCCACTTGCAGATTCCACAAAAAGAGCATTTCAAAACTGCTCTATCAAAAGAAAGGTTCAACTTTGTTAGTTGAGTAGATACAGCATAAACAAGTTTCTGAGAATGCTTCTGTCCAGTTTTTATGGGAAGATATTTCCTTTTTCACCTTAGCCCTGAAATCGCTCCAAAAGTCCAGTTCCAGATACTACAAAAGGGGTGTTTCAAGACTGCTCTATGAAAGGGAGTGTTCAACTTTTGACTTGAATGCAAACATCAGAAAGCAGTTTCTCAGAACGCTACTGTGTGCTTTTTATATGTATTCCCGCTTCCAGCGAAATCCCCAAAGCTAGCCAAATATCCACTTGCAGATTCCAGAAAAAGAGAGTTTCAAAACTGCTCCTTCAAAACGGTGGTTCAATTCTCTTAGTTGAGTACACACATCTCAAATAAGTTTCTGAGAATGCTTCTCTCCAGTTTTTATGGGAAGATATTTCCTTTTTCACCTTAGCCCTGAAAGCGCTCCAAAAGTCCAGTTCCAGATACTACAAAAGGAGTGTTTCAGGACTGCTCTATGAAAGGGAGTGTTCAACTTTTGACTTGAATGCAAACATCAGAAAGCAGTTTCTCAGAACGCTGCAGTCTGCAATTTGTATGAATTCCCGCTTCCAACGAAATCCTCAAAACTAGCCAAATATCCACTTGCAGATTCCACAAAAAGACCATTTCAAAACTGCTCTATCAAAAGAAAGGTTCAACTTTGTTAGTTGAGTAGATACAGCATAAACAAGTTTCTGAGAATGCTTCTGTCCAGTTTTTATGGGAAGATATTTCCTTTTTCACCTTAGCCCTGAAAGCGCTCCAAAAGTCCAGTTCCAGATACTACAAAAGGAGTGTTTCAGGACTGCTCTATGAAAGGGAGTGTTCAACTTTTGACTTGAATGCAAACATCAGAAAGCAGTTTCTCAGAACGCTGCTGTGTGCTTTTTATATGTATTCCCGCTTCCAGCGAAATCCCCAAAGCTAGCCAAATATCCACTTGCAGATTCCAGAAAAAGAGTGTTTCAAAACTGCTCCTTCAAAACGGTGGTTCAATTCTCTTAGTTGAGTACACACATCTCAAATAAGTTTCTGAGAATGCTTCTGTCTAGTTGTTATGGGAAGATATTTCCTTTTCCAACATAGGCCTGAAAGCGCTCCAAATGTCCACTTCCAGATACTACAAAAGGAGTGATTCAAACCTGCTCTATGATAGGGAATGTTCAACTCTGTGTCCTGAATACAAACATCACAAAGATGTTTCTCAGAACGCTGCAGTCTGCAATTTGTATGAATTCCCGCTTCCAACGAAATCCTCAAAACTAGCCAAATATCCACTTGCAGATTCCACAAAAAGAGCGTTTCAAAACTTCTCTATGAAAAGAAAGGTTCTACTCCTTTAGTTGAGGACACACATCACGAGTAAGTTTCTGAGAATGCTTCTGTCTAGTTTTTATGGGAAGATATTTCCTTTTTCACCTTAGGCCGGTAAGTGCTCCAAATGTCCACTTACACACACTACAAAAAGAGTGTTTCAAACCTGCTCTGTGAAAGGGAATGTTCAATTCTGTGACTTGAATGCAATCATCACAAAGAACTTTCTGAGAATGCTGCTGTCTGCTTTTTATATGTAATCGCGTTTCCAACGAAATCCTCAAATCTAGCCCAATATCCACTTGCAGATTCCACAAAAAGAGTGTTTCAAAACTGTTCTGTCTAAAGAAAAGTTCAACTGTGTTAGTTGAGGACACACATCAGAAACTAGTTTCTGAGAATGCTTCTGTCTAGTTGTTATGGGAAGATATTTCCTTTTCCAACGTAGGCCTGAAAGCGCTCCAAATGTCCACTTCCATATACTAAAAAAAGAGTGTTTCAAACCTGCTCTACCAAAGAGAATGTTCTACTCTGTGACTTGAATGCAAACATCCCAAAGAAGTTTCTGAGAATGCTTCTGTCTAGATTTTATCTGAAGACAATCCCGTTTCCAACGAAATCCTCAAGGCTAGGCAAATATACTCTTGCAGATTCCAGAAAAAGAGTGTTTCAAAACTGCTCCTTCAAAACGGTGGTTCAATTCTCTTAGTTGAGTACACACATCTCAAATAAGTTTCTGAGAATGCTTCTGCCTAGTTGTTACGGGAAGATATTTCCCTTTCCAACATGGGCCTGAAAGCGCTCCAAATGTCCACTTCCAGATACTACAAAAAGAGTGTTTCAAACCTGCTCTACCAAAGGGAATGTTCTACTCTGTGACTTGAATGCAAACATCCCAAAGAAGTTTCTGAGAATGCTTCTGTCTAGATTTTACCTGAAGACAATCCCGTTTCCCACGAAATCCTCAAAGCTATGCAAATATCCTCTTGCAGATTCTACAAAAAGAGTGTTTCAAAACTGCTCTATGAAAAGAAAGGTTCAACTCTGTCAGTAGAGGGCACACATCACAAACAAGTTTCTGAGAATGCTTCTGCATAGTTGTTACGGGAAGATATTTCCCTTTCCAAAATAGGCCTGAAAGCGCTCCAAATGTCCACTTCCAGATACTACAAAAGGAGTGATTCCAACCTGCTCTATGATAGGGAATGTTCAACTCTGTGTCCTGAATACAAACATCACAAAGATGTTTCTCAGAACGCTGCAGTCTGCAATTTGTATGAATTCCCGCTTCCAACGAAATCCTCAAAACTAGCCAAATATCCACTTGCAGATTCCACAAAAAGACCATTTCAAAACTGCTCTATCAAAAGAAAGGTTCAACTTTGTTAGTTGAGTAGATACAGCATAAACAAGTTTCTGAGAATGCTTCTGTCCAGTTTTTATGGGAAGATATTTTCTTTTTCACCTTAGCCCTGAAAGCGCCCGAAATGTCCAGTTCCAGATACTACAAAAGGAGTGTTTCAAGACTGCTCTATGAAAGGGAGTGTTCAAATTTGACTTGAATGCAAACATCAGAAAGCAGTTTCTCAGAACGCTGCTGTGTGCTTTTTATATGTATTCCCGCTTCCAGCGAAATCCCCAAAGCTAGCCAAATATCCACTTGCAGATTCCAGAAAAAGAGTGTTTCAAAACTGCACCTTCAAAACGGTGGTTCAATTCTCTTAGTTGAGTACACACATCTCAAATAAGTTTCCGAGAATGCTTCTGTCTAGTTGTTATGGGAAGATATTTCCTTTTCCAACATAGGCCTGAAAGCGCTCCAAATGTCCACTTCCAGATACTACAAAAGGGGTGATTCAAACCTGCTCTATGATAGGGAATGTTCAACTCTGTGTCCTGAATACAAACATCACAAAGATGTTTCTCAGAACGCTGCAGTCTGCAATTTGTATGAATTCCCGCTTCCAACAAAATCCTCAAAACTAGCCAAATATCCACTTGCAGATTCCACAAAAAGAGCGTTTCAAAACTTCTCTATGAAAAGAAAGGTTCTACTCCTTTAGTTGAGGACACACATCACGAGTAAGTTTCTGAGAATGCTTCTGTCTAGTTTTTATGGGAAGATATTTCCTTTTTCACCTTAGGCCGGTAAGTGCTCCAAATGTCCACTTACACACACTACAAAAAGAGTGTTTCAAACCTGCTCTGTGAAAGGGAATGTTCAATTCTGTGACTTGAATGCAATCATCACAAAGAACTTTCTGAGAATGCTGCTGACTGCTTTTTATATGTAATCCCGTTTCCAACGAAATCCTCAAATCTAGCCAAATAGCCACTTGCAGATTCCACAAAAAGAGTGTTTCAAAACTGTTCTGTCTAAAGAAATGTTCAACTGTGTTAGTTGAGGACACACATCAGAAACTAGTTTCTGAGAATGCTTCTGTCTAGTTGTTATGGGAAGATATTTCCTTTTCCAACGTAGGCCTGAAAGCGATCAAAATGTCCACTTCCATATACTAAAAAAAGAGTGTTTCAAACCTGCTCTACCAAAGGGAATGTTCTACTCTGTGACTTGAATGCAAACATCCCAAAGAAGTTTCTGAGAATGCTTCTGTCTAGATTTTCTCTGCATACAATCCCGTTTCCAACGAAATCCTCAAGGCTAGGCAAATATACTCTTGCAGATTCCAGAAAAAGAGTGTTTCAAAACTGCTCCTTCAAAACGGTGGTTCAATTCTCTTAGTTGAGTACACACATCTCAAATAAGTTTCTGAGAATGCTTCTGCCTAGTTGTTACGGGAAGATATTTCCCTTTCCAACATGGGCCTGAAAGCGCTCCAAATGTCCACTTCCAGATACTACAAAAAGAGTGTTTCAAACCTGCTCTACCAAAGGGAATGTTCTACTCTGTGACTTGAATGCAAACATCCCAAAGAAGTTTCTGAGAATGCTTCTGTCTAGATTTTACCTGAAGACAATCCCGTTTCCCACGAAATCCTCAAAGCTATGCAAATATCCTCTTGCAGATTCTACAAAAAGAGTGCTTCAAAACTGCTCTATGAAAAGAAAGGTTCAACTCTGTCAGTAGAGGGCACACATCACAAACAAGTTTCTGAGAATGCTTCTGCATAGTTGTTACGGGAAGATATTTCCCTTTCCAAAATAGGCCTGAAAGCGCTCCAAATGTCCACTTCCAGATACTACAAAAGGAGTGATTCCAACCTGCTCTATGATAGGGAATGTTCAACTCTGTGTCCTGAATACAAACATCACAAAGATGTTTCTCAGAACGCTGCAGTCTGCAATTTGTATGAATTCCCGCTTCCAACGAAATCCTCAAAACTAGCCAAATATCCACTTGCAGATTCCACAAAAAGAGCATTTCAAAACTGCTCTATCAAAAGAAAGGTTCAACTTTGTTAGTTGAGTAGATACAGCATAAACAAGTTTCTGAGAATGCTTCTGTCCAGTTTTTATGGGAAGATATTTCCTTTTTCACCTTAGCCCTGAAAGCGCTCCAAAAGTCCAGTTCCAGATACTACAAAAGGAGTGTTTCAGGACTGCTCTATGAAAGGGAGTGTTCAACTTTTGACTTGAATGCAAACATCAGAAAGCAGTTTCTCAGAACGCTGCTGTGTGCTTTTTATATGTATTCCCGCTTCCAGCGAAATCCCCAAAGCTAGCCAAATATCCACTTGCAGATTCCAGAAAAAGAGTGTTTCAAAACTGCTCCTTCAAAACGGTGGTTCAATTCTCTTAGTTGAGTACACACATCTCAAATAAGTTTCTGAGAATGCTTCTGTCTAGTTGTTATGGGAAGATATTTCCTTTTCCAACATAGGCCTGAAAGCGCTCCAAATGTCCACTTCCAGATACTACAAAAGGAGTGATTCAAACCTGCTCTATGATAGGGAATGTTCAACTCTGTGTCCTGAATACAAACATCACAAAGATGTTTCTCAGAACGCTGCAGTCTGCAATTTGTATGAATTCCCGCTTCCAACGAAATCCTCCAAACTAGCCAAATATCCACTTGCAGATTCCACAAAAAGAGCGTTTCAAAACTTCTCTATGAAAAGAAAGGTTCTACTCCTTTAGTTGAGGACACACATCACGAGTAATTTTCTGAGAATGCTTCTGTCTAGTTTTTATGGGAAGATATTTCCTTGTTCACCTTAGGCCGGAAAGCGCTCCAAATGTCCACTTACACACACTAGAAAAAGAGTGTTTCAAACCTGCTCTGTGAAAAGGAATGTTCAATTCTGTGACTTGAATGCAATCATCACAAAGAAGTTTCTGAGAATGCTGCTGTCTGCTTTTTATATGTAATCCCGTTTCCAACGAAATCCTCAAATCTAGCCAAATATCCACTTGCAGATTCCACAAAAAGAGTGTTTCAAAACTGTTCTGTCTAAAGAAATGTTCAACTGTGTTAGTTGAGGACACACATCAGAAACTAGTTTCTGAGAATGCTTCTGTCTAGTTGTTATGGGAAGATATTTCCTTTTCCAACGTAGGCCAGAAAGCGCTCCAAATGTCCACTTACACACACTACAAAAAGAGTTTTTCAAACCTGCTCTACCAAAGGGAATGTTCTACTCTGTGACTTGAATGCAAACATCCCAAAGAAGTTTCTGAGAATGCTTCTGTCTAGATTTTACCTGAAGACAATCCCGTTTCCCACGAAATCCTCAAAGCTATGCAAATATCCTCTTGCAGATTCTACAAAAAGAGTGTTTCGAAACTGCTCTATGAAAAGAAAGATTCAACTGTGTCAGTAGAGGGCACACATCACAGACAAGTTTCTGAGAATGCTTCTGTCTAGTTGTTATGGGAAGATATTTCCTTTTTCAACATAGGCCTGAAAGCGCTCCAAATGTCCACTTCCAGATAGTACAAAAGGAGTGATTCCAACCTGCTCTATGATAGGGAATGTTCAACTCTGTGTCCTGAATACAAACATCACAAAGATGTTTCTCAGAACGCTGCAGTCTGCAATTTGTATGAATTCCCGCTTCCAACGAAATCCTCCAAACTAGCCAAATATCCACTTGCAGATTCCACAAAAAGAGCGTTTCAAAACTTCTCTATGAAAAGAAAGGTTCTACTCCTTTAGTTGAGGACACACATCACGAGTAAGTTTCTGAGAATGCTTCTGTCTAGTTTTTATGGGAAGATATTTCCTTGTTCACCTTAGGCCGGAAAGCGCTCCAAATGTCCACTTACACACACTACAAAAAGAGTGTTTCAAACCTGCTCTGTGAAAGGGAATGTTCAATTCTGTGACTTGAATGCAATCATCACAAAGAAGTTTCTGAGAATGCTGCTGTCTGCTTTTTATATGTAATCCCGTTTCCAACGAAATCCTCAAATCTAGCCAAATATCCACTTGCAGATTCCACAAAAAGAGTGTTTCAAAACTGTTCTGTCTAAAGAAATGTTCAACTGTGTTAGTTGAGGACACACATCAGAAACTAGTTTCTGAGAATGCTTCTGTCTAGTTGTTATGGGAAGATATTTCCTTTTCCAACGTAGGCCTGAAAGCGCTCCAAATGTCCACTTCCATATACTAAAAAAAGAGTGTTTCAAACCTGCTCTACCAAAGGAATGTTCTACTCTGTGACTTGAATGCAAACATCCCAAAGAAGTTTCTGAGAATGCTTCTGTCTAGATTTGATCTGAAGACAATCCCTTTTCCAACGAAATCCTCAAAGCTAGGCAAATATCCTCTTGCAGATTCCAGAAAAAGAGTGTTTCCAAACTGCTCCTTCAAAACGGTGGTTCAATTCTCTTAGTTGAGTACACACATCTCAAATAAGTTTCTGAGAATGCTTCTGCCTAGTTGTTACGGGAAGATATTTCCCTTTCCAACATAGGCCTGAAAGCGCAACAAATGTCCACTTCCAGATACGACAAAAAGAGTGTTTCAAACCTGCTCTACCAAAGGGAATGTTCTACTCTGTGAGTTGAATGCAAACATCCCGAAGAAGTTTCTGAGAATGCTTCTGTCTAGATTTTACCTGAAGACAATCCCGTTTCCCACGAAATCCTCAGAGCTATGCAAATATCCTCTTGCAGATTCTACAAAAAGAGTGTTTCGAAACTGCTCTATGAAAAGAAAGGTTCAACTCTGTCAGTAGAGGAAACACATCACCAACAAGTTTCTGAGAATGCTTCTGTCTAGTTGTTATGGGAAGATTTTTCCTTTTTCAACATAAGCCTGAAAGCGCTCCAAATGTCCACTTCCAGATACTACAAAAGGAGTGATCCCAACCTGCTCTATGATAGGGAATGTTCAACTCTGTGTCCTGAATACAAACATCACAAAGATGTTTCTCAGAACGCTGCAGTCTGCAATTTGTATGAATTCCCGCTTCCAACGAAATCCTCAAAACTAGCCAAATATCCACTTGCAGATTCCACAAAAAGAGCATTTCAAAACTGCTCTATCAAAAGAAAGGTTCAACTTTGTTAGTTGAGCAGATACAGCATAAACAAGTTTCTGAGAATGCTGCAGTCTGCAATTTGTATGAATTCCCGCTTCCAACGAAATCCTCAAAACTAGCCAAATATCCACTTGCAGATTCCACAAAAAGAGCGTTTCAAAACTTCTCTATGAAAAGAAAGGTTCTACTCCTTTAGTTGAGGACACACAATACGAGTAAGTTTCTGAGAATGCTTCTGTCCAGTTTTTATGGGAAGATATTTCCTTTTTCACCTTAGCCCTGAAAGCGCTCCAAAAGTCCAGTTCCAGATACTACAAAAGGAGTGTTTCAGGACTGCTCTATGAAAGGGAGTGTTCAACTTTTGACTTGAATGCAAACATCAGAAAGCAGTTTCTCAGAACGCTGCTGTGTGCTTTTTATATGTATTCCCGCTTCCAGCGAAATCCCCAAAGCTAGCCAAATATCCACTTGCAGATTCCAGAAAAAGAGTGTTTCAAAACTGCTCCTTCAAAACGGTGGTTCAATTCTCTTAGTTGAGTACACACATCTCAAATAAGTTTCTGAGAATGCTTCTGTCTAGTTGTTATGGGAAGATATTTCCTTTTCCAACATAGGCCTGAAAGCGCTCCAAATGTCCACTTCCAGATACTACAAAAGGAGTGATTCCAACCTGCTCTATGATAGGGAATGTTCAACTCTGTGTCCTGAATACAAACATCACAAAGATGTTTCTCAGAACGCTGCAGTCTGCAATTTGTGTGAATTCCCGCTTCCAATGAAATCCTCAAAACTAGCCAAATATCCACTTGGAGATTCCACAAAAAGAGCGTTTCAAAACTTCTCTATGAATAGAAAGGTTCTACTCCTTTAGTTGAGGACACACATCACGAGTAAGTTTCTGAGAATGATTCTGTCTAGTTTTTATGGGAAGATATTTCCTTTTTCACCTTAGGCCGGAAAGCGCTCCAAATGTCCACTTACACACACTACAAAAAGAGTGTTTCAAACCTGCTCTGTGAAAGGGAATGTTCAATTTCTGTGACTTGAATGCAATCATCACAAAGAACTTTCTGAGAATGCTGCTGTCTGCTTTTTATACGTAATCCCGTTTCCAACGAAATCCTCAAATCTAGCCAAATATCCACTTGCAGATTCCTCAAAAAGAGTGTTTCAAAACTGTTCTGTCAAAAGAAATGTTCAACTCTGTTAGTTGAGGACACACATCAGAAACTAGTTTCTGAGAATGCTTCTGTCTAGTTGTTATGGGAAGATATTTCCTTTTCCAACGTAGGCCTGAATGCGCTCCAAATGTCCACTTCCAGATACTACACAAAGAGTGTTTCAAACCTGCTCTACCAAAGGGAATGTTCTACTCTGTGACTTGAATGCAAACATCCCAAAGAAGTTTCTGAGAATGCTTCTGTCTAGATTTTACCTGAAGACAATCCCGTTTCCAACGAAATCCTCAAAGCTATGCAAATATCCTCCTGCAGATTCTACAAAAAGAGTGTTTCGAAACTGCTCCTTCAAAACGGTGGTTCAATTCTCTTAGTTGAGTACACACATCTCAAATAAGTTTCTGAGAATGCTTCTACCTAGTTGTTACGGGAAGATATTTCCCTTTGCAACATAGGCCTGAAAGGGCTCCAAATGTCCACTTCCAGATACTACAAAAAGAGTGTTTCAAACCTGGTCTACCAAAGGGAATGTTCTACTCTGTTACTTGAATGCAAACATCCCAAAGAAGATTCTGAGAATGCTTCTGTCTAGATTTTATTGAAGACAATCCCGTTTCCCACGAAATCCTCAAAGCTATGCAAATATCCTCTTGCAGATTCTACAAAAAGAGTGTTTCGAAACTGCTCTATGAAAAGAAAGGTTCAACTCTGTCAGTAGAGGGCACACATCACAAACAAGTTTCTGAGAATGCTTCTGCATAGTTGTTACGGGAAGATATTTCCCTTTCCAAAATAGGCCTGAAAGCGCTCCAAATGTCCACTTCCAGATACTACAAAAGGAGTGATTCCAACCTGCTCTATGATAGGGAATGTTCAACTCTGTGTCCTGAATACAAACATCACAAAGATGTTTCTCAGAACGCTGCAGTCTGCAATTTGTATGAATTCCCGCTTCCAACGAAATCCTCAAAACTAGCCAAATATCCACTTGCAGATTCCACAAAAAGACCATTTCAAAACTGCTCTATCAAAAGAAAGGTTCAACTTTGTTAGTTGAGTAGATACAGCATAACCAAGTTTCTGAGAATGCTTCTGTCCAGTTTTTATGGGAAGATATTTCCTTTTTCACCTTAGCCCTGAAATCGCTCCAAAAGTCCAGTTCCAGATACTACAAAAGGGGTGTTTCAAGACTGCTCTATGAAAGGGAGTGTTCAACTTTTGACTTGAATGCAAACATCAGAAAGCAGTTTCTCAGAACGCTGCTGTGTGCTTTTTATATGTATTCCCGCTTCCAGCGAAATCCCCAAAGCTAGCCAAATATCCACTTGCAGATTCCAGAAAAAGAGTGTTTCAAAACTGCTCCTTCAAAACGGTGGTTCAATTCTCTTAGTTGAGTACACACATCTCAAATAAGTTTCTGAGAATGCTTCTGTCTAGTTGTTATGGGAAGATATTTCCTTTTCCAACATAGGGCCTGAAAGCGCTCCAAATGTCCACTTCCAGATACTACAAAAGGAGTGATTCAAACCTGCTCTATGATAGGGAATGTTCAACTCTGTGTCCTGAATACAAACATCACAAAGATGTTTCTCAGAACGCTGCAGTCTGCAATTTGTATGAATTCCCGCTTCCAGCGAAATCCTCAAAACTAGCCAAATATCCACTTGCAGATTCCACAAAAAGAGCATTTCAAAACTGCTCTATCAAAAGAAAGGTTCAACTTTGTTAGTTGAGTAGATACAGCATAAACAAGTTTCTGAGAATGCTTCTGTCCAGTTTTTATGGGAAGATATTTCCTTTTTCACCTTAGCCCTGAAAGCGCTCCAAAAGTGCAGTTCCAGATACTACAAAAGGAGTGTTTCAGGACTGCTCTATGAAAGGGAGTGTTCAACTTTTGACTTGAATGCAAACATCAGAAAGCAGTTTCTCAGAACGCTGCTGTGTGCTTTTTATATGTATTCCCGCTTCCAGCGAAATCCCCAAAGCTAGCCAAATATCCACTTGCAGATTCCAGAAAAAGAGTGTTTCAAAACTGCTCCTTCAAAACGGTGGTTCAATTCTCTTAGTTGAGTACACACATCTCAAATAAGTTTCTGAGAATGCTTCTGTCTAGTTGTTATGGGAAGATATTTCCTTTTCCAACATAGGCCTGAAAGCGCTCCAAATGTCCACTTCCAGATACTACAAAAGGAGTGATTCAAACCTGCTCTATGATAGGGAATGTTCAACTCTGTGTCCTGAATACAAACATCACAAAGATGTTTCTCAGAACGCTGCAGTCTGCAATTTGTATGAATTCCCGCTTCCAACGAAATCCTCCAAACTAGCCAAATATCCACTTGCAGATTCCACAAAAAGAGCGTTTCAAAACTTCTCTATGAAAAGAAAGGTTCTACTCCTTTAGTTGAGGACACACATCACGAGTAAGTTTCTGAGAGTGCTTCTGTCTAGTTTTTATGGGAAGATATTTCCTTTTTCAACACAAGCCTGAATGCGTTCCAAATGGACACTTCCAGATATGACAAAAGGAGTGTTTCAAACCTGTTCTATCAAAGGGAATGTTCAATTCTGTGACTTGAATGCAAACATCACCAAGAAGTTTCTCAGAACGCTGCTGTCTGCTTTTTATTTGTATTCACGTTTCCAACGAAATCCTCAAAGCCAGCCAAATATCCACTTGCAGATTCCACAAAAAGAGTGTTTCAAAACTGCTCTCTCAAAAGAAATGTTCAACTCTGTCAGTTGAGGACACACATCACAAATAAGTTTCTGAGAATGCTTCTGTCTAGTTGTTATGGGAAGAGATTTCCTTTTCCAACGTAGGCCTGAAAGCGCTCCAAATGTCCTTCCATATACTAAAAAAAGAGTGTTTCAAACCTGCTCTACCAAAGGGAATGTTCTACTCTGTGACTTGAATGCAAACATCCCAAAGAAGTTTCTGAGAATGCTTCTGTCTAGATTTTATCTGAAGACAATCCCGTTTCCAACGAAATCCTCAAGGCTAGGCAAATATACTCTTGCAGATTCCAGAAAAAGAGTGGTTCAAAACTGCTCCTTCAAAACGGTGGTTCATTTCTCTTAGTTGAGTACACACATCTCAAATAAGTTTCTGAGAATGCTTCTGCCTAGTTGTTACGGGAAGATATTTCCCTTTCCAACATGGGCCTGAAAGCGCTCCAAATGTCCACTTCCAGATACTACAAAAAGAGTGTTTCAAACCTGCTCTACCAAAGGGAATGTTCTACTCTGTGACTTGAATGCAAACATCCCAAAGAAGTTTCTGAGAATGCTTCTGTCTAGATTTTACCTGAAGACAATCCCGTTTCCCACGAAATCCTCAAAGCTATTCAAATATCCTCTTGCAGATTCTACAAAAAGAGTGTTTCAAAACTGCTCTATGAAAAGAAAGGTTCAACTCTGTCACTAGAGGGCACACATCACAAACAAGTTTCTGAGAATGCTTGTGTCTAGTTGTTATGGGAAGATATTTCCTTTTTCAACATAGGCCTGAAAGCGCTCCAAATGTCCACTTCCAGATACTACAAAAGGAGTGATTCCAACCTGCTCTATGATAGGGAATGTTCAACTCTCTGTCCTGAATACAAACATCACAAAGATGTTTCTCAGAACGCTGCAGTCTGCAATTTGTATGAATTCCCGCTTCCAGCGAAATCCTCAAAACTAGCCAAATATCCACTTGCAGATTCCACAAAAAGAGCATTTCAAAACTGCTCTATCAAAAGAAAGGTTCAACTTTGTTAGTTGAGTAGATACAGCATAAACAAGTTTCTGAGAATGCTTCTGTCCAGTTTTTATGGGAAGATATTTCCTTTTTCACCTTAGCCCTGAAAGCGCTCCAAAAGTCCAGTTCCAGATACTACAAAAGGAGTGTTTCAGGACTGCTCTATGAAAGGGAGTGTTCAACTTTTGACTTGAATGCAAACATCAGAAAGCAGTTTCTCAGAACGCTGCTGTGTGCTTTTTATATGTATTCCCGCTTCCAGCGAAATCCCCAAAGCTAGCCAAATATCCACTTGCAGATTCCAGAAAAAGAGTGTTTCAAAACTGCTCCTTCAAAACGGTGGTTCAATTCTCTTAGTTGAGTACACACATCTCAAATAAGTTTCTGAGAATGCTTCTGTCTACTTGTTATGGGAAGATATTTCCTTTTCCAACATAGGCCTGAAAGCGCTCCAAATGTCCACTTCCAGATACTACAAAAGGAGTGATTCAAACCTGCTCTATGATAGGGAATGTTCAACTCTGTGTCCTGAATACAAACATCACAAAGATGTTTCTCAGAACGCTGCAGTCTGCAATTTGTATGAATTCCCGCTTCCAACGAAATCCTCAAAACTAGCCAAATATCCACTTGCAGATTCCACAAAAAGAGCGTTTCAAAACTTCTCTATGAAAAGAAAGGTTCTACTCCTTTAGTTGAGGACACACATCACGAGTAAGTTTCTGAGAATGCTTCTGTCTAGTTTTTATGGGAAGATATTTCCTTTTTCACCTTAGGCCGGTAAGTGCTCCAAATGTCCACTTACACACACTACAAAAAGAGTGTTTCAAACCTGCTCTGTGAAAGGGAATGTTCAATTCTGTGACTTGAATGCAATCATCACAAAGAACTTTCTGAGAATGCTGCTGACTGCTTTTTATATGTAATCCCGTTTCCAACGAAATCCTCAAATCTAGCCAAATAGCCACTTGCAGATTCCACAAAAAGAGTGTTTCAAAACTGTTCTGTCTAAAGAAATGTTCAACTGTGTTAGTTGAGGACACACATCAGAAACTAGTTTCTGAGAATGCTTCTGTCTAGTTGTTATGGGAAGATATTTCCTTTTCCAACGTAGGCCTGAAAGCGCTCCAAATGTCCACTTCCATATACTAAAAAAAGAGTGTTTCAAACCTGCTCTACCAAAGGGAATGTTCTACTCTGTGACTTGAATGCAAACATCCCAAAGAAGTTTCTGAGAATGCTTCTGTATAGATTTGATCTGAAGACAATCCCGTTTCCAACGAAATCCTCAAGGCTAGGCAAATATCCTCTTTCAGATTCCAGAAAAAGAGTGTTTCAAAACTGCTCCTTCAAAACGGTGGTTCAATTCTCTTAGTTGAATACACACATCTCAAATAAGTTTCTGAGAATGCTTCTGCCTAGTTGTTACGGGAAGATATTTCCCTTTCCAACATGGGCCTGAAAGCGCTCCAAATGTCCACTTCCAAATACTACAAAAAGAGTGTTTCAAACCTACTCTACCAAAGGGAATGTTCTACTCTGTGACTTGAATGCAAACATCCCAAAGAAGTTTCTGAGAATGCTTCTGTCTAGATTTTACCTGAAGACAATCCCGTTTCCCACGAAATCCTCAAAGCTATGCAAATATCCTCTTGCAGATTCTACAAAAAGAGTGTTTCAAAACTGCTCTATGAAAAGAAAGGTTCAACTCTGTCAGTAGAGGGCACACATCACAAACAAGTTTCTGAGAATGCTTCTGCATAGTTGTTACGGGAAGATATTTCCCTTTCCAACATAGGCCTGAAAGCGCTCCAAATGTCCACTTCCAGATACTACAAAAGGAGTGATTCCAACCTGCTCTATGATAGGGAATGTTCAACTCTGTGTCCTGAATACAAACATCACAAAGATGTTTCTCAGAACGCTGCAGTCTGCAATTTGTATGAATTCCCGCTTCCAACGAAATCCTCAAAACTAGCCAAATATCCACTTGCAGATTCCACAAAAAGACCATTTCAAAACTGCTCTATCAAAAGAAAGGTTCAACTTTGTTAGTTGAGTAGATACAGCATAAACAAGTTTCTGAGAATGCTTCTGTCCAGTTTTTATGGGAAGATATTTCCTTTTTCACCTTAGCCCTGAAATCGCTCCAAAAGTCCAGTTCCAGATACTACAAAAGGGGTGTTTCAAGACTGCTCTATGAAAGGGAGTGTTCAACTTTTGACTTGAATGCAAACATCAGAAAGCAGTTTCTCAGAACGCTGCTGTGTGCTTTTTATATGTATTCCCGCTTCCAGCGAAATCCCCAAAGCTAGCCAAATATCCACTTGCAGATTCCAGAAAAAGAGTGTTTCAAAACTGCTCCTTCAAAACGGTGGTTCAATTCTCTTAGTTGAGTACACACATCTCAAATAAGTTTCTGAGAATGCTTCTGTCTAGTTGTTATGGGAAGATATTTCCTTTTCCAACATAGGCCTGAAAGCGCTCCAAATGTCCACTTCCAGATACTACAAAAGGAGTGATTCCAACCTGCTCTATGATAGGGAATGTTCAACTCTGTGTCCTGAATACAAACATCACAAAGATGTTTCTCAGAACGCTGCAGTCTGCAATTTGTATGAATTCCCGCTTCCAACGAAATCCTCAAAACTAGCCAAATATCCACTTGCAGATTCCACAAAAAGAGCGTTTCAAAACTTCTCTATGAAAAGAAAGGTTCTACTCCTTTAGTTGAGGACACACATCACGAGTAAGTTTCTGAGAATGCTTCTGTCTAGTTTTTATGGGAAGATATTTCCTTTTTCACCTTAGGCCGGAAAGCGCTCCAAATGTCCACTTACACACACTACAAAAAGAGTGTTTCAAACCTGCTCTGTGAAAGGGAATGTTCAATTCTGTGACTTGAATGCAATCATCACAAAGAACTTTCTGAGAATGCTGCTGACTGCTTTTTATAAGTAATCCCGTTTCCAACGAAATCCTCAAATCTAGCCAAATAGCCACTTGCAGATTCCACAAAAAGAGTGTTTCAAAACTGTTCTGTCTAAAGAAATGTTCCACTGTGTTAGTTGAGGACACACATCAGAAACTAGTTTCTGAGAATGCTTCTGTCTAGTTTTTATGGGAAGATATTTCCTTTTCCAACGTAGGCCTGAAAGCGCTCCAAATGTCCACTTCCGTATACTAAAAAAAGAGTGTTTCAAACCTGCTCTACCAAAGGGAATGTTCTACTCTGTGACTTGAATGCAAACATCCCAAAGAAGTTTCTGAGAATGCTTCTGTCTAGATTTTCTCTGAAGACAATCCCGTTTCCAACGAAATCCTCAAGGCTAGGCAAATATACTCTTGCAGATTCCAGAAAAAGAGTGTTTCAAAACTGCTCCTTCAAAACGGTGGTTCAATTCTCTTAGTTGAGTACACACATCTCAAATAAGTTTCTGAGAATGCTTCTGCCTTGTTGCTACGGGAAGATATTTCCCTTTCCAACATGGGCCTGAAAGCGCTCCAAATGTCCACTTCCAGATACTACAAAAAGAGGGTTTCAAACCTGCTCTACCAAAGGGAATGTTCTACTCTGTGACTTGAATGCAATCATCCCAAAGAAGTTTCTGAGAATGCTTCTGTCTAGATTTTACCTGAAGACAATCCCGTTTCCCACTAAATCCCCAAAGCGATGCAAATATCCTCTTGTGGATTCTACAAAAAGAGTGTTTCAAAACTGCTCTATGAAAAGAAAGGTTCAACTCTGTCAGTAGAGGGCACACATCACAAACAAGTTTCTGAGAATGCTTGTGTCTAGTTGTTATGGGAAGATATTTCCTTTTTCAACATAGGCCTGAAAGCGCTCCAAATGTCCACTTCCAGATACTACAAAAGGAGTGATTCCAACCTGCTCTATGATAGGGAATGTTCATCTCTGTGTCCTGAATACAAACATCACAAAGATGTTTCTCAGAACGCTGCAGTCTGCAATTTGTATGAATTCCCGCTTCCAACGAAATCCTCAAAACTAGCCAAATATCCACTTGGAGATTCCACAAAAAGAGCGTTTCAAAACTTCTCTATGAATAGAAAGGTTCTACTCCTTTAGTTGAGGACACACATCACGAGTAAGTTTCTGAGAATGCTTCTGTCTAGTTTTTATGGGAAGATATTTCTTTTTTCACCTTAGGCCGGAAAGCGCTCCAAATGTCCACTTACACACACTACAAAAAGAGTGTTTCAAACCTGCTCTGTGAAAGGGAATGTTCAATTCTGTGACTTGAATGCAATCATCACAAAGAACTTTCTGAGAATGCTGCTGTCTGCTTTTTATATGTAATCCCGTTTCCAACGAAATCCTCAAATCTAGCCCAATATCCACTTGCAGATTCCACAAAAAGAGTGTTTCAAAACTGTTCTGTCTAAAGAAATGTACAACTGTGTTAGTTGAGGACACACATCAGAAACTAGTTTCTGAGAATGCTTCTGTCTAGTTGTTATGGGAAGATATTTCCTTTTCCAACGTGGGCTGAAAGCGCTGCAAATGTCCACTTCCATATACTAAAAAAAGAGTGTTTCAAACCTGCTCTACCAAAGGGAATGTTCTACTCTGTGACTTGAATGCAAACATCCCAAAGAAGTTTCTGAGAATGCTTCTGTCTAGATTTGATCTGAAGACAATCCCGTTTCCAACGAAATCCTCAAAGCTAGGCAAATATCCTCTTGCAGATTCCAGAAAAAGAGTGTTTCAAAACTGCTCCTTCAAAACGGTGGTTCAATTCTCTTAGTTGAGTACACACATCTCCAATAAGTTTCTGAGAATGCTTCTGCCTAGTTGTTACGGGAAGATATTTCCCTTTCCAACATAGGCCTGAAAGCGCTCCAAATGTCCACTTCCAGATACTATAAAAAGAGTGTTTCAAACCTGCTCTACCAAAGGGAATGTTCTACTCTGTGACTTGAATGCAAACATCCCAAAGAAGTTTCTGAGAATGCTTCTGTCTAGATTTTACCTGAAGACAATCCCGTTTCCCACGAAATCCTCAAAGCTATGCAAATATCCTCTTGCAGATTCTACAAAAAGAGTGTTTCAAAACTGCTCTATGAAAAGAAAGGTTCAACTCTGTCAGTAGAGGGCACACATCACAAACAAGTTTCTGAGAATGCTTGTGTCTAGTTGTTATGGGAAGATATTTCCTTTTTCAACATAGGCCTGAAAGCGCTCCAAATGTCCACTTCCAGATACTACAAAAGGAGTGATTCCAACCTGCTCTATGATAGGGAATGTTCATCTCTGTGTCCTGAATACAAACATCACAAAGATGATTCTCAGAACGCTGCAGTCTGCAATTTGTATGAATTCCCGCTTCCAACGAAATCCTCAAAACTAGCCAAATATCCACTTGGAGATTCCACAAAAAGAGCGTTTCAAAACTTCTCTATGAATAGAAATGTTCTACTCCTTTAGTTGAGGACACACATCACGAGTAAGTTTCTGAGAATGCTTCTGTCTAGTTTTTATGGGAAGATATTTCCTTTCTCACCTTAGGCCGGAAAGTGCTCCAAATGTCCACTTACACACACTACAAAAAGAGTGTTTCAAATCTGCTCTGTGAAAGGGAATGTTCAATTCTGTGACTTGAATGCAATCATCACAAAGAACTTTCTGAGAATGCTGCTGTCTGCTTTTTATATGTAATCCCGTTTCCAACGAAATCCTCAAATCTAGCCAAATAGCCACTTGCAGATTCCACAAAAAGAGAGTTTCAAAACTGTTCTGTCTAAAGAAATGTTCAACTGTGTTAGTTGAGGACACACATCAGAAACTAGTTTCTGAGAATGCTTCTGTCTAGTTGTTATGGGAAGATATTTCCTTTTCCAACGTAGGCCTGAAAGCGCTCCAAATGTCCACTTCCATATACTAAAAAAAGAGTGTTTCACACCTGCTCTACCAAAGGGAATGTTCTACTCTGTGACTTGAATGCAAACATCCCAAAGAAGTTTCTGAGAATGCTTCTGTCTAGATTTGATCTGAACACAATCCCGTTTCCAACGAAATCCTCAAAGCTAGGCAAATATCCTCTTGCAGATTCCAGAAAAAGAGTGTTTCAAAACTGCTCCTTCAAAACGGTGGTTCAATTCTCTTAGTTGAGTACACACATCTCAAATAAGTTTCTGAGAATGCTTCTGCCTAGTTGTTACGGGAAGATATTTCCCTTTCCAACATAGGCCTGAAAGCGCTCCAAATGTCCACTTCCAGATACTACAAAAAGAGTGTTTCAAACCTGCTCTACCAAAGGGAATGTTCTACTCTGTGACTTGAATGCAAACATCCCAAAGAAGTTTCTGAGAATGCTTCTGTCTAGATTTTACCTGAAGACAATCCCGTTTCCCACGAAATCCTCAAAGCTATGCAAATATCCTCTTGCAGATTCTACAAAAAGAGTGTTTCAAAACTGCTCTATGAAAAGAAAGGTTCAACTCTGTCAGTAGAGGGCACACATCACAAACAAGTTTCTGAGAATGCTTCTGCATAGTTGTTACGGGAAGATATTTCCCTTTCCAAAATAGGCCTGAAAGCGCTCCAAATGTCCACTTCCAGATACTACAAAAGGAGTGATTCCAACCTGCTCTATGATAGGGAATGTTCAACTCTGTGTCCTGAATACAAACATCACAAAGATGTTTCTCAGAACGCTGCAGTCTGCAATTTGTATGAATTCCCGCTTCCAACGAAATCCTCCAAACTAGCCAAATATCCACTTGCAGATTCCACAAAAAGACCATTTCAAAACTGCTCTATCAAAAGAAAGGTTCAACTTTGTTAGTTGAGTAGATACAGCATAAACAAGTTTCTGAGAATGCTTCTGTCCAGTTTTTATGGGAAGATATTTCCTTTTTCACCTTAGCCCTGAAATCGCTCCAAAAGTCCAGTTCCAGATACTACAAAAGGGGTGTTTCAGGACTGCTCTATGAAAGGGAGTGTTCAACTTTTGACTTGAATGCAAACATCAGAAAGCAGTTTCTCAGAACGCTGCTGTGTGCTTTTTATATGTATTCCCGCTTCCAGCGAAATCCCCAAAGCTAGCCAAATATCCACTTGCAGATTCCAGAAAAAGAGAGTTTCAAAACTGCTCCTTCAAAACGGTGGTTCAATTCTCTTAGTTGAGTACACACATCTCAAATAAGTTTCTGAGAATGCTTGTGTCTAGTTGTTATGGGAAGATATTTCCTTTTTCAACATAGGCCTGAAAGCGCTCCAAATGTCCACTTCCAGATACTACAAAAGGAGTGATTCCAACCTGCTCTATGATAGGGAATGTTCAACTCTCTGTCCTGAATACAAACATCACAAAGATGTTTCACAGAACGCTGCAGTCTGCAATTTGTATGAATTCCCGCTTCCAGCGAAATCCTCAAAACTAGCCAAATATCCACTTGCAGATTCCACAAAAAGAGCATTTCAAAACTGCTCTATCAAAAGAAAGGTTCAACTTTGTTAGTTGAGTAGATACAGCATAAACAAGTTTCTGAGAATGCTTCTGTCCAGTTTTTATGGGAAGATATTTCCATTTTCACCTTAGCCCTGAAAGCGCTCCAAAAGTCCAGTTCCAGATACTACAAAAGGAGTGTTTCAGGACTGCTCTATGAAAGGGAGTGTTCAACTTTTGACTTGAATGCAAACATCAGAAAGCAGTTTCTCAGAACGCTTGCTGTGTGCTTTTTATATGTATTCCCGCTTCCAGCGAAATCCCCAAAGCTAGCCAAATATCCACTTGCAGATTCCAGAAAAAGAGTGTTTCAAAACTGCTCCTTCAAAACGGTGGTTCAATTCTCTTAGTTGAGTACACACATCTCAAATAAGTTTCTGAGAATGCTTCTGTCTAGTTGTTATGGGAAGATATTTCCTTTTCCAACATAGGCCTGAAAGCGCTCCAAATGTCCACTTCCAGATACTACAAAAGGAGTGATTCAAACCTGCTCTATGATAGGGAATGTTCAACTCTGTGTCCTGAATACAAACATCACAAAGATGTTTCTCAGAACGCTGCAGTCTGCAATTTGTATGAATTCCCGCTTCCAACGAAATCCTCAAAACTAGCCAAATATCCACTTGCAGATTCCACAAAAAGAGCGTTTCAAAACTTCTCTATGAAAAGAAAGGTTCTACTCCTTTAGTTGAGGACACACATCACGAGTAAGTTTCTGAGAATGCTTCTGTCTAGTTTTTATGGGAAGATATTTCCTTTTTCACCTTAGGCCGGTAAGTGCTCCAAATGTCCACTTACACACACTACAAAAAGAGTGTTTCAAACCTGCTCTGTGAAAGGGAATGTTCAATTCTGTGACTTGAATGCAATCATCACAAAGAACTTTCTGAGAATGCTGCTGACTGCTTTTTATATGTAATCCCGTTTCCAACGAAATCCTCAAATCTAGCCAAATAGCCACTTGCAGATTCCACAAAAAGAGTGTTTCAAAACTGTTCTGTCTAAAGAAATGTTCAACTGTGTTAGTTGAGGACACACATCAGAAACTAGTTTCTGAGAATGCTTCTGTCTAGTTGTTATGGGAAGATATTTCCTTTCCCAACGTAGGCCTGAAAGCACTCCAAATGTCCACTTCCATATACTAAAAAAAGAGTGTTTCAAACCTGCTCTACCAAAGGGAATGTTCTACTCTGTGACTTGAATGCAAACATCCCAAAGAAGTTTCTGAGAATGCTTCTGTCTAGATTTGATCTGAAGACAATCACGTTTCCAACGAAATCCTCAAGGCTAGGCAAATATACTCTTGCAGATTCCAGAAAAAGAGGGTTTCAAAACTGCTCCTTCAAAACGGTGGTTCAATTCTCTTAGTTGAGTACACACATCTCAAATAAGTTTCTGAGAATGCTTCTGCCTAGTTGTTACGGGAAGATATTTCCCTTTCCAACATGGGCCTGAAAGCGCTCCAAATGTCCACTTCCAGATACTACAAAAAGAGTGTTTCAAACCTGCTCTACCAAAGGGAATGTTCTACTCTGTGACTTGAATGCAAACATCCCAAAGAAGTTTCTGAGAATGCTTCTGTCTAGATTTTACCTGAAGACAATCCCGTTTCCCACGAAATCCTCAAAGCTATGCAAATATCCTCTTGCAGATTCTACAAAAAGAGTGTTTCAAAACTGCTCTATGAAAAGAAAGGTTCAACTGTGTCAGTAGAGGGCACACATCACAAACAAGTTTCTGAGAATGCTTCTGCCTAGTTGTTATGGGAAGATATTTCCTTTTTCAACATAGGCCTGAAAGCGCTCCAAATGTCCACTTCCAGATACTACAAAAGGAGTGATTCCAACCTGCTCTATGATAGGGAATGTTCAACTCTGTGTCCTGAATACAAACATCACAAAGATGTTTCTCAGAACGCTGCAGTCTGCAATTTGTATGAATTCCCGCTTCCAACGAAATCCTCAAAACTAGCCAAATATCCACTTGCAGATTCCACAAAAAGAGCATTTCAAAACTGCTCTATCAAAAGAAAGGTTCAACTTTGTTAGTTGAGTAGATACAGCATAAACAAGTTTCTGAGAATGCTGCAGTCTGCAATTTGTATGAATTCCCGCTTCCAACGGAAATCCTCAAAACTAGCCAAATATCCACTTGCAGATTCCACAAAAAGAGCGTTTCAAAACTTCTCTATGAAAAGGAAGGTTCTACTCCTTTAGTTGAGGACACACATCACGAGTAAGTTTCTGAGAATGCTTCTGTCTAGTTTTTATGGGAAGATATTTCCTTTTTCACCTTAGGCCGGTAAGTGCTCCAAATGTCCACTTACACACACTACAAAAAGAGTCTTTCAAACCTGCTCTGTGAAAGGGAATGTTCAATTCTGTGACTTGAATGCAATCATCACAAAGAACTTTCTGAGAATGCTGCTGTCTGCTTTTTATATGTAATCCCGTTTCCAACGAAATCCTCAAATCCAGCCAAATAGCCACTTGCAGATTCCACAAAAAGAGTGTTTCAAAACTGTTCTGTCTAAAGAAATGTTCAACTGTGTTAGTTGAGGACACACATCAGAAACTAGTTTCTGAGAATGCTTCTGTCTAGTTGTTATGGGAAGATATTTCCTTTTCCAACGTAGGCCTGAAAGCACTCCAAATGTCCACTTCCATATACTAAAAAAAGAGTGTTTCAAACCTGCTCTACCAAAGGGAATGTTCTACTCTGTGACTTGAATGCAAACATCCCAAAGAAGTTTTTGAGAATGCTTCTGTCTAGATTTGATCTGAAGACAATCCCGTTTCCAACGAAATCCTCAAGGCTAGGCAAATATCCTCTTGCAGATTCCAGAGAAAGAGTGTTTCTAAACTGCTCCTTGAAAACGGTGGTTCAATTCTCTTAGTTGAGTACACACATCTCAAATAACTTTCTGAGAATGCTTCTGCCTAGTTGTTACGTGAAGATATTTCCCTTTCCAACATAGGCCTGAAAGCGCTCCAAATGTCCACTTCCAGATACTACAAAAAGAGTGTTTCAAACCTGCTCTACCAAAGGGAATGTTCTGCTCTGTGACTTGAATGCAAACATCCCAAAGAAGTTTCTGAGAATGCTTCTGTCTAGATTTTACCTGAAGACAATCCCGTTTCCCACGAAATCCTCAAAGCTATGCAAATATCCTCTTGCGGATTCTACAAAAAGAGTGTTTCAAAACTGCTCTATGAAAAGAAAGGTTCAACTCTGTCAGTAGAGGGCACACATCACAAACAAGTTTCTGAGAATGCTTGTGTCTAGTTGCTATGGGAAGATATTTCCTTTTTCAACATAGGCCTGAAAGCGCTCCAAATGTCCACTTCCAGATACTACAAAAGGAGTGATTCCAACCTGCTCTATGATAGGGAATGTTCAACTCTCTGTCCTGAATACAAACATCACAAAGATGTTTCTCAGAACGCTGCAGTCTGCAATTTGTATGAATTCCCGCTTCCAACGAAATCCTCAAAACTAGCCAAATATCCACTTGCAGATTCCACAAAAAGAGCATTTCAAAACTGCTCTATCAAAAGAAAGGTTCAACTTTGTTAGTTGAGTAGATACAGCATAAACAAGTTTCTGAGAATGCTTCTGTCCAGTTTTTATGGGAAGATATTTCCTTTTTCACCTTAGCCCTGAAAGCGCTCCAAAAGTCCAGTTCCAGATACTACAAAAGGAGTGTTTCAGGACTGCTCTATGAAAGGGAGTGTTCAACTTTTGACTTGAATGCAAACATCACAAAGCAGTTTCTCAGAACGCTGCTGTGTGCTTTTTATATGTATTCCCGCTTCCAGCGAAATCCCCAAAGCTAGCCAAATATCCACTTGCAGATTCCAGAAAAAGAGTGTTTCAAAACTGCTCCTTCAAAACGGTGGTTCAATTCTCTTAGTTGAGTACATACATCTCAAATAAGTTTCTGAGAATGCTTCTGTCTAGTTGTTATGGGAAGATATTTCCTTTTCCAACATAGGCCTGAAAGCGCTCCAAATGTCCACTTCCAGATACTACAAAAGGAGTGATTCAAACCTGCTCTATGATAGGGAATGTTCAACTCTGTGTCCTGAATACAAACATCACAAAGATGTTTCTCAGAACGCTGCAGTCTGCAATTTGTATGAATTCCCGCTTCCAACGAAATCCTCCAAACTAGCCAAATATCCACTTGCAGATTCCACAAAAAGAGCGTTTCAAAACTTCTCTATGAAAAGAAAGGTTCTACTCCTTTAGTTGAGGACACACATCACGAGTAAGTTTCTGAGAATGCTTCTGTCTAGTTTTTATGGGAAGATATTTCCTTTTTCACCTTAGGCCGGAAAGTGCTCCAAATGTCCACTTACACACACTACAAAAAGAGTGTTTCAAACCTGCTCTGTGAAAGGGAATGTTCAATTCTGTGACTTGAATGCAATCATCACAAAGAAGTTTCTGAGAATGCTGCTGACTGCTTTTTATATGTAATCCCGTTTCCAACGAAATCCTCAAATCTAGCCAAATAGCCACTTGCAGATTCCACAAAAAGAGTGTTTCAAAACTGTTCTGTCTAAAGAAATGTTCAACTGTGTTAGTTGAGGACACACATCAGAAACTAGTTTCTGAGAATGCTTCTTTCTAGTTGTTATGGGAAGATATTTCCTTTTCCAACGTAGGCCTGAAAGCGCTCCAAATGTCCACTTCCAGATACTACAAAAAGAGTGTTTCAAACCTGCTCTACCAAAGGGAATGTTCTACTCTGTGACTTGAATGCAAACATCCCAAAGAAGTTTCTGAGAATGCTTCTGTCTAGATTTTCTCTGAAGACAATCCCGTTTCCAACGAAATCCTCAAGGCTAGGCAAATATACTCTTGCAGATTCCAGAAAAAGAGTGTTTCAAAACTGCTCCTTCAAAACGGTGGTTCAATTCTCTTAGTTGAGTACACACATCTCAAATAAGTTTCTGAGAATGCTTCTGCCTAGTTGTTACGGGAAGATATTTCCCTTTCCAATATGGGCCTGAAAGCGCTCCAAATGTCCACTTCCAGATACTACAAAAAGAGTGTTTCAAACCTGCTCTACCAAAGGGAATGTTCTACTCTGTGACTTGAATGCAAACATCCCAAAGAAGTTTCTGAGAATGCTTCTGTCTAGATTTTACCTGAAGACAATCCCGTTTCCCACGAAATCCTCAAAGCTATGCAAATATCCTCTTGCAGATTCTACAAAAAGAGTGTTTCAAAACTGCTCTATGAAAAGAAAGGTTCAACTCTGTCAGTAGAGGGCACACATCACAAACAAGTTTCTGAGAATGCTTCTGCATAGTTGTTACGGGAAGATATTTCCCTTTCCAAAATAGGCCTGAAAGCGCTCCAAATGTCCACTTCCAGATACTACAAAAGGAGTGATTCCAACCTGCTCTATGATAGGGAATGTTCAACTCTCTGTCCTGAATACAAACATCACAAAGATGTTTCTCAGAACGCTGCAGTCTGCAATTTGTATGAATTCCCGCTTCCAACGAAATCCTCAAAACTAGCCAAATATCCACTTGCAGATTCCACAAAAAGACCATTTCAAAACTGCTCTATCAAAAGAAAGGTTCAACTTTGTTAGTTGAGTAGATACAGCATAACCAAGTTTCTGAGAATGCTTCTGTCCAGTTTTTATGGGAAGATATTTCCTTTTTCACCTTAGCCCTGAAATCGCTCCAAAAGTCCAGTTCCAGATACTACAAAAGGGGTGTTTCAAGACTGCTCTATGAAAGGGAGTGTTCAACTTTTGACTTGAATGCAAACATCAGAAAGCAGTTTCTCAGAACGCTGCTGTGTGCTTTTTATATGTATTCCCGCTTCCAGCGAAATCCCCAAAGCTAGCCAAATATCCACTTGCAGATTCCAGAAAAAGAGAGTTTCAAAACTGCTCCTTCAAAACGGTGGTTCAATTCTCTTAGTTGAGTACACACATCTCAAATAAGTTTCTGAGAATGCTTCTGTCTAGTTGTTATGGGAAGATATTTCCTTTTCCAACATAGGCCTGAAAGCGCTCCAAATGTCCACTTCCAGATACTACAAAAGGAGTGATTCAAACCTGCTCTATGATAGGGAATGTTCAACTCTGTGTCCTGAATACAAACATCACAAAGATGTTTCTCAGAACGCTGCAGTCTGCAATTTGTATGAATTCCCGCTTCCAACGAAATCCTCAAAACTAGCCAAATATCCACTTGCAGATTCCACAAAAAGAGCGTTTCAAAACTTCTCTATGAAAAGAAAGGTTCTACTCCTTTAGTTGAGGACACACATCACGAGTAAGTTTCTGAGAATGCTTCTGTCTAGTTTTTATGGGAAGATTATTTCCTTTTTCACCTTAGGCCGGTAAGTGCTCCAAATGTCCACTTACACACACTACAAAAAGAGTGTTTCAAACCTGCTCTGTGAAAGGGAATGTTCAATTCTGTGACTTGAATGCAATCATCACAAAGAACTTTCTGAGAATGCTGCTGGCTGCTTTTTATATGTAATCCCGTTTCCAACGAAATCCTCAAATCTAGCCAAATAGCCACTTGCAGATTCCACAAAAAGAGTGTTTCAAAACTGTTCTGTCTAAAGAAATGTTCAACTGTGTTAGTTGAGGACACACATCAGAAACTAGTTTCTGAGAATGCTTCTGTCTAGTTGTTATGGGAAGATATTTCCTTTTCCAACGTAGGCCTGAAAGCGCTCCAAATGTCCACTTCCATATACGAAAAAAAGAGTGTTTCAAACCTGCTCTACCAAAGGGAATGTTCTACTCTGTGACTTGAATGCAAACATCCCAAAGAAGTTTCTGAGAATGCTTCTGTCTAGATTTTATCTGAAGACAATCCCGTTTCCAACGAAATCTTCAAGGCTAGGCAAATATACTCTTGCAGATTCCAGAAAAAGAGTGTTTCAAATCTGCTCCTTCAAAACGGTGGTTCAATTCTCTTAGTTGAGTACACACATCTCAAATAAGTTTCTGAGAATGCTTCTGCCTCGTTGTTACGGGAAGATATTTCCCTTTCCAACATGGGCCTGAAAGCGCTCCAAATGTCCACTTCCAGATACTACAAAAAGAGGGTTTCAAACCTGCTCTACCAAAGGGAATGTTCTACTCTGTGACTTGAATGCAAACATCCCAAAGAAGTTTCTGAGAATGCTTCTGTCTAGATTTTACCTGAAGACAATCCCGTTTCCCACGAAATCCTCGAAGCTATGCAAATATCCTCTTGCAGATTCTACAAAAAGAGTGTTTCAAAACTGCTCTATGAAAAGAAAGGTTCAACTCTGTCAGCAGAGGGCACACATCACAAACAAGTTTCTGAGAATGCTTGTGTCTAGTTGTTATGGGAAGATATTTCCTTTTTCAACATAGGCCTGAAAGCGCTCCAAATGTCCACTTCCAGATACTACAAAAGGAGTGATTCCAACCTGCTCTATGATAGGGAATGTTCATCTCTGTGTCCTGAATACAAACATCACAAAGATGTTTCTCAGAACGCTGCAGTCTGCAATTTGTATGAATTCCCGCTTCCAACGAAATCCTCAAAACTAGCCAAATATCCACTTGCAGATTCCACAAAAAGAGCATTTCAAAACTGCTCTATCAAAAGAAAGGTTCAACTTTGTTAGTTGAGTAGATACAGCATAAACAAGTTTCTGAGAATGCTTCTGTCCAGTTTTTATGGGAAGATATTTCCTTTTTCACCTTAGCCCTGAAAGCGCTCCAAAAGTCCAGTTCCAGATACTACAAAAGGAGTGTTTCAGGACTGCTCTATGAAAGGGAGTGTTCAACTTTTGACTTGAATGCAAACATCAGAAAGCAGTTTCTCAGAACGCTGCTGTGTGCTTTTTATATGTATTCCCGCTTCCAGCGAAATCCCCAAAGCTAGCCAAATATCCACTTGCAGATTCCAGAAAAAGAGTGTTTCAAAACTGCTCCTTCAAAACGGTGGTTCAATTCTCTTAGTTGAGTACACACATCTCAAATAAGTTTCTGAGAATGCTTCTGTCTAGTTGTTATGGGAAGATATTTCCTTTTCCAACATAGGCCTGAAAGCGCTCCAAATGTCCACTTCCAGATACTACAAAAGGAGTGATTCCAACCTGCTCTATGATAGGGAATGTTCAACTCTGTGTCCTGAATACAAACATCACAAAGATGTTTCTCAGAACGCTGCAGTCTGCAATTTGTATGAATTCCCGCTTCCAACGAAATCCTCCAAACTAGCCAAATATCCACTTGCAGATTCCACAAAAAGAGCGTTTCAAAACTTCTCTATGAAAAGAAAGGTTCTACTCCTTTAGTTGAGGACACACATCACGAGTAAGTTTCTGAGAATGCTTCTGTCTAGTTTTTATGGGAAGATATTTCCTTTTTCACCTTAGGCCGGTAAGTGCTCCAAATGTCCACTTACACACACTACAAAAAGAGTGTTTCAAACCTGCTCTGTGAAAGGGAATGTTCAATTCTGTGACTTGAATGCAATCATCACAAAGAACTTTCGGAGAATGCTGCTGTCTGCTTTTTATATGTAATCCCGTTTCCAACGAAATCCTCAAATCTAGCCAAATATCCACTTGCAGATTCCACAAAAAGAGTGTTTCAAAACTGTTCTGTCTAAAGAAATGTACAACTGTGTTAGTTGAGGACACACATCAGAAACTAGTTTCTGAGAATGCTTCTGTCTAGTTGTTATGGGAAGATATTTCCTTTTCCAACGTAGGCCTGAAAGCGCTCCAAATGTCCACTTCCATATACTAAAAAAAGAGTGTTTCAAACCTGCTCTACCAAAGGGAATGTTCTACTCTGTGACTTGAATGCAAACATCCCAAAGAAGTTTCTGAGAATGCTTCTGTCTAGATTTTATCTGAAGACAATCCCGTTTCCAACGAAATCCTCAAGGCTAGGCAAATATACTCTTGCAGATTCCAGAAAAAGAGGGTTTCAAAACTGCTCCTTCAAAACGGTGGTTCAATTCTCTTAGTTGAGTACACACATCTCAAATAAGTTTCTGAGAATGCTTCTGCCTAGTTGTTACGGGAAGATATTTCCCTTTCCAACATGGGCCTGAAAGCGCTCCAAATGTCCACTTCCAGATACTACAAAAAGAGTGTTTCAAACCTGCTCTACCAAAGGGAATGTTCTACTCTGTGACTTGAATGCAAACATCCCAAAGAAGTTTCTGAGAATGCTTCTGTCTACATTTTACCTGAAGACAATCCCGTTTCCCACGAAATCCTCAAAGCTATGCAAATATCCTCTTGCGGATTCTACAAAAAGAGTGTTTCAAAACTGCTCTATGAAAAGAAAGGTTCAACTCTGTCAGTAGAGGGCACACATCACAAACAAGTTTCTGAGAATGCTTGTGTCTAGTTGTTATGGGAAGATATTTCCTTTTTCAACATAGGCCTGAAAGCGCTCCAAATGTCCACTTCCAGATACTACAAAAGGAGTGATTCCAACCTGCTCTATGATAGGGAATGTTCATCTCTGTGTCCTGAATAGAAACATCACAAAGATGTTTCTCAGAACGCTGCAGTCTGCAATTTGTATGAATTCCCGCTTCCAACGAAATCCTCAAAACTAGCCAAATATCCACTTGCAGATTCCACAAAAAGAGCATTTCAAAACTGCTCTATCAAAAGAAAGGTTCAACTTTGTTAGTTGAGTAGATACAGCATAAACAAGTTTCTGAGAATGCTTCTGTCCAGTTTTTATGGGAAGATATTTCCTTTTTCACCTTAGCCCTGAAAGCGCTCCAAAAGTCCAGTTCCAGATACTACAAAAGGAGTGTTTCAGGACTGCTCTATGAAAGGGAGTGTTCAACTTTTGACTTGAATGCAAACATCAGAAAGCAGTTTCTCAGAACGCTGCTGTGTGCTTTTTATATGTATTCCCGCTTCCAGCGAAATCCCCAAAGCTAGCCAAATATCCACTTGCAGATTCCAGAAAAAGAGTGTTTCAAAACTGCTCCTTCAAAACGGTGGTTCAATTCTCTTAGTTGAGTACACACATCTCAAATAAGTTTCTGAGAATGCTGCTGTGTGCTTTTTATATGTATTCCCGCTTCCAGCGAAATCCCCAAAGCTAGCCAAATATCCACTTGCAGATTCCAGAAAAAGAGTGTGTCAAAACTGCTCCTTCAAAACGGTGGTTCAATTCTCTTAGTTGAGTACACACATCTCAAATAAGTTTCTGAGAATGCTTCTGCATAGTTGTTACGGGAAGATATTTCCCTTTCCAAAATAGGCCTGAAAGCGCTCCAAATGTCCACTTCCAGATACTACAAAAGGAGTGATTCCAACCTGCTCTATGATAGGGAATGTTCAACTCTGTGTCCTGAATACAAACATCACAAAGATGTTTCTCAGAACGCTGCAGTCTGCAATTTGTATGAATTCCCGCTTCCAACGAAATCCTCAAAACTAGCCAAATATCCACTTGCAGATTCCACAAAAAGAGCGTTTCAAAACTTCTCTATGAAAAGAAAGGTTCTACTCCTTTAGTTGAGGACACACATCACGAGTAAGTTTCTGAGAATGCTTCTGTCTAGTTTTTATGGGAAGATATTTCCTTTTTCACCTTAGGCCGGTAAGTGCTCCAAATGTCCACTTACACACACTACAAAAAGAGTGTTTCAAACCTGCTCTGTGAAAGGGAATGTTCAATTCTGTGACTTGAATGCAATCATCACAAAGAACTTTCTGAGAATGCTGCTGACTGCTTTTTATATGTAATCCCGTTTCCAACGAAATCCTCAAATCTAGCCAAATAGCCACTTGCAGATTCCACAAAAAGAGTGTTTCAAAACTGTTCTGTCTAAAGAAATGTTCAACTGTGTTAGTTGAGGACACACATCAGAAACTAGTTTCTGAGAATGCTTCTGTCTAGTTGTTATGGGAAGATATTTCCTTTTCCAACGTAGGCCTGAAAGCGCTCCAAATGTCCACTTCCAGATACTAAAAAAAGAGTGTTTCAAACCTGCTCTACCAAAGGGAATGTTCTACTCTGTGACTTGAATGCAAACATCCCAAAGAAGTTTCTGAGAATGCTTCTGTCTAGATTTTACCTGAAGACAATCCCGTTTCCCACGAAATCCTCAAAGCTATGCAAATATCCTCTTGCAGATTCTACAAAAAGAGTGTTTCAAAACTGCTCTATGAAAAGAAAGGTTCAACTCTGTCAGTAGAGGGCACACATCACAAACAAGTTTCTGAGAATGCTTCTGCATAGTTGTTACGGGAAGATATTTCCCTTTCCAAAATAGGCCTGAAAGCGCTCCAAATGTCCACTTCCAGATACTACAAAAGGAGTGATTCCAACCTGCTCTATGATAGGGAATGTTCAACTCTGTGTCCTGAATACAAACATCACAAAGATGTTTCTCAGAACGCTGCAGTCTGCAATTTGTATGAATTCCCGCTTCCAACGAAATCCTCAAAACTAGCCAAATATCCACTTGCAGATTCCACAAAAAGACCATTTCAAAACTGCTCTATCAAAAGAAAGGTTCAACTTTTTTAGTTGAGTAGATACAGCATAAACAAGTTTCTGAGAATGCTTCTGTCCAGTTTTTATGGGAAGATATTTCCTTTTTCACCTTAGCCCTGAAATCGCTCCAAAAGTCCAGTTCCAGATACTACAAAAGGGGTGTTTCAAGACTGCTCTATGAAAGGGAGTGTTCAACTTTTGACTTGAATGCAAACATCAGAAAGCAGTTTCTCAGAACGCTGCTGTGTGTTTTTTATATGTATTCCCGCTTCCAGCGAAATCCCCAAAGCTAGCCAAATATCCACTTGCAGATTCCAGAAAAAGAGCGTTTCAAAACTGCTCCTTGAAAACGGTGGTTCAATTCTCTTAGTTGAGTACACCCATCTCAAATAACTTTCTGAGAATGCTTCTGTCCAGTTTTTATGGGAAGATATTTCCTTTTTCACCTTAGCCCTGAAATCGCTCCAAAAGTCCAGTTCCAGATACTACAAAAGGGGTGTTTCAGGACTGCCCTATGAAAGGGAGTGTTCAACTTTTGACTTGAATGCAAACATCAGAAAGCAGTTTCTCAGAACGCTGCTGTGTGCTTTTTATATGTATTCCCGCTTCCAGCGAAATCCCCAAAGCTAGCCAAATATCCACTTGCAGATTCCAGAAAAAGAGAGTTTCAAAACTGCTCCTTCAAAACGGTGGTTCAATTCTCTTAGTTGAGTACACACATCTCAAATAAGTTTCTGAGAATGCTTCTGTCTAGTTGTTATGGGAAGATATTTCCTTTTCCAACATAGGCCTGAAAGCGCTCCAAATGTCCACTTCCAGATACTACAAAAGGAGTGATTCAAACCTGCTCTATGATAGGGAATGTTCAACTCTGTGTCCTGAATACAAACATCACAAAGATGTTTCTCAGAACGCTGCAGTCTGCAATTTGTATGAATTCCCGCTTCCAACGAAATCCTCCAAACTAGCCAAATATCCACTTGCAGATTCCACAAAAAGAGCGTTTCAAAACTTCTCTATGAAAAGAAAGGTTCTACTCCTTTAGTTGAGGACACACATCACGAGTAAGTTTCTGAGAATGCTTCTGTCTAGTTTTTATGGGAAGATATTTCCTTTTTCACCTTAGGCCGGTAAGTGCTCCAAATGTCCACTTACACACACTACAAAAAGAGTGTTTCAAACCTGCTCTGTGAAAGGGAATGTTCAATTCTGTGACTTGAATGCAATCATCACAAAGAACTTTCTGAGAATGCCGCTGACTGCTTTTTATATGTAATCCCGTTTCCAACGAAATCCTCAAATCTAGCCAAATAGCCACTTGCAGATTCCACAAAAAGAGTGTTTCAAAACTGTTCTGTCTAAAGAAATGTTCAACTGTGTTAGTTGAGGACACACATCAGAAACTAGTTTCTGAGAATGCTTCTGTCTAGTTGTTATGGGAAGATATTTCCTTTTCCAACGTAGGCCTGAAAGCGCTCCAAATGTCCACTTCCAGATACTACAAAAAGAGTGTTTCAAACCTGCTCTACCAAAGGGAATGTTCTACTCTGTGACTTGAATGCAAGCATCCCAAAGAAGTTTCTGAGAATGCTTCTGTCTAGATTTTCTCTGAAGACAATCCCGTTTCCAACGAAATCCTCAAGGCTAGGCAAATATACTCTTGCAGATTCCAGAAAAAGAGTGTTTCAAAACTGCTCCTTCAAAACGGTGGTTCAATTCTCTTAGTTGAGTACACACATCTCAAATAAGTTTCTGAGAATGCTTCTGCCTAGTTGTTACGGGAAGATATTTCCCTTTCCAACATGGGCCTGAAAGCGCTCCAAATGTCCACTTCCAGATACTACAAAAAGAGTGTTTCAAACCTGCTCTACCAAAGGGAATGTTCTACTCTGTGACTTGAATGCAAACATCCCAAAGAAGTTTCTGAGAATGCTTCTGTCTAGATTTTACCTGAAGACAATCCCGTTTCCCACGAAATCCTCAAAGCTATGCAAATATCCTCTTGCAGATTCTACAAAAAGAGTGTTTCAAAACTGCTCTATGAAAAGAAAGGTTCAACTCTGTCAGTAGAGGGCACACATCACAAACAAGTTTCTGAGAATGCTTCTGCATAGTTGTTACGGGAAGATATTTCCCTTTCCAAAATAGGCCTGAAAGCGCTCCAAATGTCCACTTCCAGATACTACAAAAGGAGTGATTCCAACCTGCTCTATGATAGGGAATGTTCAACTCTGTGTCCTGAATACAAACATCACAAAGATGTTTCTCAGAACGCTGCAGTCTGCAATTTGTATGAATTCCCGCTTCCAACGAAATCCTCAAAACTAGCCAAATATCCACTTGCAGATTCCACAAAAAGACCATTTCAAAACTGCTCTATCAAAAGAAAGGTTCAACTTTGTTAGTTGAGTAGATACAGCATAACCAAGTTTCTGAGAATGCTTCTGTCCAGTTTTTATGGGAAGATATTTCCTTTTTCACCTTAGCCCTGAAATCGCTCCAAAAGTCCAGTTCCAGATACTACAAAAGGGGTGTTTCAAGACTGCTCTATGAAAGGGAGTGTTCAACTTTTGACTTGAATGCAAACATCAGAAAGCAGTTTCTCCGAACGCTGCTGTGTGCTTTTTATATGTATTCCCGCTTCCAGCGAAATCCCCAAAGCTAGCCAAATATCCACTTGCAGATTCCAGAAAAAGAGAGTTTCAAAACTGCTCCTTCAAAACGGTGGTTCAATTCTCTTAGTTGAGTACACACATCTCAAATAAGTTTCTGAGAATGCTTCTGTCTAGTTGTTATGGGAAGATATTTCCTTTTCCAACATAGGCCTGAAAGCGCTCCAAATGTCCACTTCCAGATACTACAAAAGGAGTGATTCCAACCTGCTCTATGATAGGGAATGTTCAACTCTGTGTCCTGAATACAAACATCACAAAGATGTTTCTCAGAACGCTGCAGTCTGCAATTTGTATGAATTCCCGCTTCCAACGAAATCCTCAAAACTAGCCAAATATCCACTTGCAGATTCCACAAAAAGAGCGTTTCAAAACTTCTCTATGAAAAGAAAGGTTCTACTCCTTTAGTTGAGGACACACATCACGAGTAAGTTTCTGAGAATGCTTCTGTCTAGTTTTTATGGGAAGATATTTCCTTTTTCACCTTAGGCCGGTAAGTGCTCCAAATGTCCACTTACACACACTACAAAAAGAGTGTTTCAAACCTGCTCTGTGAAAGGGAATGTTCAATTCTGTGACTTGAATGCAATCATCACAAAGAACTTTCTGAGAATGCTGCTGACTGCTTTTTATATGTAATCCCGTTTCCAACGAAATCCTCAAATCTAGCCAAATAGCCACTTGCAGATTCCACAAAAAGAGTGTTTCAAAACTGTTCTGTCTAAAGAAATGTTCAACTGTGTTAGTTGAGGACACACATCAGAAACTAGTTTCTGAGAATGCTTCTGTCTAGTTGTTATGGGAAGATATTTCCTTTTCCAACGTAGGCCTGAAAGCGCTCCAAATGTCCACTTCCATATACTAAAAAAAGAGTGTTTCAAACCTGCTCTACCAAAGGGAATGTTCTACTCTGTGACTTGAATGCAAACATCCCAAAGAAGTTTCTGAGAATGCTTCTGTCTAGATTTTCTCTGAAGACAATCCCGTTTCCAACGAAATCCTCAAGGCTAGGCAAATATACTCTTGCAGATTCCAGAAAAAGAGTGTTTCAAAACTGCTCCTTCAAAACGGTGGTTCAATTCTCTTAGTTGAGTACACACATCTCAAATAAGTTTCTGAGAATGCTTCTGCCTAGTTGTTACGGGAAGATATTTCCCTTTCCAACATAGGCCTGAAAGCGCTCCAAATGTCCACTTCCAGATACTACAAAAAGAGTGTTTCAAACCTGCTCTACCAAAGGGAATGTTCTACTCTGTGACTTGAATGCAAACATCCCAAAGAAGTTTCTGAGAATGCTTCTGTCTAGATTTTACCTGAAGACAATCCCGTTTCCCACGAAATCCTCAAAGCTATGCAAATATCCTCTTGCAGATTCTACAAAAAGAGTGTTTCAAAACTGCTCTATGAAAAGAAAGGTTCAACTCTGTCAGTAGAGGGCACACATCACAAACAAGTTTCTGAGAATGCTTGTGTCTAGTTTTTATGGGAAGATATTTCCTTTTTCAACATAGGCCTGAAAGCGCTCCAAATGTCCACTTCCAGATGCTACAAAAGGAGTGATTCCAACATGCTCTATGATAGGGAATGTTCATCTCTGTGTCCTGAATACAAACATCACAAAGATGTTTCTCAGAACGCTGCAGTCTGCAATTTGTATGAATTCCCGCTTCCAACGAAATCCTCAAACCTAGCCAAATATCCACTTGCAGATTCCACAAAAAGAGCATTTCAAAACTGCTCTATCAAAAGAAAGGTTCAACTTTGTTAGTTGAGTAGATACAGCATAAACAAGTTTCTGAGAATGCTTCTGTCCAGTTTTTATGGGAAGATATTTCCTTTTGCACCTTAGCCCTGAAAGCGCTCCAAATGTCCAGTTCCTGATACTACAAAAGGGGTGTTTCAAGACTGCTCTATGAAAGGGATTGTTCAACTTTTGACTTGAATGCAAACATCAGAAAGCAGTTTCTCAGAACGCTGCTGTGTGCTTTTTATATGTATTCCCGCTTCCAGCGAAATCCCCAAAGCTAGCCAAATATCCACTTGCAGATTCCAGAAAAAGAGTGTTTCAAAACTGCTCCTTCAAAACGGTGGTTCAATTCTCTTAGTTGAGTACACACATCTCAAATAAGTTTCTGAGAATGCTGCAGTCTGCAATTTGTATGAATTCCCGCTTCCAACGAAATCCTCAAAACTAGCCAAATATCCACTTGCAGATTCCACAAAAAGACCATTTCAAAACTGCTCTATCAAAAGAAAGGTTCAACTTTGTTAGTTGAGTAGATACAGCATAAACAAGTTTACTGAGAATGCTTCTGTCCAGTTTTTATGGGAAGATATTTCCTTTTTCACCTTAGCCCTGAAATCGCTCCAAAAGTCCAGTTCCAGATACTACAAAAGGGGTGTTTCAAGACTGCTCTATGAAAGGGAGTGTTCAACTTTTGACTTGAATGCAAACATCAGAAAGCAGTTTCTCAGAACGCTGCTGTGTGCTTTTTATATGTATTCCCGCTTCCAGCGAAATCCCCAAAGCTAGCCAAATATCCACTTGCAGATTCCAGAAAAAGAGAGTTTCAAAACTGCTCCTTCAAAACGGTGGTTCAATTCTCTTAGTTGAGTACACACATCTCAAATAAGTTTCTGAGAATGCTTCTGTCTAGTTGTTATGGGAAGATATTTCCTTTTCCAACATAGGCCTGAAAGCGCTCCAAATGTCCACTTCCAGATACTACAAAAGGAGTGATTCCAACCTGCTCTATGATAGGGAATGTTCAACTCTGTGTCCTGAATACAAACATCACAAAGATGTTTCTCAGAACGCTGCAGTCTGCAATTTGTATGAATTCCCGCTTCCAACGAAATCCTCAAAACTAGCCAAATATCCACTTGCAGATTCCACAAAAAGACCATTTCAAAACTGCTCTATCAAAAGAAAGGTTCAACTTTGTTAGTTGAGTAGATACAGCATAAACAAGTTTCTGAGAATGCTTCTGTCCAGTTTTTATGGGAAGATATTTCCTTTTTCACCTTAGCCCTGAAATCGCTCCAAAAGTCCAGTTCCAGATACTACAAAAGGGGTGTTTCAAGACTGCTCTATGAAAGGGAGTGTTCAACTTTTGACTTGAATGCAAACATCAGAAAGCAGTTTCTCAGAACGCTGCTGTGTGCTTTTTATATGTATTCCCGCTTCCAGCGAAATCCCCAAAGCTAGCCAAATATCCACTTGCAGATTCCAGAAAAAGAGTGTTTCAAAACTGCTCCTTCAAAACGGTGGTTCAATTCTCTTAGTTGAGTACACACATCTCAAATAAGTTTCTGAGAATGCTTCTGTCTAGTTGTTATGGGAAGATATTTCCTTTTCCAACATAGGCCTGAAAGCGCTCCAAATGTCCACTTCCAGATACTACAAAAGGAGTGATTCAAACCTGCTCTAAGATAGGGAATGTTCAACTCTGTGTCCTGAATACAAACATCACAAAGATGTTTCTCAGAACGCTGCAGTCTGCAATTTGTATGAATTCCCGCTTCCAACGAAATCCTCAAAACTAGCCAAATATCCACTTGCAGATTCCACAAAAAGAGCGTTTCAAAACTTCTCTATGAAAAGAAAGGTTCTACTCCTTTAGTTGAGGACACACATCACGAGTAAGTTTCTGAGAATGCTTCTGTCTAGTTTTTATGAGAAGATATTTCCTTTTTCACCTTAGGCCGGAAAGTGCTCCAAATGTCCACTTACACACACTACAAAAAGAGTGTTTCAAACCTGCTCTGTGAAAGGGAATGTTCAATTCTGTGACTTGAATGCAATCATCACAAAGAACTTTCTGAGAATGCTGCTGACTGCTTTTTATATGTAATCCCGTTTCCAACGAAATCCTCAAATCTAGCCAAATAGCCACTTGCAGATTCCACAAAAAGAGAGTTTCAAAACTGTTCTGTCTAAAGAAATGTTCAACTGTGTTAGTTGAGGACACACATCAGAAACTAGTTTCTGAGAATGCTTCTGTCTAGTTGTTATGGGAAGATATTTCCTTTTCCAACGTAGGCCTGAAAGCGCTCCAAATGTCCACTTCCATATACTAAAAAAAGAGTGTTTCAAACCTGCTCTACCAAAGGGAATGTTCTACTCTGTGACTTGAATGCAAACATCCCAAAGAAGTTTCTGAGAATGCTTCTGTCTAGATTTGATCTGAAGACAATCCCGTTTCCAACGAAATCCTCAAGGCTAGGCAAATATACTCTTGCAGATTCCAGAAAAAGAGTGTTTCAAAACTGCTCCTTCAAAACGGTGGTTCAATTCTCTTAGTTGAGTACACACATCTCAAATAAGTTTCTGAGAATGCTTCTGCCTATTTGTTACGGGAAGATATTTCCCTTTCCAACATGGGCCTGAAAGCGCTCCAAATGTCCACTTCCAGATACTACAAAAAGAGTGTTTCAAACCTGCTCTACCAAAGGGAATGTTCTACTCTGTGACTTGAATGCAAACATCCCAAAGAAGTTTCTGAGAATGCTTCTGTCTAGATTTTACCTGAAGACAATCCCGTTTCCCACGAAATCCTCAAGGCTAGGCAAATATACTCTTGCAGATTCCAGAAAAAGAGTGTTTCAAAACTGCTCCTTCAAAACGGTGGTTCAATTCTCTTAGTTGAGTACACACATCTCAAATAAGTTTCTGAGAATGCTTCTGCCTAGTTGTTACGGGAAGATATTTCCCTTTCCAACATGGGCCTGAAAGCGCTCCAAATGTCCACTTCCAGATACTACAAAAAGAGTGTTTCAAACCTGCTCTACCAAAGGGAATGTTCTACTCTGTGACTTGAATGCAAACATCCCAAAGAAGTTTCTGAGAATGCTTCTGTCTAGATTTTACCTGAAGACAATCCCGTTTCCCATGAAATCCTCAAAGCTATGCAAATATCCTCTTGCAGATTCTACAAAAAGAGTGTTTCAAAACTGCTCTATGAAAAGAAAGGTTCAACTCTGTCAGTAGAGGGCACACATCACAAACAAGTTTCTGAGAATGCTTCTGCATAGTTGTTACGGGAAGATATTTCCCTTTCCAAAATAGGCCTGAAAGCGCTCCAAATGTCCACTTCCAGATACTACAAAAGGAGTGATTCCAACCTGCTCTATGATAGGGAATGTTCAACTCTGTGTCCTGAATACAAACATCACAAAGATGTTTCTCAGAACGCTGCAGTCTGCAATTTGTATGAATTCCCGCTTCCAACGAAATCCTCAAAACTAGCCAAATATCCACTTGCAGATTCCACAAAAAGACCATTTCAAAACTGCTCTATCAAAAGAAAGGTTCAACTTTGTTAGTTGAGTAGATACAGCATAAACAAGTTTCTGAGAATGCTTCTGTCCAGTTTTTATGGGAAGATATTTCCTTTTTCACCTTAGCCCTGAAATCGCTCCAAAAGTCCAGTTCCAGATACTACAAAAGGGGTGTTTCAAGACTGCTCTATGAAAGGGAGTGTTCAACTTTTGACTTGAATGCAAACATCAGAAAGCAGTTTCTCCGAACGCTGCTGTGTGCTTTTTATATGTATTCCCGCTTCCAGCGAAATCCCCAAAGCTAGCCAAATATCCACTTGCAGATTCCAGAAAAAGAGAGTTTCAAAACTGCTCCTTCAAAACGGTGGTTCAATTCTCTTAGTTGAGTACACACATCTCAAATAAGTTTCTGAGAATGCTTCTGTCTAGTTGTTATGGGAAGATATTTCCTTTTCCAACATAGGCCTGAAGCGCTCCAAATGTCCACTTCCAGATACTACAAAAGGAGTGATTCAAACCTGCTCTATGATAGGGAATGTTCAACTCTGTGTCCTGAATACAAACATCACAAAGATGTTTCTCAGAACGCTGCAGTCTGCAATTTGTATGAATTCCCGCTTCCAACGAAATCCTCCAAACTAGCCAAATATCCACTTGCAGATTCCACAAAAAGAGCGTTTCAAAACTTCTCTATGAAAAGAAAGGTTCTACTCCTTTAGTTGAGGACACACATCACGAGTAAGTTTCTGAGAATGCTTCTGTCTAGTTTTTATGGGAAGATATTTCCTTTTTCACCTTAGGCCGGTAAGTGCTCCAAATGTCCACTTACACACACTACAAAAAGAGTGTTTCAAACCTGCTCTGTGAAAGGGAATGTTCAATTCTGTGACTTGAATGCAATCATCACAAAGAACTTTCTGAGAATGCTGCTGACTGCTTTTTATATGTAATCCCGTTTCCAACGAAATCCTCAAATCTAGCCAAATAGCCACTTGCAGATTCCACAAAAAGAGTGTTTCAAAACTGTTCTGTCTAAAGAAATGTTCAACTGTGTTAGTTGAGGACACACATCAGAAACTAGTTTCTGAGAATGCTTCTGTCTAGTTGTTATGGGAAGATATTTCCTTTTCCAACGTAGGCCTGAAAGCGCTCCAAATGTCCACTTCCAGATACTACAAAAAGAGTGTTTCAAACCTGCTCTACCAAAGGGAATGTTCTACTCTGTGACTTGAATGCAAACATCCCAAAGAAGTTTCTGAGAATGCTTCTGTCTAGATTTTCTCTGAAGACAATCCCGTTTCCAACGAAATCCTCAAGGCTAGGCAAATATACTCTTGCAGATTCCAGAAAAAGAGTGTTTCAAAACTGCTCCTTCAAAACGGTGGTTCAATTCTCTTAGTTGAGTACACACATCTCAAATAAGTTTCTGAGAATGCTTCTGCCTAGTTGTTACGGGAAGATATTTCCCTTTCCAACATGGGCCTGAAAGCGCTCCAAATGTCCACTTTCAGATACTACAAAAAGAGTGTTTCAAACCTGCTCTACCAAAGGGAATGTTCTACTCTGTGACTTGAATGCAAACATCCCAAAGAAGTTTGCTGAGAATGCTTCTGTCTAGATTTTACCTGAAGACAATCCCGTTTCCCACGAAATCCTCAAAGCTATGCAAATATCCTCTTGCAGATTCTACAAAAAGAGTGTTTCAAAACTGCTCTATGAAAAGAAAGGTTCAACTCTGTCAGTAGAGGGCACACATCACAAACAAGTTTCTGAGAATGCTTCTGCATAGTTGTTACGGGAAGATATTTCCCTTTCCAAAATAGGCCTGAAAGCGCTCCAAATGTCCACTTCCAGATACTACAAAAGGAGTGATTCCAACCTGCTCTATGATAGGGAATGTTCAACTCTGTGTCCTGAATACAAACATCACAAAGATGTTTCTCAGAACGCTGCAGTCTGCAATTTGTATGAATTCCCGCTTCCAACGAAATCCTCAAAACTAGCCAAATATCCACTTGCAGATTCCACAAAAAGACCATTTCAAAACTGCTCTATCAAAAGAAAGGTTCAACTTTGTTAGTTGAGTAGATACAGCATAAACAAGTTTCTGAGAATGCTTCTGTCCAGTTTTTATGGGAAGATATTTCCTTTTTCACCTTAGCCCTGAAATCGCTCCAAAAGTCCAGTTCCAGATACTACAAAAGGGGTGTTTCAGGACTGCCCTATGAAAGGGAGTGTTCAACTTTTGACTTGAATGCAAACATCAGAAAGCAGTTTCTCAGAACGCTGCTGTGTGCTTTTTATATGTATTCCCGCTTCCAGCGAAATCCCCAAAGCTAGCCAAATATCCACTTGCAGATTCCAGAAAAAGAGAGTTTCAAAACTGCTCCTTCAAAACGGTGGTTCAATTCTCTTAGTTGAGTACACACATCTCAAATAAGTTTCTGAGAATGCTTCTGTCTAGTTGTTATGGGAAGATATTTCCTTTTCCAACATAGGCCTGAAAGCGCTCCAAATGTCCACTTCCAGATACTACAAAAGGAGTGATTCAAACCTGCTCTATGATAGGGAATGTTCAACTCTGTGTCCTGAATACAAACATCACAAAGATGTTTCTCAGAACGCTGCAGTCTGCAATTTGTATGAATTCCCGCTTCCAACGAAATCCTCAAAACTAGCCAAATATCCACTTGCAGATTCCACAAAAAGAGCGTTTCAAAACTTCTCTATGAAAAGAAAGGTTCTACTCCTTTAGTTGAGGACACACATCACGAGTAAGTTTCTGAGAATGCTTCTGTCTAGTTTTTATGGGAAGATATTTCCTTTTTCACCTTAGGCCGGTAAGTGCTCCAAATGTCCACTTACACACACTACAAAAAGAGTGTTTCAAACCTGCTCTGTGAAAGGGAATGTTCAATTCTGTGACTTGAATGCAATCATCACAAAGAACTTTCTGAGAATGCCGCTGACTGCTTTTTATATGTAATCCCGTTTCCAACGAAATCCTCAAATCTAGCCAAATAGCCACTTGCAGATTCCACAAAAAGAGTGTTTCAAAACTGTTCTGTCTAAAGAAATGTTCAACTGTGTTAGTTGAGGACACACATCAGAAACTAGTTTCTGAGAATGCTTCTGTCTAGTTGTTATGGGAAGATATTTCCTTTTCCAACGTAGGCCTGAAAGCGCTCCAAATGTCCACTTCCAGATACTACAAAAAGAGTGTTTCAAACCTGCTCTACCAAAGGGAATGTTCTACTCTGTGACTTGAATGCAAGCATCCCAAAGAAGTTTCTGAGAATGCTTCTGTCTAGATTTTCTCTGAAGACAATCCCGTTTCCAACGAAATCCTCAAGGCTAGGCAAATATACTCTTGCAGATTCCAGAAAAAGAGTGTTTCAAAACTGCTCCTTCAAAACGGTGGTTCAATTCTCTTAGTTGAGTACACACATCTCAAATAAGTTTCTGAGAATGCTTCTGCCTAGTTGTTACGGGAAGATATTTCCCTTTCCAACATGGGCCTGAAAGCGCTCCAAATGTCCACTTCCAGATACTACAAAAAGAGTGTTTCAAACCTGCTCTACCAAAGGGAATGTTCTACTCTGTGACTTGAATGCAAACATCCCAAAGAAGTTTCTGAGAATGCTTCTGTCTAGATTTTACCTGAAGACAATCCCGTTTCCCACGAAATCCTCAAAGCTATGCAAATATCCTCTTGCAGATTCTACAAAAAGAGTGTTTCAAAACTGCTCTATGAAAAGAAAGGTTCAACTCTGTCAGTAGAGGGCACACATCACAAACAAGTTTCTGAGAATGCTTGTGTCTAGTTGTTATGGGAAGATATTTCCTTTTTCAACATAGGCCTGAAAGCGCTCCAAATGTCCACTTCCAGATACTACAAAAGGAGTGATTCCAACCTGCTCTATGATAGGGAATGTTCATCTCTGTGTCCTGAATACAAACATCACAAAGATGTTTCTCAAAACGCTGCAGTCTGCAATTTGTATGAATTCCCGCTTCCAACGAAATCCTCAAAACTAGCCAAATATCCACTTGCAGATTCCACAAAAAGACCATTTCAAAACTGCTCTATCAAAAGAAAGGTTCAACTTTGTTAGTTGAGTAGATACAGCATAAACAAGTTTCTGAGAATGCTTCTGTCCAGTTTTTATGGGAAGATATTTCCTTTTTCACCTTAGCCCTGAAATCGCTCCAAAAGTCCAGTTCCAGATACTACAAAAGGGGTGTTTCAAGACTGCTCTATGAAAGGGAGTGTTCAACTTTTGACTTGAATGCAAACATCAGAAAGCAGTTTCTCAGAACGCTTGCTGTGTGCTTTTTATATGTATTCCCGCTTCCAGCGAAATCCCCAAAGCTAGCCAAATATCCACTTGCAGATTCCAGAAAAAGAGTGTTTCAAAACTGCTCCTTCAAAACGGTGGTTCAATTCTCTTAGTTGAGTACACACATCTCAAATAAGTTTCTGAGAATGCTTCTGTCTAGTTGTTATGGGAAGATATTTCCTTTTCCAACATAGGCCTGAAAGCGCTCCAAATGTCCACTTCCAGATACTACAAAAGGAGTGATTCCAACCTGCTCTATGATAGGGAATGTTCAACTCTGTGTCCTGAATACAAACATCACAAAGATGTTTCTCAGAACGCTGCAGTCTGCAATTTGTATGAATTCCCGCTTCCAACGAAATCCTCAAAACTAGCCAAATATCCACTTGCAGATTCCACAAAAAGAGCGTTTCAAAACTTCTCTATGAAAAGAAAGGTTCTACTCCTTTAGTTGAGGACACACATCACGAGTAAGTTTCTGAGAATGCTTCTGTCTAGTTTTTATGGGAAGATTATTTCCTTTTTCACCTTAGGCCGGTAAGTGCTCCAAATGTCCACTTACACACACTACAAAAAGAGTGTTTCAAACCTGCTCTGTGAAAGGGAATGTTCAATTCTGTGACTTGAATGCAATCATCACAAAGAACTTTCTGAGAATGCTGCTGACTGCTTTTTATATGTAATCCCGTTTCCAACGAAATCCTCAAATCTAGCCAAATAGCCTCTTGCAGATTCCACAAAAAGAGTGTTTCAAAACTGTTCTGTCTAAAGAAATGTTCAACTGTGTTAGTTGAGGACACACATCAGAAACTAGTTTCTGAGAATGCTTCTGTCTAGTTGTTATGGGAAGATATTTCCTTTTCCAACGTAGGCCTGAAAGCGCTCCCAAATGTCCACTTTCATATACTAAAAAAAGAGTGTTTCAAACCTGCTCTACCAAAGGGAATGTTCTACTCTGTGACTTGAATGCAAACATCCCAAAGAAGTTTCTGAGAATGCTTCTGTCTAGATTTGATCTGAAGACAATCCCGTTTCCAACGAAATCCTCAAGGCTAGGCAAATATCCTCTTGCAGATTCCAGAAAAAGAGTGTTTCAAAACTGCTCCTTCAAAACGGTGGTTCAATTCTCTTAGTTGAGTACACACATCTCAAATAAGTTTCTGAGAATGCTTCTGCCTAGTTGTTACGGGAAGATATTTCCCTTTCCAACATAGGCCTGAAAGCGCTCCAAATGTCCACTTCCAGATACTACAAAAAGAGTGTTTCAAACCTGCTCTACCAAAGGGAATGTTCTACTCTGTGACTTGAATGCAAACATCCCAAAGAAGTTTCTGAGAATGCTTCTGTCTAGATTTTACCTGAAGACAATCCCGTTTCCCACGAAATCCTCAAAGCTATGCAAATATCCTCTTGCAGATTCTACAAAAAGAGTGTTTCAAAACTGCTCTATGAAAAGAAAGGTTCAACTCTGTCAGTAGAGGGCACACATCACAAACAAGTTTCTGAGAATGCTTGTGTCTAGTTGTTATGGGAAGATATTTCCTTTTTCAACATAGGCCTGAAAGCGCTCCAAATGTCCACTTCCAGATACTACAAAAGGAGTGATTCCAACCTGCTCTATGATAGGGAATGTTCAACTCTCTGTCCTGAATACAAACATCACAAAGATGTTTCTCAGAACGCTGCAGTCTGCAATTTGTATGAATTCCCGCTTCCAACGAAATCCTCAAAACTAGCCAAATATCCACTTGCAGATTCCACAAAAAGAGCATTTCAAAACTGCTCTATCAAAAGAAAGGTTCAACTTTGTTAGTTGAGTAGATACAGCATAAACAAGTTTCTGAGAATGCTTCTGTCCAGTTTTTATGGGAAGATATTTCCTTTTTCACCTTAGCCCTGAAAGCGCTCCAAAAGTCCAGTTCCAGATACTACAAAAGGAGTGTTTCAGGACTGCTCTATGAAAGGGAGTGTTCAACTTTTGACTTGAATGCAAACATCAGAAAGCAGTTTCTCAGAACGCTGCTGTGTGCTTTTTATATGTATTCCCGCTTCCAGCGAAATCCCCAAAGCTAGCCAAATATCCACTTGCAGATTCCAGAAAAAGAGTGTTTCAAAACTGCTCCTTCAAAACGGTGGTTCAATTCTCTTAGTTGAGTACACACATCTCAAATAAGTTTCTGAGAATGCTTCTGTCCAGTTTTTATGGGAAGATATTTCCTTTTTCACCTTAGCCCTAAAATCGCTCCAAAAGTCCAGTTCCAGATACTACAAAAGGGGTGTTTCAAGACTGCTCTATGAAAGGGAGTGTTCAACTTTTGACTTGAATGCAAACATCAGAAAGCAGTTTCTCAGAACCCTGCTGTGTGCTTTTTATATGTATTCCCGCTTCCAGCGAAATCCCCAAAGCTAGCCAAATATCCACTTGCAGATTCCAGAAAAAGAGTGTTTCAAAACTGCTCCTTCAAAACGGTGGTTCAATTCTCTTAGTTGAGTAGACACATCTCAAATAAGTTTCTGAGAATGCTGCAGTCTGCAATTTGTATGAATTCCCGCTTCCAACGAAATCCTCCAAACTAGCCAAATATCCACTTGCAGATTCCACAAAAAGAGCGTTTCAAAACTTCTCTATGAAAACAAAGGTTCTACTTCTTTAGTTGAGGACACACATCACGAGTAAGTTTCTGAGAATGCTTCTGTCTAGTTTTTATGGGAAGATATTTCCTTTTTCACCTTAGGCCGGAAAGTGCTCCAAATGTCCACTTACACACACTATACAAAGAGTGTTTCAAACCTGCTCTGTGAAAGGGAATGTTCAATACTGTGACTTGAATGCAATCATCACAAAGAAGTTTCTGAGAATGCTGCTGTCTGCTTTTTATATGTAATCCCGTTTCCAACGAAATCCTCAAATCTAGCCAAATAGCCACTTGTAGATACCACAAAAAGAGTGTTTCAAAACTGTTCTGTCTAAAGAAATGTTCAACTGTGTTAGTTGAGGACACACATCAGAAACTAGTTTCTGAGAATGCTTCTGTCTAGTTGTTATGGGAAGATATTTCCTTTTCCAACGTAGGCCTGAAAGCGCTCCAAATGTCCACTTCCATATACTAAAAAAAGAGTGTTTCAAACCTGCTCTACCAAAGGGAATGTTCTACTCTGTGACTTGAATGCAAACATCCCAAAGAAGTTTCTGAGAATGCTTCTGTCTAGATTTTACCTGAAGACAATCCCGTTTCCCACGAAATCCTCAAAGCTATGCAAATATCCTCTTGCAGATTCTACAAAAAGAGTGTTTCAAAACTGCTCTATGAAAAGAAAGGTTCAACTCTGTCAGTAGAGGGCACACATCACAAACAAGTTTCTGAGAATGCTTGTGTCTAGTTGTTATGGGAAGATATTTCCTTTTTCAACATAGGCCAGAAAGCGCTCCAAATGTCCACTTCCAGATACTACAAAAGGAGTGATTCCAACCTGCTCTATGATAGGGAATGTTCAACTCTGTGTCCTGAATACAAACATCACAAAGATGTTTCTCAGAACGCTGCAGTCTGCAATTTGTATGAATTCCCGCTTCCAACGAAATCCTCAAAACTAGCCAAATATCCACTTGCAGATTCCACAAAAAGAGCATTTCAAAACTGCTCTATCAAAAGAAAGGTTCAACTTTGTTAGTTGAGTAGATACAGCATAAACAAGTTTCTGAGAATGCTTCTGTCCAGTTTTTATGGGAAGATATTTCCTTTTTCACCTTAGCCCTGAAAGCGCTCCAAAAGTCCAGTTCCAGATACTACAAAAGGAGTGTTTCAGGACTGCTCTATGAAAGGGAGTGTTCAACTTTTGACTTGAATGCAAACATCAGAAAGCAGTTTCTCAGAACGCTGCTGTGTGCTTTTTATATGTATTCCCGCTTCCAGCGAAATCCCCAAAGCTAGCCAAATATCCACTTGCAGATTCCAGAAAAAGAGTGTTTCAAAACTGCTCCTTCAAAACGGTGGTTCAATTCTCTTAGTTGAGTACACACATCTCAAATAAGTTTCTGAGAATGCTGCTGTGTGCTTTTTATATGTATTCCCGCTTCCAGCGAAATCCCCAAAGCTAGCCAAATATCCACTTGCAGATTCCAGAAAAAGAGAGTTTCAAAACTGCTCCTTCAAAACGGTGGTTCAATTCTACTTAGTTGAGTACACACATCTCAAATAAGTTTCTGAGAATGCTTCTGTCTAGTTGTTATGGGAAGATATTTCCTTTTCCAACATAGGCCTGAAAGCGCTCCAAATGTCCACTTCCAGATACTACAAAAGGAGTGATTCCAACCTGCTCTATGATAGGGAATGTTCAACTCTGTGTCCTGAATACAAACATCACAAAGATGTTTCTCAGAACGCTGCAGTCTGCAATTTGTATGAATTCCCGCTTCCAACGAAATCCTCAAAACTAGCCAAATATCCACTTGCAGATTCCACAAAAAGAGCGTTTCAAAACTTCTCTATGAAAAGAAAGGTTCTACTCCTTTAGTTGAGGACACACATCACGAGTAAGTTTCTGAGAATGCTTCTGTCTAGTTTTTATGGGAAGATATGTCCTTTTTCACCATAGGCCGGAAAGCGCTCCAAATGTCCACTTACACACACTACAAAAAGAGTGTTTCAAACCTGCTCTGTGAAAGGGAATGTTCAATTCTGTGACTTGAATGCAATCATCACAAAGAACTTTCTGAGAATGCTGCTGACTGCTTTTTATATGTAATCCCGTTTCCAACGAAATCCTCAAATCTAGCCCAGTATCCACTTGCAGATTCCACAAAAAGAGTGTTTCAAAACTGTTCTGTCTAAAGAAATGTACAACTGTGTTAGTTGAGGACACACATCAGAAACTAGTTTCTGAGAATGCTTCTGTCTAGTTGTTATGGGAAGATATTTCCTTTTCCAACGTAGGCCTGAAAGCGCTCCAAATGTCCACTTCCATATACTAAAAAAAGAGTGTTTCAAACCTGCTCTACCAAAGGGAATGTTCTACTCTGTGACTTGAATGCAAACATCCCAAAGAAGTTTCTGAGAATGCTTCTGTCTAGATTTGATCTGAACACAATCCCGTTTCCAACGAAATCCTCAAAGCTAGGCAAATATCCTCTTGCAGATTCCAGAAAAAGAGTGTTTCAAAACTGCTCCTTCAAAACGGTGGTTCAATTCTCTTAGTTGAGTACACACATCTCAAATAAGTTTCTGAGAATGCTTCTGCCTAGTTGTTACCGGAAGATATTTCCCTTTCCAACATAGGCCTGAAAGCGCTCCAAATGTCCACTTCCAGATACTACAAAAAGAGTGTTTCAAACCTGCTCTACCAAAGGGAATGTTCTACTCTGTGACTTGAATGCAAACATCCCAAAGAAGTTTCTGAGAATGCTTCTGTCTAGATTTTACCTGAAGACAATCCCGTTTCCCACGAAATCCTCAAAGCTATGCAAATATCCTCTTGCAGATTCTACAAAAAGAGTGTTTCAAAACTGCTCTATGAAAAGAAAGGTTCAACTCTGTCAGTAGAGGGCACACATCACAAACAAGTTTCTGAGAATGCTTGTGTCTAGTTGTTATGGGAAGATATTTCCTTTTTCAACATAGGCCTGAAAGCGCTCCAAATGTCCACTTCCAGATACTACAAAAGGAGTGATTCCAACCTGCTCTATGATAGGGAATGTTCAACTCTGTGTCCTGAATACAAACATCACAAAGATGTTTCTCAGAACGCTGCAGTCTGCAATTTGTATGAATTCCCGCTTCCAACGAAATCCTCAAAACTAGCCAAATATCCACTTGCAGATTCCACAAAAAGAGCATTTCAAAACTGCTCTATCAAAAGAAAGGTTCAACTTTGTTAGTTGAGTAGATACAGCATAAACAAGTTTCTGAGAATGCTTCTGTCCAGTTTTTATGGGAAGATATTTCCTTTTTCACCTTAGCCCTGAAGGCGCTCCAAATGTCCAGTTCCAGATACTACAAAAGGGGTGTTTCAAGACTGCTCTATGAAAGGGAGTGTTCAACTTTTGACTTGAATGCAAACATCAGAAAGCAGTTTCTCAGAACGCTGCTGTGTGCTTTTTATATGTATTCCCGCTTCCAGCGAAATCCCCAAAGCTAGCCAAATATCCACTTGCAGATTCCAGAAAAAGAGTGTTTCAAAACTGCTCCTTCAAAACGGTGGTTCAATTCTCTTAGTTGAGTACACACATCTCAAATAAGTTTCTGAGAATGCTTCTGTCTAGTTGTTATGGGAAGATATTTCCTTTTTCAACATAGGCCTGAAAGCGCTCCAAATGTCCACTTCCAGATACTACAAAAGGAGTGATTCCAACCTGCTCTATTATAGGGAACGTTCAACTCTGTGTCCTGAATACAAACATCACAAAGATGTTTCTCAGAACGCTGCAGTCTGCAATTTGTATGAATTCCCGCTTCCAACGAAATCCTCCAAACTAGCCAAATATCCACTTGCAGATTCCACAAAAAGAGCGTTTCAAAACTTCTCTATGAAAAGAAAGGTTCTACTCCTTTAGTTGAGGACACACATCACGAGTAAGTTTCTGAGAATGCTTCTGTCTAGTTTTTATGGGAAGATATTTCCTTTTTCACCTTAGGCCGGTAAGTGCTCCAAATGTCCACTTACACACACTACAAAAAGAGTCTTTCAAACCTGCTCTGTGAAAGGGAATGTTCAATTCTGTGACTTGAATGCAATCATCACAAAGAACTTTCTGAGAATGCTGCTGACTGCTTTTTATATGTAATCCCGTTTCCAACGAAATCCTCAAATCTAGCCAAATAGCCACTTGCAGATTCCACAAAAAGAGTGTTTCAAAACTGTTCTGTCTAAAGAAATGTTCAACTGTGTTAGTTGAGGACACACATCAGAAACTAGTTTCTGAGAATGCTTCTGTCTAGTTGTTATGGGAAGATATTTCCTTTTCCAACGTAGGCCTGAAAGCGCTCCAAATGTCCACTTCCATATACTAAAAAAAGAGTGTTTCAAACCTGCTCTACCAAAGGGAATGTTCTACTCTGTGACTTGAATGCAAACATCCCAAAGAAGTTTCTGAGAATGCTTCTGTCTAGATTTTCTCTGAAGACAATCCCGTTTCCAACGAAATCCTCAAGGCTAGGCAAATATACTCTTGCAGATTCCAGAAAAAGAGTGTTTCAAAACTGCTCCTTCAAAACGGTGGTTCAATTCTCTTAGTTGAGTACACACATCTCAAATAAGTTTCTGAGAATGCTTCTGCCTAGTTGTTACGGGAAGATATTTCCCTTTCCAACATGGGCCTGATAGCGCTCCGAATGTCCACTTCCAGATACTACAAAAAGAGGGTTTCAAACCTGCTCTACCAAAGGGAATGTTCTACTCTGTGACTTGAATGCAAACATCCCAAAGAAGTTTCTGAGAATGCTTCTGTCTAGATTTTACCTGAAGACAATCCCGTTTCCCACGAAATCCTCAAAGCTATGCAAATATCCTCCTGCAGATTCTACAAAAAGAGTGTTTCAAAACTGCTCTATGAAAAGAAAGGTTCAACTCTGTCAGTAGAGGGCACACATCACAAACAAGTTTCTGAGAATGCTTGTGTCTAGTTGTTATGGGAAGATATTTCCTTTTTCAACATAGGCCTGAAAGCGCTCCAAATGTCCACTTCCAGATACTACAAAAGGAGTGATTCCAACCTGCTCTATGATAGGGAATGTTCATCTCTGTGTCCTGAATACAAACATCACAAAGATGTTTCTCAGAACGCTGCAGTCTGCAATTTGTATGAATTCCCGCTTCCAACGAAATCCTCAAAACTAGCCAAATATCCACTTGGAGATTCCACAAAAACAGCGTTTCAAAACTTCTCTATGAATAGAAAGGTTCTACTCCTTTAGTTGAGGACACACATCACGAGTAAGTTTCTGAGAATGCTTCTGTCTAGTTTTTATGGGAAGATATTTCCTTTTTCACCTTAGGCCGGAAAGCGCTCCAAATGTCCACTTACACACACTACAAAAAGAGTGTTTCAAACCTGCTCTGTGAAAGGGAATGTTCAATTCTGTGACTTGAATGCAATCATCACAAAGAACTTTCTGAGAATGCTGCTGTCTGCTTTTTATATGTAATCCCGTTTCCAACGAAATCCTCAAATCTAGCCAAATAGCCACTTGCAGATTCCACAAAAAGAGTGTTTCAAAACTGTTCTGTCTAAAGAAAAGTTCAACTGTGTTAGTTGAGGACACACATCAGAAACTAGTTTCTGAGAATGCTTCTGTCTAGTTGTTATGGGAAGATATTTCCTTTTCCAACGTAGGCCTGAAAGCGCTCCAAATGTCCACTTCCATATACTAAAAAAAGAGTGTTTCAAACCTGCTCTACCAAAGGGAATGTTCTACTCTGTGACTTGAATGCAAACATCCCAAAGAAGTTTCTGAGAATGCTTCTGTCTAGATTTTATCTGAAGACAATCCCGTTTCCAACGAAATCCTCAAGGCTAGGCAAATATCCTCTTGCAGATTCCAGAAAAAGAGTGTTTCAAAACTGCTCCTTCAAAACGGTGGTTCAATTCTCTTAGTTGAGTACACACATCTCAAATAAGTTTCTGAGAATGCTTCTGCCTAGTTGTTACGGGAAGATATTTCCCTTTCCAACATGGGCCTGAAAGCGCTCCAAATGTCCACTTCCAGATACTACAAAAGGAGGGTTTCAAACCTGCTCTACCAAAGGGAATGTTCTACTCTGTGACTTGAATGCAAACATCCCAAAGAAGTTTTCTGAGAATGCTTTCTGTCTAGATTTTACCTGAAGACAATCCCGTTTCCCACGAAATCCTCAAAGCTATGCAAATATCCTCTTGCAGATTCTACAAAAAGAGTGTTTCAAAACTGCTCTATGAAAAGAAAGGTTCAACTCTGTCAGTAGAGGGCACACATCACAAACAAGTTTCTGAGAATGCTTGTGTCTAGTTGTTATGGGAAGATATTTCCTTTTTCAACATAGGCCAGAAAGCGCTCCAAATGTCCACTTCCAGATACTACAAAAGGAGTGATTCCAACCTGCTCTATGATAGGGAATGTTCAACTCTGTGTCCTGAATACAAACATCACAAAGATGTTTCTCAGAACGCTGCAGTCTGCAATTTGTATGAATTCCCGCTTCCAACGAAATCCTCAAAACTAGCCAAATATCCACTTGCAGATTCCACAAAAAGAGCATTTCAAAACTGCTCTATCAAAAGAAAGGTTCAACTTTGTTAGTTGAGTAGATACAGCATAAACAAGTTTCTGAGAATGCTTCTGTCCAGTTTTTATGGGAAGATATTTCCTTTTTCACCTTAGCCCTGAAGCGCTCCAAAAGTCCAGTTCCAGATACTACAAAAGGAGTGTTTCAGGACTGCTCTATGAAAGGGAGTGTTCAACTTTTGACTTGAATGCAAACATCAGAAAGCAGTTTCTCAGAACGCTGCAGTCTGCAATTTGTATGAATTCCCGCTTCCAACGAAATCCTCAAAACTAGCCAAATATCCACTTGGAGATTCCACAAAAAGAGCGTTTCAAAACTTCTCTATGAATAGAAAGCTTCTACTCCTTTAGTTGAGGACACACATCACGAGTAAGTTTCTGAGAATGCTTCTGTCTAGTTTTTATGGGAAGATATTTCCTTTTTCACCTTAGGCCGGAAAGCGCTCCAAATGTCCACTTACACACACTACAAAAAGAGTGTTTCAAACCTGCTCTGTGAAAGGGAATGTTCAATTCTGTGACTTGAATGCAATCATCACAAAGAACTTTCTGAGAATGCTGCTGTCTGCTTTTTATATGTAATCCCGTTTCCAACGAAATCCTCAAATCTAGCCAAATATCCACTTGCAGATTCCACAAAAAGAGTGTTTCAAAACTGTTCTGTCTAAACAAAAGTTCAACTGTGTTAGTTGAGGACACACATCAGAAACTAGTTTCTGAGAATGCTTCTGTCTAGTTGTTATGGGAAGATATTTCCTTTTCCAACGTAGGCCTGAAAGCGCTCCAAATGTCCACTTCCATATACTAAAAAAAGAGTGTTTCAAACCTGCTCTACCAAAGGGAATGTTCTACTCTGTGACTTGAATGCAAACATCCCAAAGAAGTTTCTGAGAATACTTCTGTCTAGATTTGATCTGAAGACAATCCCGTTTCCAACGAAATCCTCAAGGCTAGGCAAATATCCTCTTGCAGATTCCACAAAAAGAGTGTTTCAAAACTGCTCCTTCAAAACGGTGGTTCAATTCTCTTAGTTGAGTACACACATCTCAAATAAGTTTCTGAGAATGCTTCTGCCTAGTTGTTACGGGAAGATATTTCCCTTTCCAACATGGGCCTGAAAGCGCTCCAAATGTCCACTTCCAGATACTACAAAAAGAGTGTTTCAAACCTGCTCTACCAAAGGGAATGTTCTACTCTGTGACTTGAATGCAAACATCCCAAAGAAGTTTCTGAGAATGCTTCTGTCTAGATTTTACCTGAAGACAATCCCGTTTCCCACGAAATCCTCAAAGCTATGCAAATATCCTCTTGCGGATTCTATAAAAGAGTGTTTCAAAACTGCTCTATGAAAAGAAAGGTTCAACTCTGTCAGTAGAGGGCACACATCACAAACAAGTTTCTGAGAATGCTTGTGTCTAGTTGTTATGGGAAGATATTTCCTTTTTCAACATAGGCCTGAAAGCGCTCCAAATGTCCACTTTCAGATACTACAAAAGGAGTGATTCCAACCTGCTCTATGATAGTGAATGTTCATCTCTGTGTCTTGAATACAAACATTTCAAAGATGTTTCTCAGAACGCTGCAGTCTGCAATTTGTATGAATTCCCGCTTCCAACGAAATCCTCAAAACTAGCCAAATATCCACTTGGAGATTCCACAAAAAGAGCGTTTCAAAACTTCTCTATGAATAGAAAGGTTCTACTCCTTTAGTTGAGGACACACATCACGAGTAAGTTTCTGAGAATGCTTCTGTCTAGTTTTTATGGGAAGATATGTCCTTTTTCACCTTAGGCCGGAAAGCGCTCCAAATGTCCACTTACACACACTACAAAAAGAGTGTTTCAAACCTGCTCTGTGAAAGGGAATGTTCAATTCTGTGACTTGAATGCAATCATCACAAAGAACTTTCTGAGAATGCTGCTGACTGCTTTTTATATGTAATCCCGTTTCCAACGAAATCCTCAAATCTAGCCCAGTATCCACTTGCAGATTCCACAAAAAGAGTGTTTCAAAACTGTTCTGTCTAAAGAAATGTACAACTGTGTTAGTTGAGGACACACATCAGAAACTAGTTTCTGAGAATGCTTCTGTCTAGTTGTTATGGGAAGATATTTCCTTTTCCAACGTAGACCTGAAAGCGCTCAAAATGTCCACTTCCATATACTAAAAAAAGAGTGTTTCAAACCTGCTCTACCAAAGGGAATGTTCTACTCTGTGACTTGAATGCAAACATCCCAAAGAAGTTTCTGAGAATGCTTCTGTCTAGATTTGATCTGAAGACAATCCCGTTTCCAACGAAATCCTCAAGGCTAGGCAAATATCGTCTTGCAGATTCCAGAAAAAGAGTGTTTCAAAACTGCTCCTTCAAAACGGTGGTTCAATTCTCTTAGTTGAGTACACACATCTCAAATAAGTTTCTGAGAATGCTTCTGCCTAGTTGTTACGGGAAGATATTTCCCTTTCCAACATGGGCCTGAAAGCGCTCCAAATGTCCACTTCCAGATACTACAAAAAGAGTGTTTGAAACCTGCTCTACCAAAGGGAATGTTCTACTCTGTGACTTGAATGCAAACATCCCAAAGAAGTTTCTGAGAATGCTTCTGTCTAGATTTTACCTGAAGACAATCCCGTTTCCCACGAAATCCTCAAAGCTATGCAAATATCCTCTTGCGGATTCTACAAAAAGAGTGTTTCAAAACTGCTCTATGAAAAGAAAGGTTCAACTCTGTCAGTAGAGGGCACACATCACAAACAAGTTTCTGAGAATGCTTCTGTCTAGTTTTTATGGGAAGATATTTCCTTTTTCACCTGAGGCCGGAAAGCGCTCCAAATGTTCACTTCCAGATACTACAAAAGGAGTGATTCAAACCTGCTCTATGATAGGGAATGTTCAACTCTGTGTCCTGAATACAAACATCACAAATATGTTTCTCAGAACGCTGCAGTCTGCAATTTGTATGAATTCCCGCTTCCAACGCAATCCTCAAAACTAACCAAATATCCACTTGCAGACTCCACAAAAAGAGCATTTCAAAACTGCTCTATCAAAAGAAAGGTTCAACTTTGTTAGCTGAGTAGATACAGCATAAACAAGTTTCTGAGAATGCTTCTGTCCAGTTTTTATGGGAAGATATTTCCTTTTTCACCTTAGCCCTGAAATCGCTCCAAAAGTCCAGTTCCAGATACTACAAAAGGGGTGTTTCAGGACTGCTCTATGAAAGGGAGTGTTCAACTTTTGACTTGAATGCAAACATCAGAAAGCAGTTTCTCAGAACGCTGCTGTGTGCTTTTTATATGTATTCCCGCTTCCAGCGAAATCCCCAAAGCTAGCCAAATATCCACTTGCAGATTCCAGAAAAAGAGAGTTTCAAAACTGCTCCTTCAAAACGGTGGTTCAATTCTCTTAGTTGAGTACACACATCTCAAATAAGTTTCTGAGAATGCTTCTGTCTAGTTGTTATGGGAAGATATTTCCTTTTCCAACATAGGCCTGAAAGCGCTCCAAATGTCCACTTCCAGATACTACAAAAGGAGTGATTCAAACCTGCTCTATGATAGGGAATGTTCAACTCTGTGTCCTGAATACAAACATCACAAAGATGTTTCTCAGAACGCTGCAGTCTGCAATTTGTATGAATTCCCGCTTCCAACGAAATCCTCAAAACTAGCCAAATATCCACTTGCAGATTCCACAAAAAGAGCGTTTCAAAACTTCTCTATGAAAAGAAAGGTTCTACTCCTTTAGTTGAGGACACACATCACGAGTAAGTTTCTGAGAATGCTTCTGTCTAGTTTTTATGGGAAGATATGTCCTTTTTCACCTTAGGCCGGAAAGCGCTCCAAATGTCCACTTACACACACTACAGAAAGAGTGTTTCAAACCTGCTCTGTGAAAGGGAATGTTCAATTCTGTGACTTGAATGCAATCATCACAAAGAACTTTCTGAGAATGCTGCTGACTGCTTTTTATATGTAATCCCGTTTCCAACGAAATACTCAAATCTAGCCCAATATCCACTTGCAGATTCCACAAAAAGAGTGTTTCAAAACTGTTCTGTCTAAAGAAATGTACAACTGTGTTAGTTGAGGACACACATCACAAACTAGTTTCTGAGAATGCTTCTGTCTAGTTGTTATGGGAAGATATTTCCTTTTCCAACGTAGGCCTGAAAGCGCTCCAAATGTCCACTTCCATATACTAAAAAAAGAGTGTTTCAAACCTGCTCTACCAAAGGGAATGTTCTACTCTGTGACTTGAATGCAAACATCCCAAAGAAGTTTCTGAGAATGCTTCTGTCTAGATTTGATCTGAAGACAATCCCGTTTCCAACGAAATCCTCAAGGCTAGGCAAATATACTCTTGCAGATTCCAGAAATGAGGGTTTCAAAACTGCTCCTTCAAAACGGTGGTTCAGTTCTCTTAGTTGAGTACACACATCTCAAATAAGTTTCTGAGAATGCTTCTGCCTAGTTGTTACGGGAAGATATTTCCCTTTCCAACATGGGCCTGAAAGCGCTCCAAATGTCCACTTCCAGATACTACAAAAAGAGTGTTTCAAACCTGCTCTACCAAAGGGAATGTTCTACTCTGTGACTTGAATGCAAACATCCCAAAGAAGTTTCTGAGAATGCTTCTGTCTAGATTTTACCTGAAGACAATCCCGTTTCCCACGAAATCCTCAAAGCTATGCAAATATCCTCTTGCGGATTCTACAAAAAGAGTGTTTCAAAACTGCTCTATGAAAAGAAAGGTTCAACTCTGTCAGTAGAGGGCACACATCACAAACAAGTTTCTGAGAATGCTTGTGTCTAGTTGTTATGGGAAGATATTTCCTTTTTCAACATAGGCCTGAAAGCGCTCCAAATGTCCACTTCCAGATACTACAAAAGGAGTGATTCCAACATGCTCTATGATAGGGAATGTTCATCTCTGTGTCTTGAATACAAACATCACAAAGATGTTTCTCTGAACGCTGCAGTCTGCAATTTGTATGAATTCCCGCTTCCAACGAAATCCTCAAAACTAGCCAAATATCCACTTGGAGATTCCACAAAAAGAGGGTTTCAAAACTTCTCTATGAATAGAAAGGTTCTACTCCTTTAGTTGAGGACACACATCACGAGTAAGTTTCTGAGAATGCTTCTGTCTAGTTTTTATGGGAAGATATGTCCTTTTTCACCTTAGGCCGGAAAGCGCTCCAAATGTCCACTTACACACACTACAAAAAGAGTGTTTCAAACCTGCTCTGTGAAAGGGAATGTTCAATTCTGTGACTTGAATGCAATCATCACAAAGAACTTTCTGAGAATGCTGCTGTCTGCTTTTTATATGTAATCCCGTTTCCAACGAAATCCTCAAATCTAGCCCAATATCCACTTGCAGATTCCACAAAAAGAGTGTTTCAAAACTGTTCTGTCTAAAGAAAAGTTCAACTGTGTTAGTTGAGGACACACATCAGAAACTAGTTTCTGAGAATGCTTCTGTCTAGTTGTTATGGGAAGATATTTCCTTTTCCAACGTAGGCCTGAAAGCGCTCCAAATGTCCACTTCCATATACTAAAAAAAGAGTGTTTCAAACCTGCTCTACCAAAGGGAATGTTCTACTCTGTGACTTGAATGCAAACATCCCAAAGAAGTTTCTGAGAATGCTTCTGTCTAGATTTTATCTGAAGACAATGCGGTTTCCAACGAAATCCTCAAAGCTAGGCAAATATCCTCTAGCAGATTCCAGAAAAAGAGTGTTTCAAAACTGCTCCTTCAAAACGGTGGTTCAATTCTCTTAGTTGAGTACACACATCTCAAAAAAGTTTCAGAGAATGCTTCTGCCTAGTTGTTACGGGAAGATATTTCCCTTTCCAACATGGGCCTGAAAGCGCTCCAAATGTCCACTTCCAGATACTACAAAAAGAGTGTTTCAAACCTGCTCTACCAAAGGGAATGTTCTACTCTGTGACTTGAATGCAAACATCCCAAAGAAGTTTCTGAGAATGCTTCTGTCTAGATTTTACCTGAAGACAATCCCGTTTCCCACGAAATCCTCAAAGCTATGCAAATATCCTCTTGCAGATTCTACAAAAAGAGTGTTTCAAAACTGCTCTATGAAAAGAAAGGTTCAACTCTGTCAGTAGAGGGCACACATCACAAACAAGTTTCTGAGAATGTTTGTGTCTAGTTGTTATGGGAAGATATTTCCTTTTTCAACATAGGCCTGAAAGCGCTCCAAATGTCCACTTCCAGATACTACAAAAGGAGTGATTCCAACCTGCTCTATGATAGGGAATGTTCATCTCTGTGTCCTGAATACAAACATCACAAAGATGTTTCTCAGAACGCTGCAGTCTGCAATTTGTATGAATTCCCGCTTCCAACGAAATCCTCAAAACTAGCCAAATATCCACTTGGAGATTCCACAAAAAGAGCGTTTCAAAACTTCTCTATGAATAGAAAGGTGCTACTCCTTTAGTTGAGGACACACATCACGAGTAAGTTTCTGAGAATGCTTCTGTCTAGTTTTTATGGGAAGATATGTCCTTTTTCACCTTAGGCCGGAGAGCGCTCCAAATGTCCACTTACACACACTACAAAAAGAGTGTTTCAAACCTGCTCTGGAAAGGGAATGTTCAATTCTGTGACTTGAATGCAATCATCACAAAGAACTTTCTGAGAATGCTGCTGACTGCTTTTTATATGTAATCCCGTTTCCAACGAAATCCTCAAATCTAGCCCAATATCCACTTGCAGATTCCACAAAAAGAGTGTTTCAAAACTGTTCTGTGTAAAGAAATGTACAACTGTGGTAATTGAGGACACACATCAGAAACTAGTTTCTGAGAATGCTTCTGTCTAGTTGTTATGGGAAGATATTTCCTTTTCCAACGTAGGCCTGAAAGCGCTCCAAATGTCCACTTCCATATACTAAAAAAAGAGTGTTTCAAACCTGCTCTACCAAAGGGAATGTTCTACTCAGTGACTTGAATGCAAACATCCCAAAGAAGTTTCTGAGAATGCTTCTGTCTAGATTTTATCTGAAGACAATCCCGTTTCCAGCGAAATCCTCAAGGCTAGGCAAATATACTCTTGCAGATTCCAGAAAAAGAGGGTTTCAAAACTGCTCCTTCAAAACGGTGGTTCAATTCTCTTAGTTGAGTCCACACATCTCAAATAAGTTTCTGAGAATGCTTCTGCCTAGTTGTTACGGGAAGATATTTCCCTTTCCAACATGGGCCTGAAAGCGCTCCAAATGTCCACTTCCAGATACTAGAAAAAGAGTGTTTCAAACCTGCTCTACCAAAGGGAATGTTCTACTCTGTGACTTGAATGCAAACATCCCAAAGAAGTTTCTGAGAATGCTTCTGTCTAGATTTTACCTGAAGACAATCCCGTTTCCCACGAAATCCTCAAAGCTATGCAAATATCCTCTTGCGGATTCTACAAAAAGAGTGTTTCAAAACTGCTCTATGAAAAGAAAGGTTCAACTCTGTCAGTAGAGGGCACACATCACAAACAAGTTTCTGAGAATGCTTGTGTCTAGTTGTTATGGGAAGACATTTCCTTTTTCAACATAGGCCTGAAAGCGCTCCAAATGTCCACTTCCAGATACTACAAAAGGAGTGATTCCAACCTGCTCTATGATAGGGAATGTTCATCTCTGTGTCCTGAATACAAACATCACAAAGATGTTTCTCAGAACGCTGCAGTCTGCAATTTGTATGAATTCCCGCTTCCAACGAAATCCTCAAAACTAGCCAAATATCCACTTGGAGATTCCACAAAAAGAGCGTTTCAAAACTTCTCTATGAATAGAAAGGTTCTACTCCTTTAGTTGAGGACACACATCACGAGTAAGTTTCTGAGAATGCTTCTGTCTAGTTTTTATGGGAAGATATGTCCTTTTTCACCTTAGGCCGGAAAGCGCTCCAAATGTCCACTTACACACACTACAAAAAGAGTGTTTCAAACCTGCTCTGTGAAAGGGAATGTTCAATTCTGTGACTTGAATGCAATCATCACAAAGAACTTTCTGAGAATGCTGCTGTCTGCTTTTTATATGTAATCCCGTTTCCAACGAAATCCTCAAATCTAGCCAAATAGCCACTTGCAGATTCCACAAAAAGAGTGTTTCAAAACTGTTCTGTCTAAAGAAAAGTTCAACTGTGTTAGTTGAGGACACACATCAGAAACTAGTTTCTGAGAATGCTTCTGTCTAGTTGTTATGGGAAGATATTTCCTTTTCCAACGTAGGCCTGAAAGCGCTCCAAATGTCCACTTCCATATACTAAAAAAAGAGTGTTTCAAACCTGCTCTACCAAAGGGAATGTTCTACTCTGTGACTTGAATGCAAACATCCCAAAGAAGTTTCTGAGAATGCTTCTGTCTAGATTTTCTCTGAAGACAATCCCGTTTCCAACGAAATCCTCAAGGCTAGGCAAATATACTCTTGCAGATTCCAGAAAAAGAGTGTTTCAAAACTGCTCCTTCAAAACGGTGGTTCAATTCTCTTAGTTGAGTACACACATCTCAAATAAGTTTCTGAGAATGCTTCTGCCTAGTTGTTACGGGAAGATATTTCCCTTTCCAACATAGGCCTGAAAGCGCTCCAAATGTCCACTTCCAGATACTACAAAAAGAGTGTTTCAAACCTGCTCTACCAAAGGGAATGTTCTACTCTGTGACTTGAATGCAAACATCCCAAAGAAGTTTCTGAGAATGCTTCTGTCTAGATTTTACCTGAAGACAATCCCGTTTCCCACGAAATCCTCAAAGCTATGCAAATATCCTCTTGCAGATTCTACAAAAAGAGTGTTTCAAAACTGCTCTATGAAAAGAAAGGTTCAACTCTGTCAGTAGAGGGCACACATCACAAACAAGTTTCTGAGAATGCTTCTGCATAGTTGTTACGGGAAGATATTTCCCTTTCCAAAATAGGCCTGAAAGCGCTCCAAATGTCCACTTCCAGATACTACAAAAGGAGTGATTCCAACCTGCTCTATGATAGGGAATGTTCAACTCTGTGTCCTGAATACAAACATCACAAAGATGTTTCTCAGAACGCTGCAGTCTGCAATTTGTATGAATTCCCGCTTCCAACGAAATCCTCAAAACTAGCCAAATATCCACTTGCAGATTCCACAAAAAGACCATTTCAAAACTGCTCTATCAAAAGAAAGGTTCAACTTTGTTAGTTGAGTAGATACAGCATAAACAAGTTTCTGAGAATGCTTCTGTCCAGTTTTTATGGGAAGATATTTCCTTTTTCACCTTAGCCCTGAAATCGCTCCAAAAGTCCAGTTCCAGATACTACAAAAGGGGTGTTTCAAGACTGCTCTATGAAAGGGAGTGTTCAACTTTTGACTTGAATGCAAACATCAGAAAGCAGTTTCTCAGAACGCTGCTGTGTGCTTTTTATATGTATTCCCGCTTCCAGCGAAATCCCCAAAGCTAGCCAAATATCCACTTGCAGATTCCAGAAAAAGAGAGTTTCAAAACTGCTCCTTCAAAACGGTGGTTCAATTCTCTTAGTTGAGTACACACATCTCAAATAAGTTTCTGAGAATGCTTCTGTCTAGTTGTTATGGGAAGATATTTCCTTTTCCAACATAGGCCTGAAAGCGCTCCAAATGTCCACTTCCAGATACTACAAAAGGAGTGATTCAAACCTGCTCTATGATAGGGAATGTTCAACTCTGTGTCCTGAATACAAACATCACAAAGATGTTTCTCAGAACGCTGCAGTCTGCAATTTGTATGAATTCCCGCTTCCAACGAAATCCTCAAAACTAGCCAAATATCCACTTGCAGATTCCACAAAAAGAGCGTTTCAAAACTTCTCTATGAAAAGAAAGGTTCTACTCCTTTAGTTGAGGACACACATCACGAGTAAGTTTCTGAGAATGCTTCTGTCTAGTTTTTATGGGAAGATATGTCCTTTTTCACCTTAGGCCGGAAAGCGCTCCAAATGTCCACTTACACACACTACAAAAAGAGTGTTTCAAACCTGCTCTGTGAAAGGGAATGTTCAATTCTGTGACTTGAATGCAATCATCACAAAGAACTTTCTGAGAATGCTGCTGTCTGCTTTTTATATGTAATCCCGTTTCCAACGAAATCCTCAAATCTAGCCCAATATCCACTTGCAGATTCCACAAAAAGAGTGTTTCAAAACTGTTCTGTCTAAAGAAAAGTTCAACTGTGTTAGTTGAGGACACACATCAGAAACTAGTTTCTGAGAATGCTTTCTGTCTAGTTGTTATGGGAAGATATTTCCTTTTCCAACGTAGGCCTGAAAGCGCTCCAAATGTCCACTTCCATATACTAAAAAAAGAGTGTTTCAAACCTGCTCTACCAAAGGGAATGTTCTACTCTGTGACTTGAATGCAAACATCCCAAAGAAGTTTCTGAGAATGCTTCTGTCTAGATTTGATCTAAAGACAATCCCGTTTCCAACGAAATCCTCAAGGCTAGGCAAATATCCTCTTGCAGATTCCAGAAAAAGAGTGTTTCAAAACTGCTCCTTCAAAACGGTGATTCAATTCTCTTAGTTGAGTACACACATCTCAAATAAGTTTCTGAGAATGCTTCTGCCTAGTTGTTACGGGAAGATATTTCCCTTTCCAACATAGGCCTGAAAGCGCTCCAAATGTCCACTTCCAGATACTACAAAAAGAGTGTTTCAAACCTGCTCTACCAAAGGGAATGTTCTACTCTGTGACTTGAATGCAAACATCCCAAAGAAGTTTCTGAGAATGCTTCTGTCTAGATTTTACCTGAAGACAATCCCGTTTCCCACGAAATCCTCAAAGCTATGCAAATATCCTCTTGCAGATTCTACAAAAAGAGTGTTTCAAAACTGCTCTATGAAAAGAAAGGTTCAACTCTGTCAGTAGAGGGCACACATCACAAACAAGTTTCTGAGAATGCTTCTGCATAGTTGTTACGGGAAGATATTTCCCTTTCCAAAATAGGCCTGAAAGCGCTCCAAATGTCCACTTCCAGATACTACAAAAGGAGTGATTCCAACCTGCTCTATGATAGGGAATGTTCAACTCTGTGTCCTGAATACAAACATCACAAAGATGTTTCTCAGAACGCTGCAGTCTGCAATTTGTATGAATTCCCGCTTCCAACGAAATCCTCAAAACTAGCCAAATATCCACTTGCAGATTCCACAAAAAGACCATTTCAAAACTGCTCTATCAAAAGAAAGGTTCAACTTTGTTAGTTGAGTAGATACAGCATAAACAAGTTTCTGAGAATGCTTCTGTCCAGTTTTTATGGGAAGATATTTCCTTTTTCACCTTAGCCCTGAAAGCGCTCCAAATGTCCAGTTCCCGATACTACAAAAGGGGTGTTTCAAGACTGCTCTATGAAAGGGAGTGTTCAACTTTTGACTTGAATGCAAACATCAGAAAGCAGTTTCTCAGAACGCTGCTGTGTGCTTTTTATATGTATTCCCGCTTCCAGCGAAATCCCAAAAGCTAGCCAAATATCCACTTGCAGATTCCAGAAAAAGAGTGTTTCAAAACTGCTCCTTCAAAACGGTGGTTCAATTCTCTTAGTTGAGTAGACACATCTCAAATAAGTTTCTGAGAATGCTTCTGTCTATTTGTTATGGGAAGATATTTCCTTTTCCAACATAGGCCTGAAAGCGCTCCAAATGTCCACTTCCAGATACTACAAAAGGAGTGATTCAAACCTGCTCTATGATAGGGAATGTTCAACTCTGTGTCCTGAATACAAACATCACAAAGAAGTTTCTCAGAACGCTGCATTCTGCAATTTGTATGAATTCCCGCTTCCAACGAAATCCTCAAAACTAGCCAAATATCCACTTGCAGATTCCACAAAAAGAGCGTTTCAAAACTTCTCTATGAAAAGAAAGTTTCTACTCCTTTAGTTGAGTACACACATCACGAGTAAGTTCCTGAGAATGCTTCTGTCTAGTTTTTATGGGAAGATATTTCCTTTTTCACCTTAGGCCGGAAAGCGCTCCAAATGTCCGCTTACACACACTACAAAAAGAGTGTTTCAAACCTGCTCTGTGAAAGGGAATGTTCAATTCTGTGACTTGAATGCAATCATCACAAAGAACTTTCTGAGAATGCCGCTGTCTGCTTTTTCTATGTAATCCCGTTTCCAACGAAATGCTCAAATCTAGCCAAATATCCACTTGCAGATTCCACAAAGAGAGTGTTTCAAAACTGTTCTGTCTAAAGAAATGTTCAACTGTGTTAGTTGAGGACACACATCAGAAACTAGTTTCTGACAATGCTTCTGTCTAGTTGTTATGGGAAGATATTTCCTTTTCCAACGTAGGCCTGAAAGCGCTCCAAATGTCCACTTCCAGATACTACAAAAAGAGTGTTTCAAACCTGCTCTACCAAAGGGAATGTTCTACTCTGTGACTTGAATGCAAGCATCCCAAAGAAGTTTCTGAGAATGCTTCTGTCTAGATTTTCTCTGAAGACAATCCCGTTTCCAACGAAATCCTCAAGGCTAGGCAAATATACTCTTGCAGATTCCAGAAAAAGAGTGTTTCAAAACTGCTCCTTCAAAACGGTGGTTCAATTCTCTTAGTTGAGTACACACATCTCAAATAAGTTTCTGAGAATGCTTCTGCCTAGTTGTTACGGGAAGTATATTTCCCTTTCCAACATAGGCCTGAAAGCGCTCCAAATGTCCACTTCCAGATACTATAAAAAGAGTGTTTCAAACCTGCTCTACCAAAGGGAATGTTCTACTCTGTGACTTGAATGCAAACATCCCAAAGAAGTTTCTGAGAATGCTTCTGTCTAGATTTTTACCTGAAGACAATCCCGTTTCCCACGAAATCCTCAAAGCTATGCAAATATCCTCTTGCAGATTCTACAAAAAGAGTGTTTCAAAACTGCTCTATGAAAAGAAAGGTTCAACTCTGTCAGTAGAGGGCACACATCACAAACAAGTTTCTGAGAATGCTTCTGCATAGTTGTTACGGGAAGATATTTCCCTTTCCAAAATAGGCCTGAAAGCGCTCCAAATGTCCACTTCCAGATACTACAAAAGGAGTGATTCCAACCTGCTCTATGATAGGGAATGTTCAACTCTCTGTCCTGAATACAAACATCACAAAGATGTTTCTCAGAACGCTGCAGTCTGCAATTTGTATGAATTCCCGCTTCCAACGAAATCCTCAAAACTAGCCAAATATCCACTTGCAGATTCCACAAAAAGACCATTTCAAAACTGCTCTATCAAAAGAAAGGTTCAACTTTGTTAGTTGAGTAGATACAGCATAAACAAGTTTCTGAGAATGCTTCTGTCCAGTTTTTATGGGAAGATATTTCCTTTTTCACCTTAGCCCTGAAATCGCTCCAAAAGTCCAGTTCCAGATACTACAAAAGGGGTGTTTCAAGACTGCTCTATGAAAGGGAGTGTTCAACTTTTGACTTGAATGCAAACATCAGAAAGCAGTTTCTCAGAACGCTGCTGTGTGCTTTTTATATGTATTCCCGCTTCCAGCGAAATCCCCAAAGCTAGCCAAATATCCACTTGCAGATTCCAGAAAAAGAGTGTTTCAAAACTGCTCCTTCAAAACGGTGGTTCAATTCTCTTAGTTGAGTACACACATCTCAAATAAGTTTCTGAGAATGCTTCTGTCTAGTTGTTATGGGAAGATATTTCCTTTTCCAACATAGGCCTGAAAGCGCTCCAAATGTCCACTTCCAGATACTACAAAAGGAGTGATTCCAACCTGCTCTATGATAGGGAATGTTCAACTCTGTGTCCTGAATACAAACATCACAAAGATGTTTCTCAGAACGCTGCAGTCTGCAATTTGTATGAATTCCCGCTTCCAACGAAATCCTCAAAACTAGCCAAATATCCACTTGCAGATTCCACAAAAAGAGCGTTTCAAAACTTCTCTATGAAAAGAAAGGTTCTACTCCTTTAGTTGAGGACACACATCACGAGTAAGTTTCTGAGAATGCTCTGTCTAGTTTTTATGGGAAGATTATTTCCTTTTTCACCTTAGGCCGGTAAGTGCTCCAAATGTCCACTTACACACACTACAAAAAGAGTGTTTCAAACCTGCTCTGTGAAAGGGAATGTTCAATTCTGTGACTTGAATGCAATCATCACAAAGAACTTTCTGAGAATGCTGGCTGTCTGCTTTTTATATGTAATCCCGTTTCCAACGAAATACTCAAATCTAGCCCAGTATCCACTTGCAGATTCCACAAAAAGAGTGTTTCAAAACTGTTCTGTCTAAAGAAATGTACAACTGTGTTAGTTGAGGACACCCATCAGAAACTAGTTTCTGAGAATGCTTCTGTCTAGTTGTTATGGGAAGATATTTCCTTTTCCAACGTAGGCCTGAAAGCGCTCCAAATGTCCACTTCCATATACTAAAAAAAGAGTGTTTCAAACCTGCTCTACCAAAGGGAATGTTCTACTCTGTGACTTGAATGCAAACATCCCAAAGAAGTTTCTGAGAATGCTTCTGTCTAGATTTTATCTGAAGACAATCCCGTTTCCAACGAAATTCTCAAGGCTAGGCAAATATACTCTTGCAGATTCCAGAAAAAGAGTGTTTCAAAACTGCTCCTTCAAAACGGTGGTTCAATTCTCTTAGTTGAGTACACACATCTCAAATAAGTTTCTGAGAATGCTTCTGCCTAGTTGTTACGGGAAGATATTTCCCTTTCCAACATGGGCCTGAAAGCGCTCCAAATGTCCACTTCCAGATACTACAAAAAGAGTGTTTCAAACCTGCTCTACCAAAGGGAATGTTCTACTCTGTGACTTGAATGCAAACATCCCAAAGAAGTTTCTGAGAATGCTTCTGTCTAGATTTTACCTGAAGACAATCCCGTTTCCCACGAAATCCTCAAAGCTATGCTAATATCCTCTTGCAGATTCTACAAAAAGAGTGTTTCAAAACTGCTCTATGAAAAGAAAGGTTCAACTCTGTCAGTAGAGGGCACACATCACAAACAAGTTTCTGAGAATGCTTGTGTCTAGTTGTTATGGGAAGATATTTCCTTTTTCAACATAGGCCTGAAAGCGCTCCAAATGTCCACTTCCAGATACTACAAAAGGAGTGATTCCAACCTGCTCTATGATAGGGAATGTTCAACTCTCTGTCCTGAATACAAACATCACAAAGATGTTTCTCAGAACGCTGCAGTCTGCAATTTGTATGAATTCCCGCTTCCAACGAAATCCTCAAAACTAGCCAAATATCCACTTGCAGATTCCACAAAAAGAGCATTTCAAAACTGCTCTATCAAAAGAAAGGTTCAACTTTGTTAGTTGAGTAGATACAGCATAAACAAGTTTCTGAGAATGCTTCTGTCCAGTTTTTATGGGAAGATATTTCCTTTCTCACCTTAGCCCTGAAAGCGCTCCAAAAGTCCAGTTCCAGATACTACAAAAGGAGTGTTTCAGGACTGCACTATGAAAGGGAGTGTTCAACTTTTGACTTGAATGCAAACATCAGAAAGCAGTTTCTCAGAACGCTGCTGTGTGCTTTTTATATGTATTCCCGCTTCCAGCGAAATCCCCAAAGCTAGCCAAATATCCACTTGCAGATTCCAGGAAAAGAGTGTTTCAAAACTGCTCCTTCAAAACGGTGGTTCAATTCTCTTAGTTGAGTACACACATCTCAAATAAGTTTCTGAGAATGCTTCTGTCTATTTGTTATGGGAAGATATTTCCTTTTCCAACATAGGCCTGAAAGCGCTCCAAATGTCCACTTCCAGATACTAGAAAAGGAGTGATTCAAACCTGCTCTATGATAGGGAATGTTCAACTCTGTGTCCTGAATACAAACATCACAAAGATGTTTCTCAGAACGCTGCAGTCTGCAATTTGTATGAATTCCCGCTTCCAACGAAATCCTCAAAACTAGCCAAATATCCACTTGCAGATTCCACAAAAAGACCATTTCAAAACTGCTCTATCAAAAGAAAGGTTCAACTTTGTTAGTTGAGTAGATACAGCATAAACAAGTTTCTGAGAATGCTTCTGTCCAGTTTTTATGGGAAGATATTTCCTTTTTCACCTTAGCCCTGAAATCGCTCCAAAAGTCCAGTTCCAGATACTACGAAAGGGGTGTTTCAGGACTGCTCTATGAAAGGGAGTGTTCAACTTTTGACTTGAATGCAAACATCAGAAAGCAGTTTCTCAGAACGCTGCTGTGTGCTTTTTATATGTATTCCCGCTTCCAGCGAAATCCCCAAAGCTAGCCAAATATCCACTTGCAGATTCCAGAAAAAGAGAGTTTCAAAACTGCTCCTTCAAAACGGTGGTTCAATTCTCTTAGTTGAGTACACACATCTCAAATAAGTTTCTGAGAATGCTGCTGTGTGTTTTTTATATGTATTCCCGCTTCCAGCGAAATCCCCAAACCTAGCCAAATATCCACTTGCAGATTCCAGAAAAAGAGCGTTTCAAAACTGCTCCTTGAAAACGGTGGTTCAATTCTCTTAGTTGAGTACACCCATCTCAAATAAGTTTCTGAGAATGCTTCTGTCTAGTTGTTATGGGAAGATATTTCCTTTTCCAACATAGGCCTGAAAGCGCTCCAAATGTCCACTTCCAGATACTACAAAAGGAGTGATTCAAACCTGCTCTATGATAGGGAATGTTCAACTCTGTGTCCTGAATACAAACATCACAAAGATGTTTCTCAGAACGCTGCAGTCTGCAATTTGTATGAATTCCCGCTTCCAACGAAATCCTCAAAACTAGCCAAATATCCACTTGCAGATTCCACAAAAAGACCATTTCAAAACTGCTCTATCAAAAGAAAGGTTCAACTTTGTTAGTTGAGCAGATACAGCATAACCAAGTTTCTGAGAATGCTTCTGTCCAGTTTTTATGGGAAGATATTTCCTTTTTCACCTTAGCCCTGAAATCGCTCCAAAAGTCCAGTTCCAGATACTACAAAAGGGGTGTTTCAAGACTGCTCTATGAAAGGGAGTGTTCAACTTTTGACTTGAATGCAAACATCAGAAAGCAGTTTCTCAGAACGCTGCTGTGTGCTTTTTATATGTATTCCCGCTTCCAGCGAAATCCCCAAAGCTAGCCAAATATCCACTTGCAGATTCCAGAAAAAGAGAGTTTCAAAACTGCTCCTTCAAAACGGTGGTTCAATTCTCTTAGTTGAGTACACACATCTCAAATAAGTTTCTGAGAATGCTTCTGTCTAGTTGTTATGGGAAGATATTTCCTTTTCCAACATAGGCCTGAAAGCGCTCCAAATGTCCACTTCCAGATACTACAAAAGGAGTGATTCCAACCTGCTCTATGATAGGGAATGTTCAACTCTGTGTCCTGAATACAAACATCACAAAGATGTTTCTCAGAACGCTGCAGTCTGCAATTTGTATGAATTCCCGCTTCCAACGAAATCCTCAAAACTAGCCAAATATCCACTTGCAGATTCCACAAAAAGAGCGTTTCAAAACTTCTCTATGAAAAGAAAGGTTCTACTCCTTTAGTTGAGGACACACATCACGAGTAAGTTTCTGAGAATGCTTCTGTCTAGTTTTTATGGGAAGATATTTCCTTTTTCACCTTAGGCCGGTAAGTGCTCCAAATGTCCACTTACACACACTACAAAAAGAGTGTTTCAAACCTGCTCTGTGAAAGGGAATGTTCAATTCTGTGACTTGAATGCAATCATCACAAAGAACTTTCTGAGAATGCTGCTGACTGCTTTTTATATGTAATCCCGTTTCCAACGAAATCCTCAAATCTAGCCAAATAGCCACTTGCAGATTCCACAAAAAGAGTGTTTCAAAACTGTTCTGTCTAAAGAAATGTTCAACTGTGTTAGTTGAGGACACACATCAGAAACTAGTTTCTGAGAATGCTTCTGTCTAGTTGTTATGGGAAGATATTTCCTTTTCCAACGTAGGCCTGAAAGCGATCCAAATGTCCACTTCCATATACTAAAAAAAGAGTGTTTCAAACCTGCTCTACCAAAGGGAATGTTCTACTCTGTGACTTGAATGCAAACATCCCAAAGAAGTTTCTGAGAATGCTTCTGTCTAGATTTTCTCTGAAGACAATCCCGTTTCCAACGAAATCCTCAAGGCTAGGCAAATATACTCTTGCAGATTCCAGAAAAAGAGTGTTTCAAAACTGCTCCTTCAAAACGGTGGTTCAATTCTCTTAGTTGAGTACACACATCTCAAATAAGTTTCTGAGAATGCTTCTGCCTAGTTGTTACGGGAAGATATTTCCCTTTCCAACATGGGCCTGAAAGCGCTCCAAATGTCCACTTCCAGATACTACAAAAAGAGTGTTTCAAACCTGCTCTACCAAAGGGAATGTTCTACTCTGTGACTTGAATGCAAACATCCCAAAGAAGTTTCTGAGAATGCTTCTGTCTAGATTTTACCTGAAGACAATCCCGTTTCCCACGAAATCCTCAAAGCTATGCAAATATCCTCTTGCAGATTCTACAAAAAGAGTGTTTCAAAACTGCTCTATGAAAAGAAAGGTTCAACTCTGTCAGTAGAGGGCACACATCACAAACAAGTTTCTGAGAATGCTTCTGCATAGTTGTTACGGGAAGATATTTCCCTTTCCAAAATAGGCCTGAAAGCGCTCCAAATGTCCACTTCCAGATACTACAAAAGGAGTGATTCCAACCTGCTCTATGATAGGGAATGTTCAACTCTGTGTCCTGAATACAAACATCACAAAGATGTTTCTCAGAACGCTGCAGTCTGCAATTTGTATGAATTCCCGCTTCCAACGAAATCCTCAAAACTAGCCAAATATCCACTTGCAGATTCCACAAAAAGAGCATTTCAAAACTGCTCTATCAAAAGAAAGGTTCAACTTTGTTAGTTGAGTAGATACAGCATAAACAAGTTTCTGAGAATGCTTCTGTCCAGTTTTTATGGGAAGATATTTCCTTTTTCACCTTAGCCCTGAAAGCGCTCCAAAAGTCCAGTTCCAGATACTACAAAAGGAGTGTTTCAGACTGCACTATGAAAGGGAGTGTTCAACTTTTGACTTGAATGCAAACATCAGAAAGCAGTTTCTCAGAACGCTGCTGTGTGCTTTTTATATGTATTCCCGCTTCCAGCGAAATCCCCAAAGCTAGCCAAATATCCACTTGCAGATTCCAGAAAAAGAGTGTTTCAAAACTGCTCCTTCAAAACGGTGGTTCAATTCTCTTAGTTGAGTACACACATCTCAAATAAGTTTCTGAGAATGCTTCTGTCTAGTTGTTATGGGAAGATATTTCCTTTTCCAACATAGGCCTGAAAGCGCTCCAAATGTCCACTTCCAGATACTACAAAAGGAGTGATTCAAACCTGCTCTATGATAGGGAATGTTCAAATCTGTGTCCTGAATACAAACATCACAAAGATGTTTCTCAGAACGCTGCAGTCTGCAATTTGTATGAATTCCCGCTTCCAACGAAATCCTCAAAACTAGCCAAATATCCACTTGCAGATTCCACAAAAAGAGCGTTTCAAAACTTCTCTATGAAAAGAAAGGTTCTACTCCTTTAGTTGAGGGCACACATCACGAGTAAGTTTCTGAGAATGCTTCTGTCTAGTTTTTATGGGAAGATATTTCCTTTTTCACCTTTGGCCGGTAAGTGCTCCAAATGTCCACTTACACACACTACAAAAAGAGTGTTTCAAACCTGCTCTGTGAAAGGGAATGTTCAATTCTGTGACTTGAATGCAATCATCACAAAGAACTTTCTGAGAATGCTGCTGACTGCTTTTTATATGTAATCCCGTTTCCAACGAAATCCTCAAATCTAGCCAAATAGCCACTTGCAGATTCCACAAAAAGAGTGTTTCAAAACTGTTCTGTCTAAAGAAATGTTCAACTGTGTTAGTTGAGGACACACATCAGAAACTAGTTTCTGAGAATGCTTCTGTCTAGTTGTTATGGGAAGATATTTCCTTTTCCAACGTAGGCCTGAAAGCGATCCAAATGTCCACTTCCATATACTAAAAAAAGAGTGTTTCAAACCTGCTCTACCAAAGGGAATGTTCTACTCTGTGACTTGAATGCAAACATCCCAAAGAAGTTTCTGAGAATGCTTCTGTCTAGATTTTCTCTGAAGACAATCCCGTTTCCAACGAAATCCTCAAGGCTAGGCAAATATACTCTTGCAGATTCCAGAAAAAGAGTGTTTCAAAACTGCTCCTTCAAAACGGTGGTTCAATTCTCTTAGTTGAGTACACACATCTCAAATAAGTTTCTGAGAATGCTTCTGCCTAGTTGTTACGGGAAGATATTTCCCTTTCCAACATGGGCCTGAAAGCGCTCCAAATGTCCACTTCCAGATACTACAAAAAGAGTGTTTCAAACCTGCTCTACCAAAGGGAATGTTCTACTCTGTGACTTGAATGCAAACATCCCAAAGAAGTTTCTGAGAATGCTTCTGTCTAGATTTTACCTGAAGACAATCCCGTTTCCCACGAAATCCTCAAAGCTATGCAAATATCCTCTTGCAGATTCTACAAAAAGAGTGTTTCAAAACTGCTCTATGAAAAGAAAGGTTCAACTCTGTCAGTAGAGGGCACACATCACAAACAAGTTTCTGAGAATGCTTCTGCATAGTTGTTACGGGAAGATATTTCCCTTTCCAAAATAGGCCTGAAAGCGCTCCAAATGTCCACTTCCAGATACTACAAAAGGAGTGATTCCAACCTGCTCTATGATAGGGAATGTTCAACTCTGTGTCCTGAATACAAACATCACAAAGATGTTTCTCAGAACGCTGCAGTCTGCAATTTGTATGAATTCCCGCTTCCAACGAAATCCTCAAAACTAGCCAAATATCCACTTGCAGATTCCACAAAAAGACCATTTCAAAACTGCTCTATCAAAAGAAAGGTTCAACTTTGTTAGTTGAGTAGATACAGCATAACCAAGTTTCTGAGAATGCTTCTGTCCAGTTTTTATGGGAAGATATTTCCTTTTTCACCTTAGCCCTGAAATCGCTCCAAAAGTCCAGTTCCAGATACTACAAAAGGGGTGTTTCAAGACTGCTCTATGAAAGGGAGTGTTCAACTTTTGACTTGAATGCAAACATCAGAAAGCAGTTTCTCAGAACGCTGCAGTCTGCAATTTGTATGAATTCCCGCTTCCAACGAAATCCTCAAAACTAGCCAAATATCCACTTGCAGATTCCACAAAAAGAGCGTTTCAAAACTTCTCTATGAAAAGAAAGGTTCTACTCCTTTAGTTGAGGACACACAATACGAGTAAGTTTCTGAGAATGCTTCTGTCCAGTTTTTATGGGAAGATATTTCCTTTTTCACCTTAGCCCTGAAAGCGCTCCAAAAGTCCAGTTCCAGATACTACAAAAGGAGTGTTTCAGGACTGCTCTATGAAAGGGAGTGTTCAACTTTTGACTTGAATGCAAACATCAGAAAGCAGTTTCTCAGAACGCTGCTGTGTGCTTTTTATATGTATTCCCGCTTCCAGCGAAATCCCCAAAGCTAGCCAAATATCCACTTGCAGATTCCAGAAAAAGAGTGTTTCAAAACTGCTCCTTCAAAACGGTGGTTCAATTCTCTTAGTTGAGTACACACATCTCAAATAAGTTTCTGAGAATGCTTCTGTCTAGTTGTTATGGGAAGATATTTCCTTTTCCAACATAGGCCTGAAAGCGCTCCAAATGTCCACTTCCAGATACTACAAAAGGAGTGATTCAAACCTGCTCTATGATAGGGAATGTTCAACTCTGTGTCCTGAATACAAACATCACAAAGATGTTTCTCAGAACGCTGCAGTCTGCAATTTGTATGAATTCCCGCTTCCAACGAAATCCTCAAAACTAGCCAAATATCCACTTGCAGATTCCACAAAAAGAGCGTTTCAAAACTTCTCTATGAAAAGAAAGGTTCTACTCCTTTAGTTGAGGGCACACATCACGAGTAAGTTTCTGAGAATGCTTCTGTCTAGTTTTTATGGGAAGATATTTCCTTTTTCACCTTAGGCCGGTAAGGGTTCCAAATGTCCACTTACACACACTACAAAAAGAGTGTTTCAAACCTGCTCTGTGAAAGGGAATGTTCAATTCTGTGACTTGAATGCAATCATCACAAAGAACTTTCTGAGAATGCTGCTGACTGCTTTTTATATGTAATCCCGTTTCCAACGAAATCCTCAAATCTAGCCAAATAGCCACTTGCAGATTCCACAAAAAGAGTGTTTCAAAACTGTTCTGTCTATAGAAATGTTCAACTGTGTTAGTTGAGGACACACAGCAGAAACTAGTTTCTGAGAATGCTTCTGTCTAGTTGTTATGGGAAGATATTTCCTTTTCCAACGTAGGCCTGAAAGCGCTCCAAATGTCCACTTCCATATACTAAAAAAAGAGTGTTTCAAACCTGCTCTACCAAAGGGAATGTTCTACTCTGTGACTTGAATGCAAACATCCCAAAGAAGTTTCTGAGAATGCTTCTGTCTAGATTTTCTCTGAAGACAATCCCGTTTCCAACGAAATCCTCAAGGCTAGGCAAATATACTCTTGCAGATTCCAGAAAAAGAGTGTTTCAAAACTGCTCCTTCAAAACGGTGGTTCAATTCTCTTAGTTGAGTACACACATCTCAAATAAGTTTCTGAGAATGCTTCTGCCTAGTTGTTACGGGAAGATATTTCCTTTTCCAACATGGGCCTGAAAGCGCTCCAAATGTCCACTTCCAGATACTACAAAAAGAGTGTTTCAAACCTGCTCTACCAAAGGGAATGTTCTACTCTGTGACTTGAATGCAAACATCCCAAAGAAGTTTCTGAGAATGCTTCTGTCTAGATTTTACCTGAAGACAATCCCGTTTCCCACGAAATCCTCAAAGCTATGCAAATATCCTCTTGCAGATTCTACAAAAAGAGTGTTTCAAAACTGCTCTATGAAAAGAAAGGTTCAACTCTGTCAGTAGAGGGCACACATCACAAACAAGTTTCTGAGAATGCTTCTGCATAGTTGTTACGGGAAGATATTTCCCTTTCCAAAATAGGCCTGAAAGCGCTCCAAATGTCCACTTCCAGATACTACAAAAGGAGTGATTCCAACCTGCTCTATGATAGGGAATGTTCAACTCTGTGTCCTGAATACAAACATCACAAAGATGTTTCTCAGAACGCTGCAGTCTGCAATTTGTATGAATTCCCGCTTCCAACGAAATCCTCAAAACTAGCCAAATATCCACTTGCAGATTCCACAAAAAGACCATTTCAAAACTGCTCTATCAAAAGAAAGGTTCAACTTTGTTAGTTGAGTAGATACAGCATAACCAAGTTTCTGAGAATGCTTCTGTCCAGTTTTTATGGGAAGATATTTCCTTTTTCACCTTAGCCCTGAAATCGCTCCAAAAGTCCAGTTCCAGATACTACAAAAGGGGTGTTTCAAGACTGCTCTATGAAAGGGAGTGTTCAACTTTTGACTTGAATGCAAACATCAGAAAGCAGTTTCTCAGAACGCTGCTGTGTGCTTTTTATATGTATTCCCGCTTCCAGCGAAATCCCCAAAGCTAGCCAAATATCCACTTGCAGATTCCAGAAAAAGAGTGTTTCAAAACTGCTCCTTCAAAACGGTGGTTCAATTCTCTTAGTTGAGTACACACATCTCAAATAAGTTTCTGAGAATGCTTGTGTCTAGTTGTTATGGGAAGATATTTCCTTTTTCAACATAGGCCTGAAAGCGCTCCAAATGTCCACTTCCAGATACTACAAAAGGAGTGATTCCAACCTGCTCTATGATAGGGAATGTTCCACTCTGTGTCCTGAATACAAACATCACAAAGATGTTTCTCAGAACGCTGCAGTCTGCAATTTGTATGTATTCCAGCTTCCAACGAAATCCTCAAATCTAGCCAAATATCCACTTGCAGATTCCACAAAAAGAGCATTTCAAAACTGCTCTATCAAAAGAAAGGTTCAACTTTTTTAGTAGAGTAGATACAGCATAAACAAGTTTCTGAGAATGCTTCTGTCCAGTTTTTATGGGAAGATATTTCCTTTTTCACCTTAGCCCTGAAAGCGCTCCAAAAGTCCAGTTCCAGATACTACAAAAGGAGTGTTTCAGGACTGCTCTATGAAAGGGAGTGTTCAACTTTTGACTTGAATGCAAACATCAGAAAGCAGTTTCTCAGAACGCTGCTGTGTGCTTTTTATATGTATTCCCGCTTCCAGCGAAATCCCCAAAGCTAGCCAAATATCCACTTGCAGATTCCAGAAAAAGAGTGTTTCAAAACTGCTCCTTCAAACCGGTGGTTCAATTCTCTTAGTTGAGTACACACATCTCAAATAAGTTTCTGAGAATGCTTGTGTCTAGTTGTTATGGGAAGATATTTCCTTTTTCAACATAGGCCTGAAAGCGCTCCAAATGTCCACTTCCAGATACTACAAAAGGAGTGATTCCAACCTGCTCTATGATAGGGAATGTTCAACTCTCTGTCCTGAATACAAACATCACAAAGATGTTTCTCAGAACGCTGCAGTCTGCAATTTGTATGAATTCCAGCTTCCAACGTAATCCTCAAAACTAGCCAAATATCCACTTGCAGATTCCACAAAAAGAGCGTTTCAAAACTTCTCTATGAAAAGAAAGGTTCTACTCCTTTAGTTGAGGACACACATCACGAGTAAGTTTCTGAGAATGCTTCTGTCTAGTTTTTAAGGGAAGATATTTCCTTTTTCACCTTAGGCCGGAAAGTGCTCCAAATGTCCACTTACACACACTACAAAAAGAGTGTTTCAAACCTGCTCTGTGAAAGGGAATGTTCAATTCTGTGACTTGAATGCAATCATCACAAAGAACTTTCTGAGAATGCTGCTGTCTGCTTTTTATATGTAATCCCGTTTCCAACGAAATCCTCAAATCTAGCCAAATAGCCACTTGCAGATTCCACAAAAAGAGTGTTTCAAAACTGTTCTGTCTAAAGAAATGTTCAACTGTGTTAGTTGAGGACACACATCAGAAACTAGTTTCTGAGAATGCTTCTGTCTAGTTGTTATGGGAAGATATTTCCTTTTCCAACGTAGGCCTGAAAGCGCTCCAAATGTCCACTTCCATATACTAAAAAAAGAGTGTTTCAAACCTGCTCTACCAAAGGGAATGTTCTACTCTGTGACTTGAATGCAAACATCCCAAAGAAGTTTCTGAGAATGCTTCTGTCTAGATTTGATCTGAAGACAATCCCGTTTCCAACGAAATCCTCAAGGCTAGGCAAATATCCTCTTGCAGATTCCAGAAAAAGAGTGTTTCAAAACTGCTCCTTCAAAACGGTGGTTCAATTCTCTTAGTTGAGTACACACATCTCAAATAAGTTTCTGAGAATGCTTCTGCCTAGTTGTTACGGGAAGATATTTCCCTTTCCAACATAGGCCTGAAAGCGCTCCAAATGTCCACTTCCAGATACTACAAAAAGAGTGTTTCAAACCTGCTCTACCAAAGGGAATGTTCTGCTCTGTGACTTGAATGCAAACATCCCAAAGAAGTTTCTGAGAATGCTTCTGTCTAGATTTTACCTGAAGACAATCCCGTTTCCCACGAAATCCTCAAAGCTATGCAAATATCCTCTTGCAGATTCTACAAAAAGAGTGTTTCAAAACTGCTCTATGAAAAGAAAGGTTCAACTCTGTCAGTAGAGGGCACACATCACAAACAAGTTTCTGAGAATGCTTGTGTCTAGTTGTTATGGGAAGATATTTCCTTTTTCAACATAGGCCTGAAAGCGCTCCAAATGTCCACTTCCAGATACTACAAAAGGAGTGATTCCAACCTGCTCTATGATAGGGAATGTTCAACTCTCTGTCCTGAATACAAACATCACAAAGATGTTTCTCAGAACGCTGCAGTCTGCAATTTGTATGAATTCCCGCTTCCAACGAAATCCTCAAAACTAGCCAAATATCCACTTGCAGATTCCACAAAAAGACCATTTCAAAACTGCTCTATCAAAAGAAAGGTTCAACTTTGTTAGTTGAGTAGATACAGCATAAACAAGTTTCTGAGAATGCTTCTGTCCAGTTTTTATGGGAAGATATTTCCTTTTTCACCTTAGCCCTGAAATCGCTCCAAAAGTCCAGTTCCAGATACTACAAAAGGGGTGTTTCAAGACTGCTCTATGAAAGGGAGTGTTCAACTTTTGACTTGAATGCAAACATCAGAAAGCAGTTTCTCAGAACGCTGCTGTGGGCTTTTTATATGTATTCCCGCTTCCAGCGAAATCCCCAAAGCTAGCCAAATATCCACTTGCAGATTCCAGAAAAAGAGAGTTTCAAAACTGCTCCTTCAAAACGGTGGTTCAATTCTCTTAGTTGAGTACACACATCTCAAATAAGTTTCTGAGAATGCTTCTGTCTAGTTGTTATGGGAAGATATTTCCTTTTCCAACATAGGCCTGAAAGCGCTCCAAATGTCCACTTCCAGATACTACAAAAGGAGTGATTCAAACCTGCTCTATGATAGGGAATGTTCAACTCTGTGTCCTGAATACAAACATCACAAAGATGTTTCTCAGAACGCTGCAGTCTGCAATTTGTATGAATTCCCGCTTCCAACGAAATCCTCAAAACTAGCCAAATATCCACTTGCAGATTCCACAAAAAGAGCGTTTCAAAACTTCTCTATGAAAAGAAAGGTTCTACTCCTTTAGTTGAGGACACACATCACGAGTAAGTTTCTGAGAATGCTTCTGTCTAGTTTTTATGGGAAGATATTTCCTTTTTCACCTTAGGCCAGAAAGCGCTCCAAATGTCCACTTACACACACTACAAAAAGAGTGTTTCAAACCTGCTCTGTGAAAGGGAATTTTCAATTCCTGTGACTTGAATGCAATCATCACAAAGAACTATCTGAGAATGCTGCTGACTGCTTTTTATATGTAATCCCGTTTCCAACGAAATCCTCAAATCTAGCCAAATATCCACTTGCAGATTCCACAAAAAGAGTGTTTCATAACTGTTCTGTCTAAAGAAATGTACAACTGTGTTAGTTGAGGACACACATCAGAAACTAGTTTCTGAGAATGCTTCGGTCTAGTTGTTATGGGAAGATATTTCCTTTTCCAACGTAGGCCCGAAAGCGCTCCAAATGTCCACTTCCATATACTAAAAAAAGAGTGTTTCAAACCTGCTCTACCAAAGGGAATGTTCTACTCTGTGACTTGAATGCAAACATCCCAAAGAAGTTTCTGAGAATGCTTCTGTCTAGATTTTATCTGAAGACAATCCGGATTCCAACGAAATCCTCAAAGCTAGGCAAATATCCTCTAGCAGATTCCAGAAAAAGAGTGTTTCAAAACTGCTCCTTCAAAACGGTGGTTCAATTCTCTTAGTTGAGTACACACATCTCAAAAAAGTTTCAGAGAATGCTTCTGCCTAGTTGTTACGGGAAGATATTTCCCTTTCCAACATGGGCCTGAAAGCGCTCCAAATGTCCACTTCCAGATACTACAAAAAGAGTGTTTCAAACCTGCTCTACCAAAGGGAATGTTCTACTCTGTGACTTGAATGCAAACATCCCAAAGAAGTTTCTGAGAATGCTTCTGTCTAGATTTTACCTGAAGACAATCCCGTTTCCCACGAAATCCTCAAAGCTATGCAAATATCCTCTTGCAGATTCTACAAAAAGAGTGTTTCAAAACTGCTCTATGAAAAGAAAGGTTCAACTCTGTCAGTAGAGGGCACACATCACAAACAAGTTTCTGAGAATGCTTGTGTCTAGTTGTTATGGGAAGATATTTCCTTTTTCAACATAGGCCTGAAAGCGGTCCAAATGTCCACTTCCAGATACTACAAAAGGAGTGATTCCAACATGCTCTATGATAGGGAATGTTCATCTCTGTGTCTTGAATACAAACATCACAAAGATGTTTCTCAGAACGCTGCAGTCTGCAATTTGGATGAATTCCCGCTTCCAACGAAATCCTCAAAACTAGCCAAATATCCACTTGGAGATTCCACAAAAAGAGCGTTTCAAAACTTCTCTATGAATAGAAAGGTTCTACTCCTTTAGTTGAGGACACACATCACGAGTAAGTTTCTGAGAATGCTTCTGTCTAGTTTTTATGGGAAGATATGTCCTTTTTCACCTTAGGCCGGAAAGCGCTCCAAATGTCCAAATACACACACTACAAAAAGAGTGTTTCAAACCTGCTCTGTGAAAGGGAATGTTCAATTCTGTGACTTGAATGCAATCATCACAAAGAACTTTCTGAGAATGCTGCTGTCTGCTTTTTATATGTAATCCCGTTTCCAACGAAATCCTCAAATCTAGCCCAATATCCACTTGCAGATTCCACAAAAAGAGTGTTTCAAAACTGTTCTGTCTAAAGAAAAGTTCAACTGTGTTAGTTGAGGACACATATCAGAAAATAGTTTCTGAGAATGCTTCTGTCTAGTTGTTATGGGAAGATATTTCCTTTTCCAACGTAGGCCTGAAAGCGCTCCAAATGTCCTTCCATATACTAAAAAAAGAGTGTTTCAAACCTGCTCTACCAAAGGGAATGTTCTACTCTGTGACTTGAATGCAAACATCCCAAAGAAGTTTCTGAGAATGCTTCTGTCTAGATTTTATCTGAAGACAATCCCGTTTCCAACGAAATCCTCAAGGCTAGGCAAATATACTCTTGCAGATTCCAGAAAAAGAGTGTTTCAAAACTGCTCCTTCAAAACGGTGGTTCAATTCTCTTAGTTGAGTACACACATCTCAAATAAGTTTCTGAGAATGCTTCTGCCTAGTTGTTACGGGAAGATATTTCCCTTTCCAACATAGGCCTGAAAGCGCTCCAAATGTCCACTTCCAGATACTACAAAAAGAGTGTTTCAAACCTGCTCTACCAAAGGGAATGTTCTACTCTGTGACTTGAATGCAAACATCCCAAAGAAGTTTCTGAGAATGCTTCTGTCTAGATTTTACCTGAAGACAATCCCGTTTCCCACGAAATCCTCAAAGCTATGCAAATATCCTCTTGCAGATTCTACAAAAAGAGTGTTTCAAAACTGCTCTATGAAAAGAAAGGTTCAACTCTGTCAGTAGAGGGCACACATCACAAACAAGTTTCTGAGAATGCTTGTGTCTAGTTGTTATGGGAAGATATTTACTTTTTCAACATAGGCCTGAAAGCGCTCCAAATGTCCACTTCCAGATACTACAAAAGGAGTGATTCCAACCTGCTCTATGATAGGGAATGTTCATCTCTGTGTCCTGAATACAAACATCACAAAGATGTTTCTCAGAACGCTGCAGTCTGCAATTTGTATGAATTCCCGCTTCCAACGAAATCCTCAAACCTAGCCAAATATCCACTTGCAGATTCCACAAAAAGAGCATTTCAAAACTGCTCTATCAAAAGAAAGGTTCAACTTTGTTAGTTGAGTAGATACAGCATAAACAAGTTTCTGAGAATGCTTCTGTCCAGTTTTTATGGGAAGATATTTCCTTTTTCACCTTAGCCCTGAAAGCGCTCCAAATGTCCAGTTCCAGATACTACAAAAGGGGTGTTTCAAGACTGCTCTATGAAAGGGAGTGTTCAACTTTTGTCTTGAATGCAAACATCAGAAAGCAGTTTCTCAGAACGCTGCTGTGTGCTTTTTATATGTATTCCCGCTTCCAGCGAAATCCCCAAAGCTAGCCAAATATCCACTTGCAGATTCCAGAAAAAGAGTGTTTCAAAACTGCTCCTTCAAAACGGTGGTTCAATTCTCTTAGTTGAGTACACACATCTCAAATAAGTTTCTGAGAATGCTTCTGTCTAGTTGTTATGGGAAGATATTTCGTTTTCCAACATAGGCCTGAAAGCGCTCCAAATGTCCACTTCCAGATACTACAAAAGGAGTGATTCCAACCTGCTCTATGATAGGGAATGTTCAACTCTGTGTCCTGAATACAAACATCACAAAGATGTTTCTCAGAACGCTGCAGTCAGCAATTTGTATGAATTCCCGCTTCCAACGAAATCCTCCAAACTAGCCAAATATCCACTTGCAGATTCCACAAAAAGAGCGTTTCAAAACTTCTCTATGAAAAGAAAGGTTCTACTCCTTTAGTTGAGGACACACATCACGAGTAAGTTTCTGAGAATGCTTCTGTCTAGTTTTTATGGGAAGATATTTCCTTGTTCACCTTAGGCCGGAAAGCGCTCCAAATGTCCACTTACACACACTACAAAAAGAGTGTTTCAAACCTGCTCTGTGAAAGGGAATGTTCAATTCTGTGACTTGAATGCAATCATCACAAAGAAGTTTCTGAGAATGCTGCTGTCTGCTTTTTATATGTAATCCCGTTTCCAACGAAATCCTCAAATCTAGCCAAATATCCACTTGCAGATTCCACAAAAAGAGTGTTTCAAAACTGTTCTGTCTAAAGAAATGTTCAACTGTGTTAGTTGAGGACACACATCAGAAACTAGTTTCTGAGAATGCTTCTGTCTAGTTGTTATGGGAAGATATTTCCTTTTCCAACGTAGGCCTGAAAGCGCTCCAAATGTCCACTTACACACACTACAAAAAGAGTGTTTCAAACCTGCTCTACCAAAGGGAATGTTCTACTCTGTGACTTGAATGCAAACATCCCAAAGAAGTTTCTGAGAATGCTTCTGTCTAGATTTTATCTGAAGACAATCCCGTTTCCAACGAAATCCTCAAGGCTAGGCAAATATATTCTTGCAGAATCCAGAAAAAGAGTGTTTCAAAACTGCTCCTTCAAAACGGTGGTTCAATTCTCTTAGTTGAGTACACACATCTCAAATAAGTTTCTGAGAATGCTTCTGCCTAGTTGTTACGGGAAGATATTTCCCTTTCCAACATGGGCCTGAAAGCGCTCCAAATGTCCACTTCCAGATACTACAAAAAGAGGGTTTCAAACCTGCTCTACCAAAGGGAATGTTCTACTACTGTGACTTGAATGCAAACATCCCAAAGAAGTTTCTGAGAATGCTCCTGTCTAGATTTTACCTGAAGACAATCCCGTTTCCCACGAAATCCTCAAAGCTATGAAAATATCCTCTTGCAGATTCTACAAAAAGAGTGTTTCAAAACTGCTCTATGAAAAGAAAGGTTCAACTCTGTCAGTAGAGGGCACACATCACAAACAAGTTTCTGAGAATGCTTGTGTCTAGTTGTTATGGGAAGATATTTCCTTTTTCAACATAGGCCTGAAAGCGCTCCAAATGTCCACTTCCAGATACTACAAAAGGAGTGATTCCAACCTGCTCTATGATAGGGAATGTTCATCTCTGTGTCTTGAATACAAACATCACAAAGATGTTTCTCATAACGCTGCAGTCTGCAATTTGTATGAATTCCCGCTTCCAACGAAATCCTCCAAACTAGCCAAATATCCACTTGCAGATTCCACAAAAAGAGCATTTCAAAACTGCTCTATCAAAAGAAAGGTTCAACTATGTTAGTTGAGTAGATACAGCATAAACAAGTTTCTGAGAATGATTCTCTCCAGTTTTTATGGGAAGATATTTCCTTTTTCACCTTAGCCCTGAAAGCGCTCCAAAAGTCCAGTTCCAGATACTACAAAAGGAGTGTTTCAGGACTGCTCTATGAAAGGGAGTGTTCAACTTTTGACTTGAATGCAAACATCAGAATGCAGTTTCTCAGAACGCTGCTGTGTGCTTTTTATATGTATTCCCGCTTCCAGCGAAATCCCCAAAGCTAGCCAAATATCCACTTGCAGATTCCAGAAAAAGAGTGTTTCAAAACTGCTCCTTCAAAACGGTGGTTCAATTCTCTTAGTTGAGTACACACATCTCAAATAAGTTTCTGAGAATGCTTCTGCATAGTTGTTACGGGAAGATATTTCCCTTTCCAAAATAGGCCTGAAAGCGCTCCAAATGTCCACTTCCAGATACTACAAAAGGAGTGATTCCAACCTGCTCTATGATAGGGAATGTTCAACTCTGTGTCCTGAATACAAACATCACAAAGATGTTTCTCAGAACGCTGCAGTCTGCAATTTGTATGAATTCCCGCTTCCAACGAAATCCTCAAAACTAGCCAAATATCCACTTGCAGATTCCACAAAAAGACCATTTCAAAACTGCTCTATCAAAAGAAAGGTTCAACTTTGTTAGTTGAGTAGATACAGCATAACCAAGTTTCTGAGAATGCTTCTGTCCAGTTTTTATGGGAAGATATTTCCTTTTTCACCTTAGCCCTGAAATCGCTCCAAAAGTCCAGTTCCAGATACTACAAAAGGGGTGTTTCAAGACTGCTCTATGAAAGGGAGTGTTCAACTTTTGACTTGAATGCAAACATCAGAAAGCAGTTTCTCAGAACGCTGCTGTGTGCTTTTTATATGTATTCCCGCTTCCAGCGAAATCCCCAAAGCTAGCCAAATATCCACTTGCAGATTCCAGAAAAAGAGAGTTTCAAAACTGCTCCTTCAAAACGGTGGTTCAATTCTCTTAGTTGAGTACACACATCTCAAATAAGTTTCTGAGAATGCTTCTGTCTAGTTGTTATGGGAAGATATTTCCTTTTCCAACATAGGCCTGAAAGCGCTCCAAATGTCCACTTCCAGATACTACAAAAGGAGTGATTCAAACCTGCTCTATGATAGGGAATGTTCAACTCTGTGTCCTGAATACAAACATCACAAAGATGTTTCTCAGAACGCTGCAGTCTGCAATTTGTATGAATTCCCGCTTCCAACGAAATCCTCAAAACTAGCCAAATATCCACTTGCAGATTCCACAAAAAGAGCGTTTCAAAACTTCTCTATGAAAAGAAAGGTTCTACTCCTTTAGTTGAGGACACACATCACGAGTAAGTTTCTGAGAATGCTTCTGTCTAGTTTTTATGGGAAGATTATTTCCTTTTTCACCTTAGGCCGGTAAGTGCTCCAAATGTCCACTTACACACACTACAAAAAGAGTGTTTCAAACCTGCTCTGTGAAAGGGAATGTTCAATTCTGTGACTTGAATGCAATCATCACAAAGAACTTTCTGAGAATGCCGCTGACTGCTTTTTATATGTAATCCCGTTTCCAACGAAATCCTCAAATCTAGCCAAATAGCCACTTGCAGATTCCACAAAAAGAGTGTTTCAAAACTGTTCTGTCTAAAGAAATGTTCAACTCTGTTAGTTGAGGACACACATCAGAAACTAGTTTCTGAGAATGCTTCTGTCTAGTTGTTATGGGAAGATATTTCCTTTTCCAACGTAGGCCTGAAAGCGCTCCAAATGTCCACTTCCAGATACTACAAAAAGAGTGTTTCAAACCTGCTCTACCAAAGGGAATGTTCTACTCTGTGACTTGAATGCAAGCATCCCAAAGAAGTTTCTGAGAATGCTTCTGTCTAGATTTTCTCTGAAGACAATCCCGTTTCCAACGAAATCCTCAAGGCTAGGCAAATATACTCTTGCAGATTGCAGAAAAAGAGTGTTTCAAAACTGCTCCTTCAAAACGGTGGTTCAATTCTCTTAGTTGAGTACACACATCTCAAATAAGTTTCTGAGAATGCTTCTGCCTAGTTGTTACGGGAAGATATTTCCCTTTCCAACATGGGCCTGAAAGCGCTCCAAATGTCCACTTCCAGATACTACAAAAAGAGTGTTTCAAACCTGCTCTACCAAAGGGAATGTTCTACTCTGTGACTTGAATGCAAACATCCCAAAGAAGTTTCTGAGAATGCTTCTGTCTAGATTTTACCTGAAGACAATCCCGTTTCCCACGAAATCCTCAAAGCTATGCAAATATCCTCTTGCAGATTCTACAAAAAGAGTGTTTCAAAACTGCTCTATGAAAAGAAAGGTTCAACTCTGTCAGTAGAGGGCACACATCACAAACAAGTTTCTGAGAATGCTTCTGCATAGTTGTTACGGGAAGATATTTCCCTTTCCAAAATAGGCCTGAAAGCGCTCCAAATGTCCACTTCCAGATACTACAAAAGGAGTGATTCCAACCTGCTCTATGATAGGGAATGTTCAACTCTGTGTCCTGAATACAAACATCACAAAGATGTTTCTCAGAACGCTGCAGTCTGCAATTTGTATGAATTCCCGCTTCCAACGAAATCCTCAAAACTAGCCAAATATCCACTTGCAGATTCCACAAAAAGACCATTTCAAAACTGCTCTATCAAAAGAAAGGTTCAACTTTGTTAGTTGAGTAGATACAGCATAACCAAGTTTCTGAGAATGCTTCTGTCCAGTTTTTATGGGAAGATATTTCCTTTTTCACCTTAGCCCTGAAATCGCTCCAAAAGTCCAGTTCCAGATACTACAAAAGGGGTGTTTCAAGACTGCTCTATGAAAGGGAGTGTTCAACTTTTGACTTGAATGCAAACATCAGAAAGCAGTTTCTCAGAACGCTGCTGTGTGCTTTTTATATGTATTCCCGCTTCCAGCGAAATCCCCAAAGCTAGCCAAATATCCACTTGCAGATTCCAGAAAAAGAGTGTTTCAAAACTGCTCCTTCAAAACGGTGGTTCAATTCTCTTAGTTGAGTACACACATCTCAAATAAGTTTCTGAGAATGCTTGTGTCTAGTTGTTATGGGAAGATATTTCCTTTTTCACATAGGCCTGAAAGCGCTCCAAATGTCCACTTCCAGATACTACAAAAGGAGTGATTCCAACCTGCTCTATGATAGGGAATGTTCATCTCTGTGTCCTGAATACAAACATCACAAAGATGTTTCTCAGAACGCTGCAGTCTGCAATTTGTATGAATTCCCGCTTCCAACGAAATCCTCCAAACTAGCCAAATATCCACTTGCAGATTCCACAAAAAGAGCGTTTCAAAACTTCTCTATGAAAAGAAAGGTTCTACTCCTTTAGTTGAGGACACACATCACGAGTAAGTTTCTGAGAATGCTTCTGTCTAGTTTTTATGGGAAGATATTTCCTTGTTCACCTTAGGCCGGAAAGCGCTCCAAATGTCCACTTACACACACTACAAAAAGAGTGTTTCAAACCTGCTCTGTGAAAGGGAATGTTCAATTCTGTGACTTGAATGCAATCATCACAAAGAAGTTTCTGAGAATGCTGCTGTCTGCTTTTTATATGTAATCCCGTTTCCAACGAAATCCTCAAATGTAGCCAAATATCCACTTGCAGATTCCACAAAAAGAGTGTTTCAAAACTGTTCTGTCTAAAGAAATGTTCAACTGTGTTAGTTGAGGACACACATCAGAAACTAGTTTCTGAGAATGCTTCTGTCTAGTTGTTATGGGAAGATATTTCCTTTTCCAACGTAGGCCTGAATGCGCTCCAAATGTCCACTTCCATATACTAAAAAAAGAGTGTTTCAAACCTGCTCTACCAAAGGGAATGTTCTACTCTGTGACTTGAATGCAAACATCCCAAGGAAGTTTCTGAGAATGCTTCTGTATAGATTTGATCTGAAGACAATCCCGTTTCCAACGAAATCCTCAAGGCTAGGCAAATATCCTCTTTCAGATTCCAGAAAAAGAGTGTTTCAAAACTGCTCCTTCAAAACGGTGGTTCAATTCTCTTAGTTGAATACACACATCTCAAATAAGTTTCTGAGAATGCTTCTGCCTAGTTGTTACGGGAAGATATTTCCCTTTCCAACATAGGCCTGAAAGCGCTCCAAATGTCCACTTCCAGATACTACAAAAAGAGTGTTTCAAACCTGCTCTACCAAAGGGAATGTTCTACTCTGTGACTTGAATGCAAACATCCCAAAGAAGTTTCTGAGAATGCTTCTGTCTAGATTTTACCTGAAGACAATCCCGTTTCCCACGAAATCCTCAAAGCTATGCAAATATCCTCTTGCAGATTCTACAAAAAGAGTGTTTCAAAACTGCTCTATGAAAAGAAAGGTTCAACTCTGTCAGTAGAGGGCACACATCACAAACAAGTTTCTGAGAATGCTTCTGCATAGTTGTTACGGGAAGATATTTCCCTTTCCAAAATAGGCCTGAAAGCGCTCCAAATGTCCACTTCCAGATACTACAAAAGGAGTGATTCCAACCTGCTCTATGATAGGGAATGTTCAACTCTGTGTCCTGAATACAAACATCACAAAGATGTTTCTCAGAACGCTGCAGTCTGCAATTTGTATGAATTCCCGCTTCCAACGAAATCCTCAAAACTAGCCAAATATCCACTTGCAGATTCCACAAAAAGACCATTTCAAAACTGCTCTATCAAAAGAAAGGTTCAACTTTGTTAGTTGAGTAGATACAGCATAAACAAGTTTCTGAGAATGCTTCTGTCCAGTTTTTATGGGAAGATATTTCCTTTTTCACCTTAGCCCTGAAATCGCTCCAAAAGTCCAGTTCCAGATACTACAAAAGGGGTGTTTCAAGACTGCTCTATGAAAGGGAGTGTTCAACTTTTGACTTGAATGCAAACATCAGAAAGCAGTTTCTCAGAACGCTGCTGTGTGCTTTTTATATGTATTCCCGCTTCCAGCGAAATCCCCAAAGCTAGCCAAATATCCACTTGCAGATTCCAGAAAAAGAGTGTTTCAAAACTGCTCCTTCAAAACGGTGGTTCAATTCTCTTAGTTGAGTACACACATCTCAAATAAGTTTCTGAGAATGCTTCTGTCTAGTTGTTATGGGAAGATATTTCCTTTTCCAACATAGGCCTGAAAGCGCTCCAAATGTCCACTTCCAGATACTACAAAAGGAGTGATTCCAACCTGCTCTATGATAGGGAATGTTCAACTCTGTGTCCTGAATACAAACATCACAAAGATGTTTCTCAGAACGCTGCAGTCTGCAATTTGTATGAATTCCCGCTTCCAACGAAATCCTCAAAACTAGCCAAATATCCACTTGCAGATTCCACAAAAAGACCATTTCAAAACTGCTCTATCAAAAGAAAGGTTCAACTTTGTTAGTTGAGTAGATACAGCATAAACAAGTTTCTGAGAATGCTTCTGTCCAGTTTTTATGGGAAGATATTTCCTTTTTCACCTTAGCCCTGAAATCGCTCCAAAAGTCCAGTTCCAGATACTACAAAAGGGGTGTTTCAAGACTGCTCTATGAAAGGGAGTGTTCAACTTTTGACTTGAATGCAAACATCAGAAAGCAGTTTCTCAGAACGCTGCTGTGTGCTTTTTATATGTATTCCCGCTTCCAGCGAAATCCCCAAAGCTAGCCAAATATCCACTTGCAGATTCCAGAAAAAGAGTGTTTCAAAACTGCTCCTTCAAAACGGTGGTTCAATTCTCTTAGTTGAGTACACACATCTCAAATAAGTTTCTGAGAATGCTTGTGTCTAGTTGTTATGGGAAGATATTTCCTTTTCCAACATAGGCCTGAAAGCGCTCCAAATGTCCACTTCCAGATACTACAAAAGGAGTGATTCAAACCTGCTCTATGATAGGGAATGTTCAACTCTGTGTCCTGAATACAAACATCACAAAGATGTTTCTCAGAACGCTGCAGTCTGCAATTTGTATGAATTCCCGCTTCCAACGAAATCCTCAAAACTAGCCAAATATCCACTTGCAGATTCCACAAAAAGAGCGTTTCAAAACTTCTCTATGAAAAGAAAGGTTCTACTCCTTTAGTTGAGGACACACATCACGAGTAAGTTTCTGAGAATGCTTCTGTCTAGTTTTTATGGGAAGATATTTCCTTGTTCACCTTAGGCTGGAAAGCGCTCCAAATGTCCACTTACACACACTAGAAAAAGAGTGTTTCAAACCTGCTCTGTGAAAGGGAATGTTCAATTCTGTGACTTGAATGCAATCATCACAAAGAAGTTTCTGAGAATGCTGCTGTCTGCTTTTTATATGTAATCCCGTTTCCAACGAAATCCTCAAATCTAGCCAAATATCCACTTGCAGATTCCACAAAAAGAGTGTTTCAAAACTGTTCTGTCTAAAGAAATGTTCAACTGTGTTAGTTGAGGACACACATCAGAAACTAGTTTCTGAGAATGCTTCTGTCTAGTTGTTATGGGAAGATATTTCCTTTTCCAACGTAGGCCTGAAAGCGCTCCAAATGTCCACTTACACACACTACAAAAAGAGTGTTTCAAACCTGCTCTACCAAAGGGAATGTTCTACTCTGTGACTTGAATGCAAACATCCCAAAGAAGTTTCTGAGAATGCTTCTGTCTAGATTTTACCTGAAGACAATCCCGTTTCCCACGAAATCCTCAAAGCTATGCAAATATCCTCTTGCAGATTCTACAAAAAGAGTGTTTCGAAACTGCTCTATGAAAAGAAAGATTCAACTGTGTCAGTAGAGGGCACACATCACAAACAAGTTTCTGAGAATGCTTCTGTCTAGTTGTTATGGGAAGATATTTCCTTTTTCAACATAGGCCTGAAAGCGCTCCAAATGTCCACTTCCAGATAGTACAAAAGGAGTGATTCCAACCTGCTCTATGATAGGGAATGTTCAACTCTGTGTCCTGAATACAAACATCACAAAGATGTTTCTCAGAACGCTGCAGTCTGCAATTTGTATGAATTCCCGCTTCCAACCAAATCCTCAAAACTAGCCAAATATCCACTTGCAGATTCCACAAAAAGAGCATTTCAAAACTGCTCTATCAAAAGAAAGGTTCAACTTTGTTAGTTGAGTAGATACAGCATAAACAAGTTTCTGAGAATGCTTCTGTCCAGTTTTTATGGGAAGATATTTCCTTTTTCACCTTAGCCCTGAAATCGCTCCAAAAGTCCAGTTCCAGATACTACAAAAGGGGTGTTTCAGGACTGCTCTATGAAAGGGAGTGTTCAACTTTTGACTTGAATGCAAACATCAGAAAGCAGTTTCTCAGAACGCTGCTGTGTGCTTTTTATATGTATTCCCGCTTCCAGCGAAATCCCCAAAGCTAGCCAAATATCCACTTGCAGATTCCAGAAAAAGAGTGTTTCAAAACTGCTCCTTCAAAACGGTGGTTCAATTCTCTTAGTTGAGTACACACATCTCAAATAAGTTTCTGAGAATGCTTCTGTCTAGTTGTTATGGGAAGATATTTCCTTTTCCAACATAGGCCTGAAAGCGCTCCAAATGTCCACTTCCAGATACTACAAAAGGAGTGATTCAAACCTGCTCTATGATAGGGAATGTTCAACTCTGTGTCCTGAATACAAACATCACAAAGATGTTTCTCAGAACGCTGCAGTCTGCAATTTGTATGAATTCCCGCTTCCAACGAAATCCTCAAAACTAGCCAAATATCCACTTGCAGATTCCACAAAAAGAGCGTTTCAAAACTTCTCTATGAAAAGAAAGGTTCTACTCCTTTAGTTGAGGACACACATCACGAGTAAGTTTCTGAGAATGCTTCTGTCTAGTTTTTATGGGAAGATATTTCCTTTTTCACCTTAGGCCGGTAAGTGCTCCAAATGTCCACTTACACACACTACAAAAAGAGTGTTTCAAACCTGCTCTGTGAAAGGGAATGTTCAATTCTGTGACTTGAATGCAATCATCACAAAGAACTTTCTGAGAATGCTGCTGACTGCTTTTTATATGTAATCCCGTTTCCAACGAAATCCTCAAATCTAGCCAAATAGCCACTTGCAGATTCCACAAAAAGAGTGTTTCAAAACTGTTCTGTCTAAAGAAATGTTCAACTGTGTTAGTTGAGGACACACATCAGAAACTAGTTTCTGAGAATGCTTCTGTCTAGTTGTTATGGGAAGATATTTCCTTTTCCAACGTAGGCCTGAAAGCGCTCCAAATGTCCACTTCCAGATACTACAAAAAGAGTGTTTCAAACCTGCTCTACCAAAGGGAATGTTCCTACTCTGTGACTTGAATGCAAGCATCCCAAAGAAGTTTCTGAGAATACTTCTGTCTAGATTTGATCTGAAGACAATCCCGTTTCCAACGAAATCCTCAAGGCTAGGCAAATATCCTCTTGCAGATTCCAGAAAAAGAGTGTTTCAAAACTGTTCCTTCAAAACGGTGATTCAATTCTCTTAGTTGAGTACACACATCTCAAATAAGTTTCTGAGAATGCTTCTGCCTAGTTGTTACGGGAAGATATTTCCCTTTCCAACATGGGCCTGAAAGCGCTCCAAATGTCCACTTCCAGATACTACAAAAAGAGTGTTTCAAACCTGCTCTACCAAAGGGAATGTTCTACTCTGTGACTTGAATGCAAACATCCCAAAGAAGTTTCTGAGAATGCTTCTGTCTAGATTTTACCTGAAGACAATCCCGTTTCCCACGAAATCCTCAAAGCTATGCAAATATCCTCTTGCAGATTCTACAAAAAGAGTGTTTCAAAACTGCTCTATGAAAAGAAAGGTTCAACTCTGTCAGTAGAGGGCACACATCACAAACAAGTTTCTGAGAATGCTTGTGTCTAGTTGTTATGGGAAGATATTTCCTTTTTCAACATAGGCCAGAAAGCGCTCCAAATGTCCACTTCCAGATACTACAAAAGGAGTGATTCCAACCTGCTCTATGATAGGGAATGTTCAACTCTCTGTCCTGAATACAAACATCACAAAGATGTTTCTCAGAACGCTGCAGTCTGCAATTTGTATGAATTCCCGCTTCCAACGAAATCCTCAAAACTAGCCAAATATCCACTTGCAGATTCCACAAAAAGAGCATTTCAAAACTGCTCTATCAAAAGAAAGGTTCAACTTTGTTAGTTGAGTAGATACAGCATAAACAAGTTTCTGAGAATGCTTCTGTCCAGTTTTTATGGGAAGATATTTCCTTTTTCACCTTAGCCCTGAAAGCGCTCCAAAAGTCCAGTTCCAGATACTACAAAAGGAGTGTTTCAGACTGCACTATGAAAGGGAGTGTTCAACTTTTGACTTGAATGCAAACATCAGAAAGCAGTTTCTCAGAACGCTGCTGTGTGCTTTTTATATGTATTCCCGCTTCCAGCGAAATCCCCAAAGCTAGCCAAATATCCACTTGCAGATTCCAGAAAAAGAGTGTTTCAAAACTGCTCCTTCAAAACGGTGGTTCAATTCTCTTAGTTGAGTACACACATCTCAAATAAGTTTCTGAGAATGCTTCTGTCTAGTTGTTATGGGAAGATATTTCCTTTTCCAACATAGGCCTGAAAGCGCTCCAAATGTCCACTTCCAGATACTACAAAAGGAGTGATTCAAACCTGCTCTATGATAGGGAATGTTCAAATCTGTGTCCTGAATACAAACATCACAAAGATGTTTCTCAGATCGCTGCAGTCTGCAATTTGTATGAATTCCCGCTTCCAACGAAATCCTCAAAACTAGCCAAATATCCACTTGCAGATTCCACAAAAAGAGCGTTTCAAAACTTCTCTATGAAAAGAAAGGTTCTACTCCTTTAGTTGAGGGCACACATCACGAGTAAGTTTCTGAGAATGCTTCTGTCTAGTTTTTATGGGAAGATATTTCCTTTTTCACCTTAGGCCGGTAAGGGTTCCAAATGTCCACTTACACACACTACAAAAAGAGTGTTTCAAACCTGCTCTGTGAAAGGGAATGTTCAATTCTGTGACTTGAATGCAATCATCACAAAGAACTTTTCTGAGAATGCTGCTGACTGCTTTTTATATGTAATCCCGTTTCCAACGAAATCCTCAAATCTAGCCAAATAGCCACTTGCAGATTCCACAAAAAGAGTGTTTCAAAACTGTTCTGTCTAAAGAAATGTTCAACTGTGTTAGTTGAGGACACACATCAGAAACTAGTTTCTGAGAATGCTTCTGTCTAGTTGTTATGGGAAGATATTTCCTTTTCCAACGTAGGCCTGAAAGCGCTCCAAATGTCCACTTCCATATACTAAAAAAAGAGTGTTTCAAACCTGCTCTACCAAAGGGAATGTTCTACTCTGTGACTTGAATGCAAACATCCCAAAGAAGTTTCTGAGAATGCTTCTGTCTAGATTTTCTCTGAAGACAATCCCGTTTCCAACGAAATCCTCAAGGCTAGGCAAATATACTCTTGCAGATTCCAGAAAAAGAGTGTTTCAAAACTGCTCCTTCAAAACGGTGGTTCAATTCTCTTAGTTGAGTACACACATCTCAAATAAGTTTCTGAGAATGCTTCTGCCTAGTTGTTACGGGAAGATATTTCCCTTTCCAACATGGGCCTGAAAGCGCTCCAAATGTCCACTTCCAGATACTACAAAAAGAGTGTTTCAAACCTGCTCTACCAAAGGGAATGTTCTACTCTGTGACTTGAATGCAAACATCCCAAAGAAGTTTCTGAGAATGCTTCTGTCTAGATTTTATCTGAAGACAATCCCGTTTCCAACGAAATCCTCAAAGCTAGGCAAATATCCTCTAGCAGATTCCAGAAAAAGTGTGTTTCAAAACTGGTCCTTCAAAACGGTGGTTCAATTCTCTTAGTTGAGTACACACATCTCAAATAAGTTTCTGAGAATGCTTCTGCCTAGTTGTTAAGGGAAGATATTTCCCTTTCCAACATTGGCCTGAAAGCGCTCCAAATGTCCACTTCCAGATACTACAAAAAGAGAGTTTCAAACCTGCTCTACCAAACGGAATGTTCTACTCTGTGACTTGAATGCAAACATCCCAAAGAAGTTTCTGAGAATGCTTCTGTCTAGATTTTTCCTGAAGACAATCCCGTTTCCCACGAAATCCTCAAAGCTATGCAAATATCCTCTTGCAGATTCTACAAAAAGAGTGTTTCAAAACTGCTCTATGAAAAGAAAGGTTCAACTCTGTCAGTAGAGGGCACACATCACAAACAAGTTTCTGAGAATGCTTGTGTCTAGTTGTTATGGGAAGATATTTCCTTTTCCAACATAGGCCTGAAAGCGCTCCAAATGTCCACTTCCAGATACTACAAAAGGAGGGATTCCAACCTGGTCTATGATAGGGAATGTTCAACTCTCTGTCCTGAATACAAACATCACAAAGATGTTTCTCAGAACGCTGCAGTCTGCAATTTGTATGAATTCCCGCTTCCAACGAAATCCTCCAAACTAGCCAAATATCCACTTGCAGATTCCACAAAAAGAGCGTTTCAAAACTTCTCTATGAAAAGAAAGGTTCTACTCCTTTAGTTGAGGACACACATCACGAGTAAGTTTCTGAGAATGCTTCTGTCTAGTTTTTATGGGAAGATATTTCCTTTTTCACCTTAGGCCAGAAAGCGCTCCAAATGTCCACTTACACACACTACAAAAAGATTGTTTCAAACCTGCTCTGTGAAAGGGAATGTTCAATTCTGTGACTTGAATGCAATCATCACAAAGAACTTTCTTAGAATGCTGCTGACTGTTTTTTATATGTAATCCCGTTTCCAACGAAATCCTCAAATCTAGCCAAATATCCACTTGCAGATTCCACAAAAACAGTGTTTCAAAACTGTTCTGTCTAAAGAAATGTTCAACTGTGTTAGTTGAGGACACACATCAGAAACTAGTTTCTGAGAATGCTTCTGCCTAGTTGTTATGGGAAGATATTTCCTTTTCCAACGTAGGCCTGAAAGCGCTCCAAATGTCCACTTCCAGATACTACAAAAAGAGTGTTTCAAACCTGCTCTACCAAAGGGAATGTTCTACTCTGTGACTTGAATGCAAACATCCCAAAGAAGTTTCTGAGAATGCTTCTGTCTAGATTTGATCTGAAGACAATCCCGTTTCCAACGAAATCCTCAAGGCTAGGCAAATATACTCTTGCAGATTCCAGAAAAAGAGTGTTTCAAAACTGCTCCTTCAAAACGGTGGTTCAATTCTCTTAGTTGAGTACACACATCTCAAATAAGTTTCTGAGAATGCTTCTGCCTAGTTGTTACGGGAAGATATTTCCCTTTCCAACATGGGCCTGAAAGCGCTCCAAATGTCCACTTCCAGATACTACAAAAAGAGTGTTTCAAACCTGCTCTACCAAAGGGAATGTTCTACTCTGTGACTTGAATGCAAACATCCCAAAGAAGTTTCTGAGAATGCTTCTGTCTAGATTTTACCTGAAGACAATCCCGTTTCCCACGAAATCCTCAAAGCTATGCAAATATCCTCTTGCAGATTCTACAAAAAGAGTGTTTCAAAACTGCTCTATGAAAAGAAAGGTTCAACTCTGTCAGTAGAGGGCACACATCACAAACAAGTTTCTGAGAATGCTTCTGCATAGTTGTTACGGGAAGATATTTCCCTTTCCAAAATAGGCCTGAAAGCGCTCCAAATGTCCACTTCCAGATACTACAAAAGGAGTGATTCCAACCTGCTCTATGATAGGGAATGTTCAACTCTGTGTCCTGAATACAAACATCACAAAGATGTTTCTCAGAACGCTGCAGTCTGCAATTTGTATGAATTCCCGCTTCCAACGAAATCCTCAAAACTAGCCAAATATCCACTTGCAGATTCCACAAAAAGACCATTTCAAAACTGCTCTATCAAAAGAAAGGTTCAACTTTGTTAGTTGAGTAGATACAGCATAAACAAGTTTCTGAGAATGCTTCTGTCCAGTTTTTATGGGAAGATATTTCCTTTTTCACCTTAGCCCTGAAATCGCTCCAAAAGTCCAGTTCCAGATACTACAAAAGGGGTGTTTCAAGACTGCTCTATGAAAGGGAGTGTTCAACTTTTGACTTGAATGCAAACATCAGAAAGCAGTTTCTCAGAACGCTGCTGTGTGCTTTTTATATGTATTCCCGCTTCCAGCGAAATCCCCAAAGCTAGCCAAATATCCACTTGCAGATTCCAGAAAAAGAGTGTTTCAAAACTGCTCCTTCAAAACGGTGGTTCAATTCTCTTAGTTGAGTACACACATCTCAAATAAGTTTCTGAGAATGCTTCTGTCTAGTTGTTATGGGAAGATATTTCCTTTTCCAACATAGGCCTGAAAGCGCTCCAAATGTCCACTTCCAGATACTACAAAAGGAGTGATTCCAACCTGCTCTATGATAGGGAATGTTCAACTCTGTGTCCTGAATACAAACATCACAAAGATGTTTCTCAGAACGCTGCAGTCTGCAATTTGTATGAATTCCCGCTTCCAGCGAAATCCTCAAAACTAGCCAAATATCCACTTGCAGATTCCACAAAAAGAGCATTTCAAAACTGCTCTATCAAAAGAAAGGTTCAACTTTGTTAGTTGAGTAGATACAGCATAAACAAGTTTCTGAGAATGCTTCTGTCCAGTTTTTATGGGAAGATATTTCCTTTTTCACCTTAGCCCTGAAAGCGCTCCAAAAGTCCAGTTCCAGATACTACAAAAGGGGTGTTTCAGGACTGCTCTATGAAAGGGAGTGTTCAACTTTTGACTTGAATGCAAACATCAGAAAGCAGTTTCTCAGAACGCTGCTGTGTGCTTTTTATATGTATTCCCGCTTCCAGCGAAATCCCCAAAGCTAGCCAAATATCCACTTGCAGATTCCAGAAAAAGAGTGTTTCAAAACTGCTCCTTCAAAACGGTGGTTCAATTCTCTTAGTTGAGTACACACATCTCAAATAAGTTTCTGAGAATGCTTCTGTCTAGTTGTTATGGGAAGATATTTCCTTTTCCAACATAGGCCTGAAAGCGCTCCAAATGTCCACTTCCAGATACTACAAAAGGAGTGATTCAAACCTGCTCTATGATAGGGAATGTTCAACTCTGTGTCCTGAATACAAACATCACAAAGATGTTTCTCAGAACGCTGCAGTCTGCAATTTGTATGAATTCCCGCTTCCAACGAAATCCTCAAAACTAGCCAAATATCCACTTGCAGATTCCACAAAAAGAGCGTTTCAAAACTTCTCTATGAAAAGAAAGGTTCTACCCCTTTAGTTGAGGACACACATCACGAGTAAGTTTCTGAGAATGCTTCTGTCTAGTTTTTATGGGAAGATATTTCCTTTTTCACCTTAGGCCGGTAAGTGCTCCAAATGTCCACTTACACACACTACAAAAAGAGTGTTTCAAACCTGCTCTGTGAAAGGGAATGTTCAATTCTGTGACTTGAATGCAATCATCACAAAGAACTTTCTGAGAATGCCGCTGACTGCTTTTTATATGTAATCCCGTTTCCAACGAAATCCTCAAATCTAGCCAAATAGCCACTTGCAGATTCCACAAAAAGAGTGTTTCAAAACTGTTCTGTCTAAAGAAATGTTCAACTGTGTTAGTTGAGGACACACATCAGAAACTAGTTTCTGAGAATGCTTCTGTCTAGTTGTTATGGGAAGATATTTCCTTTTCCAACGTAGGCCTGAAAGCGCTCCAAATGTCCACTTCCAGATACTACAAAAAGAGTGTTTCAAACCTGCTCTACCAAAGGGAATGTTCTACTCTGTGACTTGAATGCAAGCATCCCAAAGAAGTTTCTGAGAATGCTTCTGTCTAGATTTTCTCTGAAGACAATCCCGTTTCCAACGAAATCCTCAAGGCTAGGCAAATATACTCTTGCAGATTCCAGAAAAAGAGTGTTTCAAAACTGCTCCTTCAAAACGGTGGTTCAATTCTCTTAGTTGAGTACACACATCTCAAATAAGTTTCTGAGAATGCTTCTGCCTAGTTGTTACGGGAAGATATTTCCCTTTCCAACATGGGCCTGAAAGCGCTCCAAATGTCCACTTCCAGATACTACAAAAAGAGTGTTTCAAACCTGCTCTACCAAAGGGAATGTTCTACTCTGTGACTTGAATGCAAACATCCCAAAGAAGTTTCTGAGAATGCTTCTGTCTAGATTTTACCTGAAGACAATCCCGTTTCCCACGAAATCCTCAAAGCTATGCAAATATCCTCTTGCAGATTCTACAAAAAGAGTGTTTCAAAACTGCTCTATGAAAAGAAAGGTTCAACTCTGTCAGTAGAGGGCACACATCACAAACAAGTTTCTGAGAATGCTTCTGCATAGTTGTTACGGGAAGATATTTCCCTTTCCAAAATAGGCCTGAAAGCGCTCCAAATGTCCACTTCCAGATACTACAAAAGGAGTGATTCCAACCTGCTCTATGATAGGGAATGTTCAACTCTGTGTCCTGAATACAAACATCACAAAGATGTTTCTCAGAACGCTGCAGTCTGCAATTTGTATGAATTCCCGCTTCCAACGAAATCCTCAAAACTAGCCAAATATCCACTTGCAGATTCCACAAAAAGACCATTTCAAAACTGCTCTATCAAAAGAAAGGTTCAACTTTGTTAGTTGAGTAGATACAGCATAAACAAGTTTCTGAGAATGCTTCTGTCCAGTTTTTATGGGAAGATATTTCCTTTTTCACCTTAGCCCTGAAATCGCTCCAAAAGTCCAGTTCCAGATACTACAAAAGGGGTGTTTCAAGACTGCTCTATGAAAGGGAGTGTTCAACTTTTGACTTGAATGCAAACATCAGAAAGCAGTTTCTCAGAACGCTGCTGTGTGCTTTTTATATGTATTCCCGCTTCCAGCGAAATCCCCAAAGCTAGCCAAATATCCACTTGCAGATTCCAGAAAAAGAGAGTTTCAAAACTGCTCCTTCAAAACGGTGGTTCAATTCTCTTAGTTGAGTACACACATCTCAAATAAGTTTCTGAGAATGCTTCTGCCTAGTTGTTACGGGAAGATATTTCCCTTTCCAACATGGGCCTGAAAGCGCTCCAAATGTCCACTTCCAGATACTACAAAAAGAGTGTTTCAAACCTGCTCTACCAAAGGGAATGTTCTACTCTGTGACTTGAATGCAAACATCCCAAAGAAGTTTCTGAGAATGCTTCTGTCTAGATTTTACCTGAAGACAATCCCGTTTCCCACGAAATCCTCAAAGCTATGCAAATATCCTCTTGCAGATTCTACAAAAAGAGTGTTTCAAAACTGCTCTATGAAAAGAAAGGTTCAACTCTGTCAGTAGAGGGCACACATCACAAACAAGTTTCTGAGAATGCTTCTGCATAGTTGTTACGGGAAGATATTTCCCTTTCCAAAATAGGCCTGAAAGCGCTCCAAATGTCCACTTCCAGATACTACAAAAGGAGTGATTCCAACCTGCTCTATGATAGGGAATGTTCAACTCTGTGTCCTGAATACAAACATCACAAAGATGTTTCTCAGAACGCTGCAGTCTGCAATTTGTATGAATTCCCGCTTCCAACGAAATCCTCAAAACTAGCCAAATATCCACTTGCAGATTCCACAAAAAGACCATTTCAAAACTGCTCTATCAAAAGAAAGGTTCAACTTTGTTAGTTGAGTAGATACAGCATAAACAAGTTTCTGAGAATGCTTCTGTCCAGTTTTTATGGGAAGATATTTCCTTTTTCACCTTAGGCCGGAAAGCGCTCCAAATGTCCACTTACACACACTACAAAAAGAGTGTTTCAAACCTGCTCTGTGAAAGGGAATGTTCAATTCTGTGACTTGAATGCAATCATCACAAAGAACTTTCTGAGAATGCTACAGTCTGCTTTTTATATGTAATCCCGTTTCCAACGAAATCCTCAAATCTAGCCAAATATCCACTTGCAGATTCCACAAAAAGAGTGTTTCAAAACTGTTCTGTCTAAAGAAAAGTTCAACTGTGTTAGTTGAGGACACACATCAGAAACTAGTTTCTGAGAATGCTTCTGTCTAGTTGTTATGGGAAGATATTTCCTTTTCCAACGTAGGCCTGAAAGCGCTCCAAATGTCCACTTCCATATACTAAAAAAAGAGTGTTTCAAACCTGCTCTACCAAAGGGAATGTTCTACTCTGTGACTTGAATGCAAACATCCCAAAGAAGTTTCTGAGAATGCTTCTGTCTAGATTTTATCTGAAGACAATCCCGTTTCCAACGAAATCCTCAAGGCTAGGCAAATATACTCTTGCAGATTCCAGAAAAAGAGTGTTTCAAAACTGCTCCTTCAAAACGGTGGTTCAATTCTCTTAGTTGAGTCCACACATCTCAAATAAGTTTCTGAGAATGCTTCTGCCTAGTTGTTACGGGAAGATATTTCCCTTTCCAACATGGGCCTGAAAGCGCTCCAAATGTCCACTTCCAGATACTACAAAAAGAGTGTTTCAAACCTGCTCTACCAAAGGGAATGTTCTACTCTGTGACTTGAATGCAAACATCCCAAAGAAGTTTCTGAGAATGCTTCTGTCTAGATTTTACCGGAAGACAATCCCGTTTCCCACGAAATCCTCAAAGCTATGCAAATATCCTCTTGCAGATTCTACAAAAAGAGTGTTTCAAAACTGCTCTATGAAAAGAAAGGTTCAACTCTGTCAGTAGAGGGCACACATTACAAACAAGTTTCTGAGAATGCTTCTGCATAGTTGTTACGGGAAGATATTTCCCTTTCCAAAATAGGCCTGAAAGCGCTCCAAATGTCCACTTCCAGATACTACAAAAGGAGTGATTCCAACCTGCTCTATGATAGGGAATGTTCAACTCTGTGTCCTGAATACAAACATCACAAAGATGTTTCTCAGAACGCTGCAGTCTGCAATTTGTATGAATTCCCGCTTCCAACGAAATCCTCAAAACTAGCCAAATATCCACTTGCAGATTCCACAAAAAGAGCATTTCAAAACTGCTCTATCAAAAGAAAGGTTCAACTTTGTTAGTTGAGTAGATACAGCATAAACAAGTTTCTGAGAATGCTTCTGTCCAGTTTTTATGGGAAGATATTTCCTTTTTCACCTTAGCCCTGAAAGCGCTCCAAAAGTCCAGTTCCAGATACTACAAAAGGAGTGTTTCAGGACTGCTCTATGAAAGGGAGTGTTCAACTTTTGACTTGAATGCAAACATCAGAAAGCAGTTTCTCAGAACGCTGCTGTGTGCTTTTTATATGTATTCCCGCCTCCAGCGAAATCCCCAAAGCTAGCCAAATATCCACTTGCAGATTCCAGAAAAAGAGTGTTTCAAAACTGCTCCTTCAAAACGGTGGTTCAATTCTCTTAGTTGAGTACACACATCTCAAATAAGTTTCTGAGAATGCTTCTGTCTAGTTGTTATGGGAAGATATTTCCTTTTCCAACATAGGCCTGAAAGCGCTCCAAATGTCCACTTCCAGATACTACAAAAGGAGTGATTCAAACCTGCTCTATGATAGGGAATGTTCAACTCTGTGTCCTGAATACAAACATCACAAAGATGTTTCTCAGAACGCTGCAGTCTGCAATTTGTATGAATTCCCGCTTCCAACGAAATCCTCCAAACTAGCCAAATATCCACTTGCAGATTCCACAAAAAGAGCGTTTCAAAACTTCTCTATGAAAAGAAAGGTTCTACTCCTTTAGTTGAGGACACACATCACGAGTAAGTTTCTGAGAATGCTTCAGTCTAGTTTTTATGGGAAGATATTTCCTTGTTCACCTTAGGCCGGAAAGCGCTCCAAATGTCCACTTACACACACTAGAAAAAGAGTGTTTCATACCTGCTCTGTGAAAGGGAATGTTCAATTCTGTGACTTGAATGCAATCATCACAAAGAAGTTTCTGAGAATGCTGCTGTCTGCTTTTTATATGTAATCCCGTTTCCAACGAAATCCTCAAATCTAGCCAAATATCCACTTGCAGATTCCACAAAAAGAGTGTTTCAAAACTGTTCTGTCTAAAGAAATGTTCAACTGTGTTAGTTGAGGACACACATCAGAAACTAGTTTCTGAGAATGCTTCTGTCTAGTTGTTATGGGAAGATATTTCCTTTTCCAACGTAGGCCTGAAAGCGCTCCAAATGTCCACTTACACACACTACAAAAAGAGTGTTTCAAACCTGCTCTACCAAAGGGAATGTTCTACTCTGTGACTTGAATGCAAACATCCCAAAGAAGTTTCTGAGAATGCTTCTGTCTAGATTTTACCTGAAGACAATCCCGTTTCCCACGAAATCCTCAAAGCTATGCAAATATCCTCTTGCAGATTCTACAAAAAGAGTGTTTCGAAACTGCTCTATGAAAAGAAAGGTTCAACAGTGTCAGTAGAGGGCACACATCTCAAAAAAGTTTCTGAGAATGCTTCTGTCTAGTTGTTATGGGAAGATATTTCCTTTTTCAACATAGGCCTGAAAGCGCTCCAAATGTCCACTTCCAGATAGTACAAAAGGAGTGATTCCAACCTGCTCTATGATAGGGAATGTTCAACTCTGTGTCCTGAATACAAACATCACAAAGATGTTTCTCAGAACGCTGCAGTCTGCAATTTGTATGAATTCCCGCTTCCAACGAAATCCTCCAAACTAGCCAAATATCCACTTGCAGATTCCACAAAAAGAGCGTTTCAAAACTTCTCTATGAAAAGAAAGGTTCTACTCCTTTAGTTGAGGACACACATCACGAGTAAGTTTCTGAGAATGCTTCTGTCTAGTTTTTATGGGAAGATATTTCCTTTTTCACCTTAGGCCGGAAAGCGCTCCAAATGTCCACTTACACACACTACAAAAAGAGTGTTTCAAACCTGCTCTGTGAAAGGGAATGTTCAATTCTGTGACTTGAATGCAATCATCACAAAGAACTATCTGAGAATGCTGCTGTCTGTTTTTTTATATGTAATCCCGTTTCCAACGAAATCCTCAAATCTAGCCAAATAGCCACTTGCAGATTCCACAAAAAGAGTGTTTCAAAACTGTTCTGTCTAAAGAAATGTTCAACTGTGTTAGTTGAGGACACACATCAGAAACTAGTTTCTGAGAATGCTTCTGTCTAGTTGTTATGGGAAGATATTTCCTTTTCCAACGTAGGCCTGAAAGCGCTCCAAATGTCCACTTCCATATACTAAAAAAAGAGTGTTTCAAACCTGCTCTACCAAAGGGAATGTTCTACTCTGTGACTTGAATGCAAACATCCCAAAGAAGTTTCTGAGAATGCTTCTGTCTAGATTTTCTCTGAAGACAATCCGGTTTCCAACGAAATCCTCATGGCTAGGCAAATATACTCTTGCAGATTCCAGAAAAAGAGTGTTTCAAAACTGCTCCTTCAAAACGGTGGTTCAATTCTCTTAGTTGAGTACACACATCTCAAATAAGTTTCTGAGAATGCTTCTGCCTAGTTGTTACGGGAAGATATTTCCCTTTCCAACATGGGCCTGAAAGCGCTCCAAATGTCCACTTCCAGATACTACAAAAAGAGTGTTTCAAACCTGCTCTACCAAAGGGAATGTTCTACTCTGTGACTTGAATGCAAACATCCCAAAGAAGTTTCTGAGAATGCTTCTGTCTAGATTTTACCTGAAGACAATCCCGTTTCCCACGAAATCCTCAGAGCTATGCAAATATCCTCTTGCAGATTCTACAAAAAGAGTGTTTCGAAACTGCTCTATGAAAAGAAAGGTTCAACTCTGTCAGTAGAGGAAACACATCACCAACAAGTTTCTGAGAATGCTCTGTCTAGTTGTTATGGGAAGATATTTCCTTTTCCAACATAGGCCTGAAAGCGCTCCAAATGTCCACTTCCAGATACTACAAAAGGAGTGATTCCAACCTGCTCTATGATAGGGAATGTTCAACTGCTGTGTCCTGAATACAAACATCACAAAGATGTTTGCTCAGAACGCTGGCAGTCTGCAATTTGTATGAATTCCCGCTTCCAACGAAATCCTCAAAACTAGCCAAATATCCACTTGCAGATTCCACAAAAAGAGCGTTTCAAAACTTCTCTATGAAAAGAAAGGTTCTACTCCTTTAGTTGAGGACACACATCACGAGTAAGTTTCTGAGAATGCTCTGTCTAGTTTTTATGGGAAGATATTTCCTTTTTCACCTTAGGCCGGAAAGTGCTCCAAATGTCCACTTACACACACTACAAAAAGAGTGTTTCAAAACTGCTCTGTGAAAGGGAATGTTCAATTCTGTGACTTGAATGCAATCATAACAAAGAACGTTCTGAGAATGCTGGCTGACTGCTTTTTATATGTAATCCCGTTTCCAACGAAATCCTCAAATCTAGCCAAATAGCCACTTGCAGATTCCACAAAAAGAGTGTTTCAAAACTGTTCTGTCTAAAGAAATGTTCAACTGTGTTAGTTGAGGACACACATCAGAAACTAGTTTCTGAGAATGCTTCTGTCTAGTTGTTATGGGAAGATATTTCCTTTTCCAACGTAGGCCTGAAAGCGCTCCAAATGTCCACTTCCAGATACTAAAAAAAGAGTGTTTCAAACCTGCTCTACCAAAGGGAATGTTCTACTCTGTGACTTGAATGCAAGCATCCCAAAGAAGTTTCTGAGAATGCTTCTGTCTAGATTTTCTCTGAAGACAATCCCGTTTCCAACGAAATCCTCAAGGCTAGGCAAATATACTCTTGCAGATTCCAGAAAAAGAGTGTTTCAAAACTGCTCCTTCAAAACGGTGGTTCAATTCTCTTAGTTGAGTACACACATCTCAAATAAGTTTCTGAGAATGCTTCTGCCTAGTTGTTACGGGAAGATATTTCCCTTTCCAACATGGGCCTGAAAGCGCTCCAAATGTCCACTTCCAGATACTACAAAAAGAGTGTTTCAAACCTGCTCTACCAAAGGGAATGTTCTACTCTGTGACTTGAATGCAAACATCCCAAAGAAGTTTCTGAGAATGCTTCTGTCTAGATTTTACCTGAAGACAATCCCGTTTCCCACGAAATCCTCAAAGCTATGCAAATATCCTCTTGCAGATTCTACAAAAAGAGTGTTTCAAAACTGCTCTATGAAAAGAAAGGTTCAACTCTGTCAGTAGAGGGCACACATCACAAACAAGTTTCTGAGAATGCTTCTGCATAGTTGTTACGGGAAGATATTTCCCTTTCCAAAATAGGCCTGAAAGCGCTCCAAATGTCCACTTCCAGATACTACAAAAGGAGTGATTCCAACCTGCTCTATGATAGGGAATGTTCAACTCTGTGTCCTGAATACAAACATCACAAAGATGTTTCTCAGAACGCTGCAGTCTGCAATTTGTATGAATTCCCGCTTCCAACGAAATCCTCAAAACTAGCCAAATATCCACTTGCAGATTCCACAAAAAGACCATTTCAAAACTGCTCTATCAAAAGAAAGGTTCAACTTTGTTAGTTGAGTAGATACAGCATAAACAAGTTTCTGAGAATGCTTCTGTCCAGTTTTTATGGGAAGATATTTCCTTTTTCACCTTAGCCCTGAAATCGCTCCAAAAGTCCAGTTCCAGATACTACAAAAGGGGTGTTTCAAGACTGCTCTATGAAAGGGAGTGTTCAACTTTTGACTTGAATGCAAACATCAGAAAGCAGTTTCTCAGAACGCTGCTGTGTGCTTTTTATATGTATTCCCGCTTCCAGCGAAATCCCCAAAGCTAGCCAAATATCCACTTGCAGATTCCAGAAAAAGAGAGTTTCAAAACTGCTCCTTCAAAACGGTGGTTCAATTCTCTTAGTTGAGTACACACATCTCAAATAAGTTTCTGAGAATGCTTCTGTCTAGTTGTTATGGGAAGATATTTCCTTTTCCAACATAGGCCTGAAAGCGCTCCAAATGTCCACTTCCAGATACTACAAAAGGAGTGATTCAAACCTGCTCTATGATAGGGAATGTTCAACTCTGTGTCCTGAATACAAACATCACAAAGATGTTTCTCAGAACGCTGCAGTCTGCAATTTGTATGAATTCCCGCTTCCAACGAAATCCTCAAAACTAGCCAAATATCCACTTGCAGATTCCACAAAAAGAGCGTTTCAAAACTTCTCTATGAAAAGAAAGGTTCTACTCCTTTAGTTGAGGACACACATCACGAGTAAGTTTCTGAGAATGCTTCTGTCTAGTTTTTATGGGAAGATATTTCCTTTTTCACCTTAGGCCGGTAAGTGCTCCAAATGTCCACTTACACACACTACAAAAAGAGTGTTTCAAACCTGCTCTGTGAAAGGGAATGTTCAATTCTGTGACTTGAATGCAATCATCACAAAGAACTTTCTGAGAATGCTGCTGACTGCTTTTTATATGTAATCCCGTTTCCAACGAAATCCTCAAATCTAGCCAAATAGCCACTTGCAGATTCCACAAAAAGAGTGTTTCAAAACTGTTCTGTCTAAAGAAATGTTCAACTGTGTTAGTTGAGGACACACATCAGAAACTAGTTTCTGAGAATGCTTCTGTCTAGTTGTTATGGGAAGATATTTCCTTTTCCAACGTAGGCCTGAAAGCGATCCAAATGTCCACTTCCATATACTAAAAAAAGAGTGTTTCAAACCTGCTCTACCAAAGGGAATGTTCTACTCTGTGACTTGAATGCAAACATCCCAAAGAAGTTTCTGAGAATGCTTCTGTCTAGATTTTCTCTGAAGACAATCCCGTTTCCAACGAAATCCTCAAGGCTAGGCAAATATACTCTTGCAGATTCCAGAAAAAGAGTGTTTCAAAACTGCTCCTTCAAAACGGTGGTTCAATTCTCTTAGTTGAGTACACACATCTCAAATAAGTTTCTGAGAATGCTTCTGCCTAGTTGTTACGGGAAGATATTTCCCTTTCCAACATGGGCCTGAAAGCGCTCCAAATGTCCACTTCCAGATACTACAAAAAGAGTGTTTCAAACCTGCTCTACCAAAGGGAATGTTCTACTCTGTGACTTGAATGCAAACATCCCAAAGAAGTTTCTGAGAATGCTTCTGTCTAGATTTTACCTGAAGACAATCCCGTTTCCCACGAAATCCTCAAAGCTATGCAAATATCCTCTTGCAGATTCTACAAAAAGAGTGTTTCAAAACTGCTCTATGAAAAGAAAGGTTCAACTCTGTCAGTAGAGGGCACACATCACAAACAAGTTTCTGAGAATGCTTCTGCATAGTTGTTACGGGAAGATATTTCCCTTTCCAAAATAGGCCTGAAAGCGCTCCAAATGTCCACTTCCAGATACTACAAAAGGAGTGATTCCAACCTGCTCTATGATAGGGAATGTTCAACTCTGTGTCCTGAATACAAACATCACAAAGATGTTTCTCAGAACGCTGCAGTCTGCAATTTGTATGAATTCCCGCTTCCAACGAAATCCTCAAAACTAGCCAAATATCCACTTGCAGATTCCACAAAAAGACCATTTCAAAACTGCTCTATCAAAAGAAAGGTTCAACTTTGTTAGTTGAGTAGATACAGCATAAACAAGTTTCTGAGAATGCTTCTGTCCAGTTTTTATGGGAAGATATTTCCTTTTTCACCTTAGCCCTGAAATCGCTCCAAAAGTCCAGTTCCAGATACTACAAAAGGGGTGTTTCAAGACTGCTCTATGAAAGGGAGTGTTCAACTTTTGACTTGAATGCAAACATCAGAAAGCAGTTTCTCAGAACGCTGCAGTCTGCAATTTGTATGAATTCCCGCTTCCAACGAAATCCTCCAAACTAGCCAAATATCCACTTGCAGATTCCACAAAAAGAGCGTTTCAAAACTTCTCTATGAAAAGGAAGGTTCTACTCCTTTAGTTGAGGACACACATCACGAGTAAGTTTCTGAGAGTGCTTCTGTCTAGTTTTTATGGGAAGATATTTCCTTTTTCACCTTAGGCCGGAAAGTGCTCCAAATGTCCACTTACACACACTACAAAAAGAGTGTTTCAAACCTGCTCTGTGAAAGGGAATGTTCAATTCTGTGACTTGAATGCAATCATCACAAAGAACTTTCTGAGAATGGTGCTGACTGCTTTTTATATGTAATCCCGTTTCCAACGAAATCCTCAAATCTAGCCAAATAGCCACTTGCAGATTCCACAAAAAGAGTGTTTCAAAACTGTTCTGTCTAAAGAAATGTTCAACTGTGTTAGTTGAGGACACACATCAGAAACTAGTTTCTGAGAATGCTTCTGTCTAGTTGTTATGGGAAGATATTTCCTTTTCCAACGTAGACCTGAAAGCGCTCCAAATCTCCACTTCCATATACTAAAAAAAGAGTGTTTCAAACCTGCTCTACCAAAGGGAATGTTCTACTCTGTGACTTGAATGCAAACATCCCAAAGAAGTTTCTGAGAATGCTTCTGTCTTGATTTTATCTGAAGACAATCCCGTTTCCAACGAAATCTTCAAGGCTAGGCAAATATACTCTTGCAGATTCCAGAAAAAGAGTGTTTCAAAACTGCTCCTTCAAAACGGTGGTTCAATTCTCTTAGTTGAGTACACACATCTCAAATAAGTTTCTGAGAATGCTTCTGCCTAGTTGTTACGGGAAGATATTTCCCTTTCCAACATGGGCCTGAAAGCGCTCCAAATGTCCACTTCCAGATACTACAAAAAGAGGGTTTCAAACCTGCTCTACCAAAGGGAATGTTCTACTCTGTGACTTGAATGCAAACATCCCAAAGAAGTTTCTGAGAATGCTTCTGTCTAGATTTTACCTGAAGACAATCCCGTTTCCCCCAAAATCCTCAAAGCTATGCAAATATCCTCTTGCAGATTCTACAAAAAGAGTGTTTCAAAACTGCTCTATGAAAAGAAAGGTTCAACTCTGTCAGCAGAGGGCACACATCACAAACAAGTTTCTGAGAATGCTTGTGTCTAGTTGTTATGGGAAGATATTTCCTTTTTCAACATAGGCCTGAAAGCGCTCCAAATGTCCACTTCCAGATACTACAAAAGGAGTGATTTCAACCTGCTGTATGATAGGGAATGTTCATCTCTGTGTCCTGAATACAAACATCACAAAGATGTTTCTCAGAACGCTGCAGTCTGCAATTTGTATGAATTCCCGCTTCCAACGAAATCCTCAAAACTAGCCAAATATCCACGTGCAGATTCCACAAAAAGAGCGTTTCAAAACTTCTCTATGAAAAGAAAGGTTCTACTCCTTTAGTTGAGGACACACATCACGAGTAAGTTTCTGAGAATGCTTCTGTCTAGTTTTTATGGGAAGATATTTCCTTTTTCACCTTAGGCCAGAAAGCGCTCCAAATGTCCACTTACACACACTACAAAAAGAGTGTTTCAAACCTGCTCTGTGAAAGGGAATTTTCAATTCTGTGACTTGAATGCAATCATCACAAAGAACTATCTGAGAATGCTGCTGACTGCTTTTTATATGTAATCCCGTTTCCAACGAAATCCTCAAATCTAGCCAAATATCCACTTGCAGATTCCACAAAAAGAGTGTTTCATAACTGTTCTGTCTAAAGAAATGTACAACTGTGTTAGTTGAGGACACACATCAGAAACTAGTTTCTGAGAATGCTTCGGTCTAGTTGTTATGGGAAGATATTTCCTTCTCCAACGTAGGCCTGAAAGCGCTCCAAATGTCCACTTCCATATACTAAAAAAAGATTGTTTCAAACCTGCTCTACCAAAGAGAATGTTCTACTCTGTGACTTGAATGCAAACATCCCAAAGAAGTTTCTGAGAATGCTTCTGTCTAGATTTTATCTGAAGACAATCCAGTTTCCAACGAAATCCTCAAGGCTAGGCAAATATATTCTTGCAGAATCCAGAAAAAGAGTGTTTCAAAACTGCTCCTTCAAAACGGTGGTTCAATTCTCTTAGTTGAGTACACACATCTCAAATAAGTTTCTGAGAATGCTTCTGCCTAGTTGTTAAGGGAAGATATTTCCCTTTCCAACATGAGCCTGAAAGCGCTCCATATGTCCACTTCCAGATACTACAAAAAGAGTGTTTCAAACCTGCTCTACCAAAGGGAATGTTCTACTCTGTGACTTGAATGCAAACATCCCAAAGAAGTTTCTGAGAATCCTTCTGTCTAGATTTTACCTGAAGACAATCCCGTTTCCCACGAAATCCTCAAAGCTATGCAAATATCCTCTTGCAGATTCTACAAAAAGAGTGTTTCAAAACTGCTCTATGAAAAGAAAGGTTCAAATCTGTCAGTAGAGGGCACACATCACAAACAAGTTTCTGAGAATGCTTCTGCATAGTTGTTATGGGAAGATATTTCCCTTTCCAAAATAGGCCTGAAAGCGCTCCAAATGTCCACTTCCAGATACTACAAAAGGAGTGATTCCAACCTGCTCTAGGACAGGGAATGTTCAACTCTGTGTCCTGAATAAAAACATCACAAAGATGTTTCTCAGAACGCTGCAGTCTGCAATTTGTATGAATTCCCGCTTCCAACGAAATCCTCAAAACTAGCCAAATATCCACTTGCAGATTCCACAAAAAGACCATTTCAAAACTGCTCTATCAAAAGAAAGGTTCAACTTTGTTAGTTGAGTAGATACAGCATAAACAAGTTTCTGAGAATGCTTCTGTCCAGTTTTTATGGGAAGATATTTCCTTTTTCACCTTAGCCCTAAAATCGCTCCAAAAGTCCAGTTCCAGACACTACAAAAGGGGTGTTTCAAGACTGCTCTATGAAAGGGAGTGTTCAACTTTTGACTTGAATGCAAACATCAGAAAGCAGTTTCTCAGAACCCTGCTGTGTGCTTTTTATATGTATTCCCGCTTCCAGCGAAATCCCCAAAGCTAGCCAAATATCCACTTGCAGATTCCAGAAAAAGAGTGTTTCAAAACTGCTCCTTCAAAACGGTGGTTCAATTCTCTTAGTTGAGTACACACATCTCAAATAAGTTTCTGAGAATGCTTCTGTCTAGTTGTTATGGGAAGATATTTCCTTTTCCAACATAGGCCTGAAAGCGCTCCAAATGTCCACTTCCAGATACTACAAAAGGAGTGATTCAAACCTGCTCTATGATAGGGAATGTTCAACTCTGTGTCCTGAATACAAACATCACAAAGATGTTTCTCAGAACGCTGCAGTCTGCATCTTGTATGAATTCCCGCTTCCAACGAAATCCTCCAAACTAGCCTAATATCCACTTGCAGATTCCACAAAAAGAGCGTTTCAAAACTTCTCTATGAAAAGAAAGGTTCTACTCCTTTAGTTGAGGACACACATCACGAGTAAGTTTCTGAGAATGCTTCTGTCTAGTTTTTATGGGAAGATATTTCCTTGTTCACCTTAGGCCGGAAAGCGCTCCAAATGTCCACTTACACACACTACAAAAAGAGTGTTTCAAACCTGCTCTGTGAAAGGGAATGTTCAATTCTGTGACTTGAATGCAATCATCACAAAGAAGTTTCTGAGAATGCTGCTGTCTGCTTTTTATATGTAATCCCGTTTCCAACGAAATCCTCATATCTAGCCAAATATCCACTTGCAGATTCCACAAAAAGAGTGTTTCAAAACTGTTCTGTCTAAAGAAATGTTCAACTGTGTTAGTTGAGGACACACATCAGAAACTAGTTTCTGAGAATGCTTCTGTCTAGTTGTTATGGGAAGATATTTCCTTTTCCAACGTAGGCCTGAAAGCGCTCCAAATGTCCACTTCCATATACTAAAAAAAGAGTGTTTCAAACCTGCTCTACCAAAGGAAGGTTCTACTCTGTGACTTGAATGCAAACATCCCAAAGAAGTTTCTGAGAATGCTTCTGTCTAGATTTGATCTGAAGACAATCCCTTTTCCAACGAAATCCTCAAAGCTAGGCAAATATCCTCTTGCAGATTCCAGAAAAAGAGTGTTTCCAAACTGCTCCTTCAAAACGGTGGTTCAATTCTCTTAGTTGAGTACACACATCTCAAATAAGTTTCTGAGAATGCTTCTGCCTAGTTGTTACGGGAAGATATTTCCCTTTCCAACATAGGCCTGAAAGCGCAACAAATGTCCACTTCCAGATACTACAAAAAGAGTGTTTCAAACCTGCTCTACCAAAGGGAATGTTCTACTCTGTGACTTGAATGCAAACATCCCGAAGAAGTTTCTGAGAATGCTTCTGTCTAGATTTTACCTGAAGACAATCCCGTTTCCCACGAAATCCTCAGAGCTATGCAAATATCCTCTTGCAGATTCTACAAAAAGAGTGTTTCGAAACTGCTCTATGAAAAGAAAGGTTCAACTCTGTCAGTAGAGGAAACACATCACCAACAAGTTTCTGAGAATGCTTCTGTCTAGTTGTTATGGGAAGATTTTTCCTTTTTCAACATAGGCCTGAAAGCGCTCCAAATGTCCACTTCCAGATACTACAAAAGGAGTGATCCCAACCTGCTCTATGATAGGGAATGTTCAACTCTGTGTCCTGAATACAAACATCACAAAGATGTTTCTCAGAACGCTGCAGTCTGCAATTTGTATGAATTCCCGCTTCCAACGAAATCCTCAAAACTAGCCAAATATCCACTTGCAGATTCCACAAAAAGAGCATTTCAAAACTGCTCTATCAAAAGAAAGGTTCAACTTTGTTAGTTGAGCAGATACAGCATAAACAAGTTTCTGAGAATGCTTCTGTCCAGTTTTTATGGGAAGATATTTCCTTTTTCACCTTAGCCCTGAAAGCGCTCCAAATTTCCAGTTCCAGATACTACAAAAGGGGTGTTTCAAGACTGCTCTATGAAAGGGAGTGTTCAACTTTTGACTTGAATGCAAACATCAGAAAGCAGTTTCTCAGAACGCTGCTGTGTGCTTTTTATATGTATTCCCGCTTCCAGCGAAATCCCCAAAGCTAGCCAAATATCCACTTGCAGATTCCAGAAAAAGAGTGTTTCCAAACTGCTCCTTCAAAACGGTGGTTCAATTCTCTTAGTTGAGTACACACATCTCAAATAAGTTTCTGGGAATGCTTCTGTCTAGTTGTTATGGGAAGATATTTCCTTTTCCAACATAGGCCTGAAAGCGCTCCAAATGTCCACTTCCAGATACTACAAAAGGAGTGATTCAAACCTGCTCTATGATAGGGAATGTTCAACTCTGTGTCCTGAATACAAACATCACAAAGATGTTTCTCAGAACGCTGCAGTCTGCAATTTGTATGAATTCCCGCTTCCAACGAAATCCTCAAAACTAGCCAAATATCCACTTGCAGATTCCACAAAAAGAGTGTTTCAAAACTTCTCTATGAAAAGAAAGGTTCTACTCCTTTAGTTGAGGACACACATCACGAGTAAGTTTCTGAGAATGCTTCTGTCTAGTTTTTATGGGAAGATATTTCCTTTTTCACCTTAGGCCGGAAAGCGCTCCAAATGTCCACTTACACACACTACAAAAAGAGTGTTTCAAACCTGCTCTGTGAAAGGGAATGTTCAATTCTGTGACTTGAATGCAATCATCACAAAGAACTTTCTGAGAATGCTGCTGACTGCTTTTTATATGTAATCCCGTTTCCAACGAAATCCTCAAATCTAGCCAAATAGCCACTTGCAGATTCCACAAAAAGAGTGTTTCAAAACTGTTCTGTCTAAAGAAATGTTCAACTGTGTTAGTTGAGGACACACATCAGAAACTAGTTTCTGAGAATGCTTCTGTCTAGTTGTTATGGGAAGATATTTCCTTTTCCAACGTAGGCCTGAAAGCGCTCCAAATGTCCACTTCCATATACTAAAAAAAGAGTGTTTCAAACCTGCTCTACCAAAGGGAATGTTCTACTCTGTGACTTGAATGCAAACATCCCAAAGAAGTTTCTGAGAATGCTTCTGTCTAGATTTTATCTGAAGACAATCCCGTTTCCAACGAAATCCTCAAGGCTAGGCAAATATACTCTTGCAGATTCCAGAAAAAGAGTGTTTCAAAACTGCACCTTCAAAACGGTGGTTCAATTCTCTTAGTTGAGTACACACATCTCAAATAAGTTTCTGAGAATGCTTCTGCCTAGTTGTTACGGGAAGATATTTCCCTTTCCAACATGGGCCTGATAGCGCTCCGAATGTCCACTTCCAGATACTACAAAAAGAGGGTTTCAAACCTGCTCTACCAAAGGGAATGTTCTACTCTGTGACTTGAATGCAAACATCCCAAAGAAGTTTCTGAGAATGCTTCTGTCTAGATTTTACCTGAAGACAATCCCGTTTCCCACGAAATCCTCAAAGCTATGCAAATATCCTCTTGCAGATTCTACAAAAAGAGTGTTTCGAAAGTGCTCTATGAAAAGAAAGGTTCAACTGTGTCAGTAGATTGCACACATCACAAACAAGTTTCTGAGAATGCTTCTGCCTAGTTGTTATGGGAAGATATTTCCTTTTTCAACATAGGCCTTAAATCGCTCCAAATATCCACTTACAGATACTACAAAAGGTGTGATTCCAACCTGCTCTATGATAGGGAATGTTCAACTCTGTGTCCTGAATACAAACATCACAAAGATGTTTCTCAGAACGCTGCAGTCTGCAATTTGTATGAATTCCCGCTTCCAACGAAATCCTCAAAACTAGCCAACTATCCACTTGCAGATTCCACAAAAAGAGCATTTCAAAACTGCTCTATCAAAAGAAAGGTTCAACTTTGTTAGTTGAGTAGATACAGCATAAACAAGTTTCTGAGAATGCTTCTGTCCAGTTTTTATGGGAAGATATTTCCTTTTTCACCTTAGCCCTGAAAGCGCCCGAAATGACCAGTTCCAGATACTACAAAAGGGGTGTTTCAAGACTGCTCTATGAAAGGGAGTGTTCAACTTTTGACTTGAATGCAAACATCAGAAAGCAGTTTCTCAGAACGCTGCTGTGTGCTTTTTATATGTACTCCCGCTTCCAGCGAAATCCCCAAAGCTAGCCAAATATCCACTTGCAGATTCCAGAAAAAGAGTGTTTCAAAACTACTCCTTCAAAACGGTGGTTCAATTCTCTTAGTTGAGTACACACATCTCAAATAAGTTTCTGAGAATGCTTCTGTCTAGTTGTTATGGGAAGATATTTCCTTTTCCAACATAGGCCTGAAAGCGCTCCAAATGTCCACTTCCAGATACTACAAAAGGAGTGATTCAAACCTGCTCTATGATAGGGAATGTTCAACTCTGTGTCCTGAATACAAACATCACAAAGATGTTTCTCAGAACGCTGCAGTCTGCAATTTGTATGAATTCCCGCTTCCAACGAAATCCTCAAAACTAGCCAAATATCCACTTGCAGATTCCACAAAAAGAGCGTTTCAAAACTTCTCTATGAAAAGAAAGGTTCTACTCCTTTAGTTGAGGACACACATCACGAGTAAGTTTCTGAGAATGCTTCTGTCTAGTTTTTATGGGAAGATTATTTCCTTTTTCACCTTAGGCCGGTAAGTGCTCCAAATGTCCACTTACACACACTACAAAAAGAGTGTTTCAAACCTGCTCTGTGAAAGGGAATGTTCAATTCTGTGACTTGAATGCAATCATCACAAAGAACTTTCTGAGAATGCCGCTGACTGCTTTTTATATGTAATCCCGTTTCCAACGAAATCCTCAAATCTAGCCAAATAGCCACTTGCAGATTCCACAAAAAGAGTGTTTCAAAACTGTTCTGTCTAAAGAAATGTTCAACTGTGTTAGTTGAGGACACACATCAGAAACTAGTTTCTGAGAATGCTTCTGTCTAGTTGTTATGGGAAGATATTTCCTTTTCCAACGTAGGCCTGAAAGCGCTCCAAATGTCCACTTCCAGATACTAAAAAAAGAGTGTTTCAAACCTGCTCTACCAAAGGGAATGTTCTACTCTGTGACTTGAATGCAAGCATCCCAAAGAAGTTTCTGAGAATGCTTCTGTCTAGATTTTCTCTGAAGACAATCCCGTTTCCAACGAAATCCTCAAGGCTAGGCAAATATACTCTTGCAGATTCCAGAAAAAGAGTGTTTCAAAACTGCTCCTTCAAAACGGTGGTTCAATTCTCTTAGTTGAGTACACACATCTCAAATAAGTTTCTGAGAATGCTTCTGCCTAGTTGTTACGGGAAGATATTTCCCTTTCCAACATGGGCCTGAAAGCGCTCCAAATGTCCACTTCCAGATACTACAAAAAGAGTGTTTCAAACCTGCTCTACCAAAGGGAATGTTCTACTCTGTGACTTGAATGCAAACATCCCAAAGAAGTTTCTGAGAATGCTTCTGTCTAGATTTTACCTGAAGACAATCCCGTTTCCCACGAAATCCTCAAAGCTATGCAAATATCCTCTTGCAGATTCTACAAAAAGAGTGTTTCAAAACTGCTCTATGAAAAGAAAGGTTCAACTCTGTCAGTAGAGGGCACACATCACAAACAAGTTTCTGAGAATGCTTCTGCATAGTTGTTACGGGAAGATATTTCCCTTTCCAAAATAGGCCTGAAAGCGCTCCAAATGTCCACTTCCAGATACTACAAAAGGAGTGATTCCAACCTGCTCTATGATAGGGAATGTTCAACTCTGTGTCCTGAATACAAACATCACAAAGATGTTTCTCAGAACGCTGCAGTCTGCAATTTGTATGAATTCCCGCTTCCAACGAAATCCTCAAAACTAGCCAAATATCCACTTGCAGATTCCACAAAAAGACCATTTCAAAACTGCTCTATCAAAAGAAAGGTTCAACTTTGTTAGTTGAGTAGATACAGCATAAACAAGTTTCTGAGAATGCTCTGTCCAGTTTTTATGGGAAGATATTTCCTTTTTCACCTTAGCCCTGAAATCGCTCCAAAAGTCCAGTTCCAGATACTACAAAAGGGGTGTTTCAAGACTGCTCTATGAAAGGGAGTGTTCAACTTTTGACTTGAATGCAAACATCAGAAAGCAGTTTCTCAGAACGCTGGCTGTGTGCTTTTTATATGTATTCCCGCTTCCAGCGAAATCCCCAAAGCTAGCCAAATATCCACTTGCAGATTCCAGAAAAAGAGAGTTTCAAAACTGCTCCTTCAAAACGGTGGTTCAATTCTCTTAGTTGAGTACACACATCTCAAATAAGTTTCTGAGAATGCTTCTGTCTAGTTGTTATGGGAAGATATTTCCTTTTCCAACATAGGCCTGAAAGCGCTCCAAATGTCCACTTCCAGATACTACAAAAGGAGTGATTCCAACCTGCTCTATGATAGGGAATGTTCAACTCTGTGTCCTGAATACAAACATCACAAAGATGTTTCTCAGAACGCTGCAGTCTGCAATTTGTATGAATTCCCGCTTCCAACGAAATCCTCAAAACTAGCCAAATATCCACTTGCAGATTCCACAAAAAGAGCGTTTCAAAACTTCTCTATGAAAAGAAAGGTTCTACTCCTTTAGTTGAGGACACACAATACGAGTAAGTTTCTGAGAATGCTTCTGTCCAGTTTTTATGGGAAGATATTTCCTTTTTCACCTTAGCCCTGAAAGCGCTCCAAAAGTCCAGTTCCAGATACTACAAAAGGAGTGTTTCAGGACTGCTCTATGAAAGGGAGTGTTCAACTTTTGACTTGAATGCAAACATCAGAAAGCAGTTTCTCAGAACGCTGCTGTGTGCTTTTTATATGTATTCCCGCTTCCAGCGAAATCCCCAAAGCTAGCCAAATATCCACTTGCAGATTCCAGAAAAAGAGTGTTTCAAAACTGCTCCTTCAAAACGGTGGTTCAATTCTCTTAGTTGAGTACACACATCTCAAATAAGTTTCTGAGAATGCTTCTGTCTAGTTGTTATGGGAAGATATTTCCTTTTCCAACATAGGCCTGAAAGCGCTCCAAATGTCCACTTCCAGATACTACAAAAGGAGTGATTCAAACCTGCTCTATGATAGGGAATGTTCAACTCTGTGTCCTGAATACAAACATCACAAAGATGTTTCTCAGAACGCTGCAGTCTGCAATTTGTATGAATTCCCGCTTCCAACGAAATCCTCAAAACTAGCCAAATATCCACTTGCAGATTCCACAAAAAGAGCGTTTCAAAACTTCTCTATGAAAAGAAAGGTTCTACTCCTTTAGTTGAGGACACACATCACGAGTAAGTTTCTGAGAATGCTTCTGTCTAGTTTGTATGGGAAGATATTTCCTTTTTCACCTTAGGCCGGAAAGTGCTCCAAATGTCCACTTACACACACTACAAAAAGAGTGTTTCAAACCTGCTCTGTGAAAGGGAATGTTCAATTCTGTGACTTGAATGCAATCATCACAAAGAACTTTCTGAGAATGCTGCTGACTGCTTTTTATATGTAATCCCGTTTCCAACGAAATCCTCAAATCTAGCCAAATAGCCACTTGCAGATTCCACAAAAAGAGTGTTTCAAAACTGTTCTGTCTAAAGAAATGTTCAACTGTGTTAGTTGAGGACACACATCAGAAACTAGTTTCTGAGAATGCTTCTGTCTAGTTGTTATGGGAAGATATTTCCTTTTCCAACGTAGGCCTGAAAGCGCTCCAAATGTCCACTTCCATATACTAAAAAAAGAGTGTTTCAAACCTGCTCTACCAAAGGGAATGTTCTACTCTGTGACTTGAATGCAAACATCCCAAAGAAGTTTCTGAGAATGCTTCTGTCTAGATTTGATCTGAAGACAATCCCGTTTCCAACGAAATCCTCAAGGCTAGGCAAATATACTCTTGCAGATTCCAGAAAAAGAGGGTTTCAAAACTGCTCCTTCAAAACGGTGGTTCAATTCTCTTCGTTGAGTACACACATCTCAAATAAGTTTCTGAGAATGCTTCTGCCTAGTTGTTACGGGAAGATATTTCCCTTTCCAACATGGGCCTGAAAGCTCTCCAAATGTCCACTTCCAGATACTACAAAAAGAGTGTTTCAAACCTGCTCTACCAAAGGGAATGTTCTACTCTGTGACTTGAATGCAAACATCCCAAAGAAGTTTCTGAGAATGCTTCTGTCTAGATTTTACCTGAAGACAATCCCGTTTCCCACGAAATCCTCAAAGCTATGCAAATATCCTCTTGCAGATTCTACAAAAAGAGTGTTTCAAAACTGCTCTATGAAAAGAAAGGTTCAACTCTGTCAGTAGAGGGCACACATCACAAACAAGTTTCTGAGAATGCTTCTGCATAGTTGTTACGGGAAGATATTTCCCTTTCCAAAATAGGCCTGAAAGCGCTCCAAATGTCCACTTCCAGATACTACAAAAGGAGTGATTCCAACCTGCTCTATGATAGGGAATGTTCAACTCTGTGTCCTGAATACAAACATCACAAAGATGTTTCTCAGAACGCTGCAGTCTGCAATTTGTATGAATTCCCGCTTCCAACGAAATCCTCAAAACTAGCCAAATATCCACTTGCAGATTCCACAAAAAGACCATTTCAAAACTGCTCTATCAAAAGAAAGGTTCAACTTTGTTAGTTGAGTAGATACAGCATAAACAAGTTTCTGAGAATGCTTCTGTCCAGTTTTTATGGGAAGATATTTCCTTTTTCACCTTAGCTCTGAAAGCGCTCCAAAAGTCCAGTTCCAGATACTACAAAAGGAGTGTTTCAGGACTGCTCTATGAAAGGGAGTGTTCAACTTTTGACTTGAATGCAAACATCAGAAAGCAGTTTCTCAGAACGCTGCTGTGTGCTTTTTATATGTATTCCCGCTTCCAGCGAAATCCCCAAAGCTAGCCAAATATCCACTTGCAGATTCCAGAAAAAGAGTGTTTCAAAACTGCTCCTTCAAAACGGTGGTTCAATTCTCTTAGTTGAGTACACACATCTCAAATAAGTTTCTGAGAATGCTTCTGTCCAGTTTTTATGGGAAGATATTTCCTTTTTCACCTTAGCCCTGAAATCGCTCCAAAAGTCCAGGTCCAGATACTACAAAAGGGGTGTTTCAAGACTGCTCTATGAAAGGGAGTGTTCAACTTTTGACTTGAATGCAAACATCAGAAAGCAGTTTCTCAGAAAGCTGCAGTCTGCAATTTGTATGAATTCCCGCTTCCAACGAAATCCTCCAAACTAGCCAAATATCCACTTGCAGATTCCACAAAAAGAGCGTTTCAAAACTTCTCTATGAAAAGAAAGGTTCTACTCCTTTAGTTGAGGACACACATCACGAGTAAGTTTCTGAGAATGCTTCTGTCTAGTTTTTATGGGAAGATATTTCCTTTTTCACCTTAGGCCGGAAAGTGCTCCAAATGTCCACTTACACACACTACAAAAAGAGTGTTTCAAACCTGCTCTGTGAAAGGGAATGTTCAATTCTGTGACTTGAATGCAATCATCACAAAGAACTTTCTGAGAATGCTGCTGTCTGCTTTTTATATGTAATCCCGTTTCCAACGAAATCCTCAAATCTAGCCAAATAGCCACTTGCAGATTCCACAAAAAGAGAGTTTCAAAACTGTTCTGTCTAAAGAAATGTTCAACTGTGTTAGTTGAGGACACACATCAGAAACTAGTTTCTGAGAATGCTTCTGTCTAATTGTTATGGGAAGATATTTCCTTTTCCAACGTAGGCCTGAAAGCGCTCCAAATGTCCACTTCCATATACTAAAAAAAGAGTGTTTCAAACCTGCTCTACCAAAGGGAATGTTCTACTCTGTGACTTGAATGCAAACATCCCAAAGAAGTTTCTGAGAATGCTTCTGTCTAGATTTGATCTGAAGACAATCCCGTTTCCAACGAAATCCTCAAGGCTAGGCAAATATCCTCTTGCAGATTCCAGAAAAAGAGTGTTTCAAAACTGCTCCTTCAAAACGGTGGTTCAATTCTCTTAGTTGAGTACACACATCTCAAATAAGTTTCTGAGAATGCTTCTGCCTAGTTGTTACGGGAAGATATTTCCCTTTCCAACATAGGCCTGAAAGCGCTCCAAATGTCCACTTCCAGATACTACAAAAAGAGTGTTTCAAACCTGCTCTACCAAAGGGAATGTTCTACTCTGTGACTTGAATGCAAACATCCCAAAGAAGTTTCTGAGAATGCTTCTGTCTAGATTTTACCTGAAGACAATCCCGTTTCCCACGAAATCCTCAAAGCTATGCAAATATCCTCTTGCAGATTCTACAAAAAGAGTGTTTCAAAACTGCTCTATGAAAAGAAAGGTTCAACTCTGTCAGTAGAGGGCACACATCACAAACAAGTTTCTGAGAATGCTTGTGTCTAGTTGTTATGGGAAGATATTTCCTTTTTCAAGATAGGCCTGAAAGCGCTCCAAATGTCCACTTCCAGATACTACAAAAGGAGTGATTCCAACCTGCTCTATGATAGGGAATGTTCAACTCTCTGTCCTGAATACAAACATCACAAAGATGTTTCTCAGAACGCTGCAGTCTGCAATTTGTATGAATTCCCGCTTCCAACGAAATCCTCAAAACTAGCCAAATATCCACTTGCAGATTGCACAAAAAGACCATTTCAAAACTGCTGTATCAAAAGAAAAGTTCAACTTTGTTAGTTGAGTAGATACAGCATAAACAAGTTTCTGAGAATGCTTCTGTCCAGTTTTTATGGGAAGATATTTCCTTTTTCACCTTAGCCCTGAAATCGCTCCAAAAGTCCAGTTCCAGATACTACAAAAGGGGTGTTTCAAGACTGCTCTATGAAAGGGAGTGTTCAACTTTTGACTTGAATGCAAACATCAGAAAGCAGTTTCTCAGAACGCTGCTGTGTGCTTTTTATATGTATTCCCGCTTCCAGCGAAATCCCCAAAGCTAGCCAAATATCCACTTGCAGATTCCAGAAAAAGAGAGTTTCAAAACTGCTCCTTCAAAACGGTGGTTCAATTCTCTTAGTTGAGTACACACATCTCAAATAAGTTTCTGAGAATGCTTCTGTCTAGTTGTTATGGGAAGATATTTCCTTTTCCAACATAGGCCTGAAAGCGCTCCAAATGTCCACTTCCAGATACTACAAAAGGAGTGATTCAAACCTGCTCTATGATAGGGAATGTGCAACTCTGTGTCCTGAATACAAACATCACAAAGATGTTTCTCAGAACGCTGCAGTCTGCATCTTGTATGAATTCCCGCTTCCAACGAAATCCTCAAAACTAGCCAAATATCCACTTGCAGATTCCACAAAAAGAGCGTTTCAAAACTTCTCTATGAAAAGAAAGGTTCTACTCCTTTAGTTGAGGACACACATCACGAGTAAGTTTCTGAGAATGCTTCTGTCTAGTTTTTATGGGAAGATATTTCCTTGTTCACCTTAGGCCGGAAAGCGCTCCAAATGTCCACTTACACACACTACAAAAAGAGTGTTTCAAACCTGCTCTGTGAAAGGGAATGTTCAATTCTGTGACTTGAATGCAATCATCACAAAGAAGTTTCTGAGAATGCTGCTGTCTGCTTTTTATATGTAATCCCGTTTCCAACGAAATCCTCACATCTAGCCAAATATCCACTTGCAGATTCCACAAAAAGAGTGTTTCAAAACTGTTCTGTCTAAAGAAATGTTCAACTGTGTTAGTTGAGGACACACATCAGAAACTAGTTTCTGAGAATGCTTCTGTCTAGTTGTTATGGGAAGATATTTCCTTTTCCAACGTAGGCCTGAAAGCGCTCCAAATGTCCACTTCCATATACTAAAAAAAGAGTGTTTCAAACCTGCTCTACCAAAGGAATGTTCTACTCTGTGACTTGAATGCAAACATCCCAAAGAAGTTTCTGAGAATGCTTCTGTCTAGATTTGATCTGAAGACAATCCCTTTTCCAACGAAATCCTCAAAGCTAGGCAAATATCCTCTTGCAGATTCCAGAAAAACAGTGTTTCCAAACTGCTCCTTCAAAACGGTGGTTCAATTCTCTTAGTTGAGTACACACATCTCAAATAAGTTTCTGAGAATGCTTCTGCCTAGTTGTTACGGGAAGATATTTCCGTTTCCAACATAGGCCTGAAAGCGCAACAAATGTCCACTTCCAGATACTACAAAAAGAGTGTTTCAAACCTGCTCTACCAAAGGGAATGTTCTACTCTGTGACTTGAATGCAAACATCCCGAAGAAGTTTCTGAGAATGCTTCTGTCTAGATTTTACCTGAAGACAATCCCGTTTCCCACGAAATCCTCAGAGCTATGCAAATATCCTCTTGCAGATTCTACAAAAAGAGTGTTTCGAAACTGCTCTATGAAAAGAAAGGTTCAACTCTGTCAGTAGAGGAAACACATCACCAACAAGTTTCTGAGAATGCTTCTGTCTAGTTGTTATGGGAAGATTTTTCCTTTTTCAACATAGGCCTGAAAGCGCTCCAAATGTCCACTTCCAGATACTACAAAAGGAGTGATCCCAACCTGCTCTATGATAGGGAATGTTCAACTCTGTGTCCTGAATACAAACATCACAAAGATGTTTCTCAGAACGCTGCAGTCTGCAATTTGTATGAATTCCCGCTTCCAACGAAATCCTCCAAACTAGCCAAATATCCACTTGCAGATTCCACAAAAAGAGCATTTCAAAACTGCTCTATCAAAAGAAAGGTTCAACTTTGTTAGTTGAGTAGATACAGCATAAACAAGTTTCTGAGAATGCTTCTGTCCAGTTTTTATGGGAAGATATTTCCTTTTTCACCTTAGCCCTGAAAGCGCTCCAAAAGTCCAGTTCCAGATACTACAAAAGGAGTGTTTCAGGACTGCTCTATGAAAGGGAGTGTTCAACTTTTGACTTGAATGCAAACATCAGAAAGCAGTTTCTCAGAACGCTGCTGTGTGCTTTTTATATGTATTCCCGCTTCCAGCGAAATCCCCAAAGCTAGCCAAATATCCACTTGCAGATTCCAGAAAAAGAGTGTTTCAAAACTGCTCCTTCAAAACGGTGGTTCAATTCTCTTAGTTGAGTACACACATCTCAAATAAGTTTCTGAGAATGCTTCTGTCTAGTTGTTATGGGAAGATATTTCCTTTTCCAACATAGGCCTGAAAGCGCTCCAAATGTCCACTTCCAGATACTACAAAAGGAGTGATTCCAACCTGCTCTATGATAGGGAATGTTCAACTCTGTGTCCTGAATACAAACATCACAAAGATGTTTCTCAGAACGCTGCAGTCTGCAATTTGTATGAATTCCCGCTTCCAACGAAATCCTCCAAACTAGCCAAATATCCACTTGCAGATTCCACAAAAAGAGCGTTTCAAAACTTCTCTATGAAAAGAAAGGTTCTACTCCTTTAGTTGAGGACACACATCACGAGTAAGTTTCTGAGAATGCTTCTGTCTAGTTTTTATGGGAAGATATGTCCTTTTTCACCTTAGGCCGGAAAGCACTCCAAATGTCCACTTACACACACTACAAAAAGAGTGTTTCAAACCTGCTCTGTGAAAGGGAATGTTCAATTCTGTGACTTGAATGCAATCATCACAAAGAACTTTCTGAGAATGCTGCTGACTGCTTTTTATATGTAATCCCGTTTCCAACGAAATCCTCAAATCTAGCCCAATATCCACTTGCAGATTCCACAAAAAGAGTGTTTCAAAACTGTTCTGTCTAAGGAAATGTACAACTGTGTTAGTTGAGGACACACATCAGAAACTAGTTTCTGAGAATGCTTCTGTCTAGTTGTTATGGGAAGATATTTCCTTTTCCAACGTAGGCCTGAAAGCGCTCCAAATGTCCACTTCCATATACTAAAAAAAGAGTGTTTCAAACCTGCTCTACCAAAGGGAATGTTCTACTCTGTGACTTGAATGCAAACATCCCAAAGAAGTTTCTGAGAATGCTTCTGTCTAGATTTTATCTGAAGACAATCCCGTTTCCAACGAAATCCTCAAGGTTAGGCAAATATACTCTTGCAGATTCCAGAAAAAGAGTGTTTCAAAACTGCTCCTTCAAAACGGTGGTTCAATTCTCTTAGTTGAGTACACACATCTCAAATAAGTTTCTGAGAATGCTTCTGCCTAGTTGTTACGGGAAGATATTTCCCTTTCCAACATGGGCCTGAAAGCGCTCCAAATGTCCACTTCCAGATACTACAAAAAGAGTGTTTCAAACCTGCTCTACCAAAGGGAATGTTCTACTCTGTGACTTGAATGCAAACATCCCAAAGAAGTTTCTGAGAATGCTTCTGTCTAGATTTTACCTGAAGACAATCCCGTTTCCCACGAAATCCTCAAAGCTATTCAAATATCCTCTTGCAGATTCTACAAAAAGAGTGTTTCAAAACTGCTCTATGAAAAGAAAGGTTCAACTCTGTCACTAGAGGGCACACATCACAAACAAGTTTCTGAGAATGCTTGTGTCTAGTTGTTATGGGAAGATATTTCCTTTTTCAACATAGGCCTGAAAGCGCTCCAAATGTCCACTTCCAGATACTACAAAAGGAGTGATTCCAACCTGCTCTATGATAGGGAATGTTCAACTCTCTGTCCTGAATACAAACATCACAAAGATGTTTCTCAGAACGCTGCAGTCTGCAATTTGTATGAATTCCCGCTTCCAGCGAAATCCTCAAAACTAGCCAAATATCCACTTGCAGATTCCACAAAAAGAGCATTTCAAAACTGCTCTATCAAAAGAAAGGTTCAACTTTGTTAGTTGAGTAGATACAGCATAAACAAGTTTCTGAGAATGCTTCTGTCCAGTTTTTATGGGAAGATATTTCCTTTTTCACCTTAGCCCTGAAAGCGCTCCAAAAGTCCAGTTCCAGATACTACAAAAGGAGTGTTTCAGGACTGCTCTATGAAAGGGAGTGTTCAACTTTTGACTTGAATGCAAACATCAGAAAGCAGTTTCTCAGAACGCTGCTGTGTGCTTTTTATATGTATTCCCGCTTCCAGCAAAATCCCCAAAGCTAGCCAAATATCCACTTGCAGATTCCAGAAAAAGAGTGTTTCAAAACTGCTGCTTCAAAACGGTGGTTCAATTCTCTTAGTTGAGTACACACATCTCAAATAAGTTTCTGAGAATGCTTCTGTCTAGTTGTGATGGGAAGATATTTCCTTTTCCAACATAGGGCAGAAAGCGCTCCAAATGTCCACTTCCAGATACTACAAAAGGAGTGATTCCAACCTGCTCTATGATAGGGAATGTTCAACTCTGTGTCCTGAATACAAACATCACAAAGATGTTTCTCAGAACGCTGCAGTCTGCAATTTGTATGAATTCCCGCTTCCAACGAAATCCTCCAAACTAGCCAAATATCCACTTGCAGATTCCACAAAAAGAGCGTTTCAAAACTTCTCTATGAAAAGAAAGGTTCTACTCCTTTAGTTGAGGACACACATCACGAGTAAGTTTCTGAGAATGCTTCTGTCTAGTTTTTATGGGAAGATATTTCCTTGTTCACCTTAGGCCGGAAAGCGCTCCAAATGTCCACTTACACACACTACAAAAAGAGTGTTTCAAACCTGCTCTGTGAAAGGGAATGTTCAATTCTGTGACTTGAATGCAATCATCACAAAGAAGTTTCTGAGAATGCTGCTGACTGCTTTTTATATGTAATCCCGTTTCCAACGAAATCCTCAAATCTAGCCAAATAGCCACTTGCAGATTCCACAAAGAGTGTTTCAAAACTGTTCTGTCTAAAGAAATGTTCAACTGTGTTAGTTGAGGACACACATCAGAAACTAGTTTCTGAGAATGCTTCTGTTTAGTTGTTATGGGAAGATATTTCCTTTTCCAACGTAGGCCTGAAAGCGCTCCAAATGTCCACTTCCATATACTAAAAAAAGAGTGTTTCAAACCTGCTCTACCAAAGGGAATGTTCTACTCTGAGACTTGAATGCAAACATCCCAAAGAAGTTTCTGAGAATGCTTCTGTCTAGATTTTATCTGAAGACAATCCCGTTTCCAACGAAATCCTCAAGGCTAGGCAAATATACTCTTGCAGATTCCAGAAAAAGAGTGTTTCAAAACTGCGCCTTCAAAACGGTGGTTCAATTCTCTTAGTTGAGTACACACATCTCAAATAAGTTTCTGAGAATGCTTCTGCCTAGTTGTTACGGGAAGATATTTCCCTTTCCAACATGGGCCTGAAAGCGCTCCAAATGTCCACTTCCAGATACTACAAAAGGAGGGTTTCAAACCTGCTCTACCAAAGGGAATGTTCTACTCTGTGACTTGAATGCAAACATCCCAAAGAAGTTTCTGAGAATGCTTCTGTCTAGATTTTACCTGAAGACAATCCCGTTTCCCACGAAATCTTCAAAGCTATGCAAATATCCTCTTGCAGATTCTACAAAAAGAATGTTTCAAAACTGCTCTATGAAAAGAAAGGTTCAACTCTGTCAGTAGAGGGCACACATCACAAACAAGTTTCTGAGAATGCTTGTGTCTAGTTGTTATGGGAAGATATTTCCTTTTTCAACATAGGCCTGAAAGCGCTCCAAATGTCCACTTCCAGATACTACAAAAGGAGTGATTCCAACCTGCTCTATGATAGGGAATGTTCATCTCTGTGTCCTGAATACAAACATCACAAAGATGTTTCTCAGAACGCTGCAGTCTGCAATTTGTATGAATTCCCGCTTCCAACGAAATGCTCAAAACTAGCCAAATATCCACTTGGAGATTCCACAAAAAGAGCGTTTCAAAATTTCTCTATGAATAGAAAGGTTCTACTCCTTTAGTTGAGGACACACATCACGAGTAAGTTTCTGAGAATGCTTCTGTCTAGTTTTTATGGGAAGATATGTCCTTTTTCACCTTAGGCCGGAAAGCGCTCCAAATGTCCACTTACACACACTATAAAAAGAGTGTTTCAAACCTGCTCTGTGAAAGGGAATGTTCAATTCTGTGACTTGAATGCAATCATCACAAAGAACTTTCTGAGAATGCTGCTGTCTGCTTTTTATATGTAATCCCGTTTCCAACGAAATCCTCAAATCTACCCCAATATCCACTTGCAGATTCCACAAAAAGAGTGTTTCAAAACTGTTCTGTGTAAAGAAATGTACAACTGTTTTAGTTGAGGACACACATCAGAAACTAGTTTCTGAGAATGCTTCTGTCTAGTTGTTATGGGAAGATATTTCCTTTTCCAACGTAGGCCTGAAAGCGCTCCAAATGTCCACTTCCATATACTAAAAAAAGAGTGTTTCAAACCTGCTCTACCAAAGGGAATGTTCTACTCTGTGACTTGAATGCAAACATCCCAAAGAAGTTTCTGAGAATGCTTCTGTCTAGATTTTATCTGAAGACAATCCCGTTTCCAGCGAAATCCTCAAGGCTAGGCAAATATACTCTTGCAGATTCCAGAAAAAGAGGGTTTCAAAACTGCTCCTTCAAAACGGTGGTTCAATTCTCTTAGTTGAGTCCACACATCTCAAATAAGTTTCTGAGAATGCTTCTGCCTAGTTGTTACGGGAAGATATTTCCCTTTCCAACATAGGCCTGAAAGCGCTCCAAATGTCCACTTCCAGATACTACAAAAAGAGTGTTTCAAACCTGCTCTACCAAAGGGAATGTTCTACTCTGTGACTTGAATGCAAACATCCCAAAGAAGTTTCTGAGAATGCTTCTGTCTAGATTTTACCTGAAGACAATCCCGTTTCCCACGAAATCCTCAAAGCTATGCAAATATCCTCTTGCAGATTCTACAAAAAGAGTGTTTCAAAACTGCTCTATGAAAAGAAAGGTTCAACTCTGTCAGTAGAGGGCACACATCACAAACAAGTTTCTGAGAATGTTTGTGTCTAGTTGTTATGGGAAGATATTTCCTTTTTCAACATAGGCCTGAAAGCGCTCCAAATGTCCACTTCCAGATACTACAAAAGGAGTGATTCCAACCTGCTCTATGATAGGGAATGTTCATCTCTGTGTCCTGAATACAAACATCACAACGATGTTTCTGAGAACGCTGCAGTATGCAATTTGTATGAATTCCCGCTTCCAACGAAATCCTCAAAACTAGCCAAATATCCACTTGGAGATTCCACAAAAAGAGCGTTTCAAAACTTCTCTATGAATAGAAAGGTTCTACTCCTTTAGTTGAGGACACACATCACGAGTAAGTTTCTGAGAATGCTTCTGTCTAGTTTTTATGGGAAGATATTTCCTTTTTCACCTTAGGCCGGAAAGCGCTCCAAATGTCCACTTACACACACTACAAAAAGAGTGTTTCAAACCTGCTCTGTGAAAGGGAATGTTCAATTCTGTGACTTGAATGCAATCATCACAAAGAACTTTCTGAGAATGCTGCTGTCTGCTTTTTATATGTAATCCCGTTTCCAACGAAATCCTCAAATCTAGCCCAATATCCACTTGCAGATTCCACAAAAAGAGTGTTTCAAAACTGTTCTGTATAAAGAAATGTACAACTGTGTTAGTTGAGGACACACATCAGAAAGTAGTTTCTGAGAATGCTCTCTGTCTAGTTGTTATGGGAAGATATTTCCTTTTCCAACGTAGGCCTGAAAGTGCTCCAAATGTCCACTTCCATATACTAAAAAAAGAGTGTTTCAAACCTGCTCTACCAAAGGGAATGTTCTACTCTGTGACTTGAATGCAAACATCCCAAAGAAGTTTCTGAGAATGCTTCTGTCTAGATTTGATCTGAAGACAATCCCGTTTCCAACGAAATCCTCAAGGCTAGGCAAATATCCTCTTGCAGATTCCAGAAAAAGAGTGTTTCAAAACTGCTCCTTCAAAACGGTGGTTCAATTCTCTTAGTTGAGTACACACATCTCAAATAAGTTTCTGAGAATGCTTCTGCCTAGTTGTTACGGGAAGATATTTCCCTTTCCAACATAGGCCTGAAAGCGCTCCAAATGTCCACTTCCAGATACTACAAAAAGAGTGTTTCAAACCTGCTCTACCAAAGGGAATGTTCTACTCTGTGACTTGAATGCAAACATCCCAAAGAAGTTTCTGAGAATGCTTCTGTCTAGATTTTACCTGAAGACAATCCCGTTTCCCACGAAATCCTCAAAGCTATGCAAATATCCTCTTGCAGATTCTACAAAAAGAGTGTTTCAAAACTGCTCTATGAAAAGAAAGGTTCAACTCTGTCAGTAGAGGGCACACATCACAAACAAGTTTCTGAGAATGCTTGTGTCTAGTTGTTATGGGAAGATATTTCCTTTTTCAACATAGGCCTGAAAGCGCTCCAAATGTCCACTTCCAGATACTACAAAAGGAGTGATTCCAACCTGCTCTATGATAGGGAATGTTCAACTCTCTGTCCTGAATACAAACATCACAAAGATGTTTCTCAGAACGCTGCAGTCTGCAATTTGTATGAATTCCCGCTTCCAACGAAATCCTCCAAACTAGCCAAATATCCACTTGCAGATTCCACAAAAAGAGCATTTCAAAACTGCTCTATCAAAAGAAAGGTTCAACTTTGTTAGTTGAGTAGATACAGCATAAACAAGTTTCTGAGAATGCTTCTGTCCAGTTTTTATGGGAAGATATTTCCTTTTTCACCTTAGCCCTGAAAGCGCTCCAAAAGTCCAGTTCCAGATACTACAAAAGGAGTGTTTCAGGACTGCTCTATGAAAGGGAGTGTTCAACTTTTGACTTGAATGCAAACATCAGAAAGCAGTTTCTCAGAACGCTGCTGTGTGCTTTTTACATGTATTCCCGCTTCCAGCGAAATCCCCAAAGCTAGCCAAATATCCACTTGCAGATTCCAGAAAAAGAGTGTTTCAAAACTGCTCCTTCAAAACGGTGGTTCAATTCTCTTAGTTGAGTACACACATCTCAAATAAGTTTCTGAGAATGCTTCTGTCTAGTGGTTATGGGAAGATATTTCCTTTTCCAACATAGGCCTGAAAGCGCTCCAAATGTCCACTTCCAGATACTACGAAAGGAGTGATTCAAACCTGCTCTATGATAGGGAATGTTCAACTCTGTGTCCTGAATACAAACATCACAAAGATGTTTCTCAGAACGCTGCAGTCTGCAATTTGTATGAATTCCCGCTTCCAACGAAATCCTCCAAACTAGCCAAATATCCACTTGCAGATTCCACAAAAAGAGCGTTTCAAAACTTCTCTATGAAAAGAAAGGTTCTACTCCTTTAGTTGAGGACACACATCACGAGTAAGTTTCTGAGAATGCTTCTGTCTAGTTTTTATGGGAAGATATTTCCTTTTTCACCTTAGGCCGGTAAGTGCTCCAAATGTCCACTTACACACACTACAAAAAGAGTCTTTCAAACCTGCTCTGTGAAAGGGAATGTTCAATTCTGTGACTTGAATGCAATCATCACAAAGAACTTTCTGAGAATGCTGCTGTCTGCTTTTTATATGTAATCCCGTTTCCAACGAAATCCTCAAATCTAGCCAAATAGCCACTTGCAGATTCCACAAAAAGAGAGTTTCAAAACTGTTCTGTCTAAAGAAATGTTCAACTGTGTTAGTTGAGGACACACATCAGAAACTACTTTCTGAGAATGCTTTCTGTCTAGTTGTTATGGGAAGATATTTCCTTTTCCAACGTAGGCCTGAAAGCGCTCCAAATGTCCACTTCCATATACTAAAAAAAGAGTGTTTCAAACCTGCTCTACCAAAGGGAATGTTCTACTCTGTGACTTGAATGCAAACATCCCAAAGAAGTTTCTGAGAATGCTTCTGTCTAGATTTTCTCTGAAGACAATCCCGTTTCCAACGAAATCCTCAAGGCTAGGCAAATATACTCTTGCAGATTCCAGAAAAAGAGTGTTTCAAAACTGCTCCTTCAAAACGGTGGTTCAATTCTCTTAGTTGAGTACACACATCTCAAATAAGTTTCTGAGAATGCTTCTGCCTAGTTGTTACGGGAAGATATTTCCCTTTCCATCATGGGCCTGAAAGCGCTCCAAATGTCCACTTCCAGATACTACAAAAAGAGTGTTTCAAACCTGCTCTACCAAAGGGAATGTTCTACTCTGTGACTTGAATGCAAACATCCCAAAGAAGTTTCTGAGAATGCTTCTGTCTAGATTTTACCTGAAGACAATCCCGTTTCCCACGAAATCCTCAAAGCTATGCAAATATCCTCTTGCAGATTCTACAAAAAGAGTGTTTCAAAACTGCTCTATGAAAAGAAAGGTTCAACTCTGTCAGTAGAGGGCACACATCACAAACAAGTTTCTGAGAATGCTTGTGTCTAGTTGTTATGGGAAGATATTTCCTTTTTTAACATAGGCCTGAAAGCGCTCCAAATGTCCACTTCCAGATACTACAAAAGGAGTGATTCCAACCTGCTCTATGATAGGGAATGTTCAACTCTGTGTCCTGAATACAAACATCACAAAGATGTTTCTCAGAACGCTGCAGTCTGCAATTTGTATGAATTCCCGCTTCCAACGAAATTCTCAAAACTAGCCAAATATCCACTTGCAGATTCCACAAAAAGACCATTTCAAAACTGCTCTATCAAAAGAAAGGTTCAACTTTGTTAGTTGAGTAGATACAGCATAACCAAGTTTCTGAGAATGCTTCTGTCCAGTTTTTATGGGAAGATATTTCCTTTTTCACCTTAGCCCAGAAAGCGCTCCAAAAGTCCAGTTCCAGATACTACAAAAGGAGTGTTTCAGGACTGCTCTATGAAAGGGAGTGTTCAACTTTTGACTTGAATGCAAACATCAGAAAGCAGTTTCTCAGAACGCTGCTGTGTGCTTTTTATATGTATTCCCGCTTCCAGCGAAATCCCCAAAGCTAGCCAAATATCCACTTGCAGATTGCAGAAAAAGAGTGTTTCAAAACTGCTCCTTCAAAACGGTGGTTCAATTCTCTTAGTTGAGTACACACATCTCAAATAAGTTTCTGAGAATGTTTCTGTCTAGTTGTTATGGGAAGATATTTCCTTTTCCAACACAGGCCTGAAAGCGCTCCAAATGTCCACTTCCAGATACTACAAAAGGAGTGATTCCAACCTGCTCTATGATAGGGAATGTTCAACTCTGTGTCCTGAATACAAACATCACAAAGATGTTTCTCAGAACGCTGCAGTCTGCAATTTGTATGAATTCCCGCTTCCAACGAAATCCTCCAAACTAGCCAAATATCCACTTGCAGATTCCACAAAAAGAGCATTTCAAAACTGCTCTATCAAAAGAAAGGTTCAACTTTGTTAGTTGAGCAGATACAGCATAAACAAGTTTCTGAGAATGCTTCTGTCCAGTTTTTATGGGAAGATATTTCCTTTTTCACCTTAGCCCTGAAAGCGCTCCAAATTTCCAGTTCCAGATACTACAAAAGGGGTGTTTCAAGACTGCTCTATGAAAGGGAGTGTTCAACTTTTGACTTGAATGCAAACATCAGAAAGCAGTTTCTCAGAACGCTGCTGTGTGCTTTTTATATGTATTCCCGCTTCCAGCGAAATCCCCAAAGCTAGCCAAATATCCACTTGCAGATTCCAGAAAAAGAGTGTTTCCAAACTGCTCCTTCAAAACGGTGGTTCAATTCTCTTAGTTGAGTACACACATCTCAAATAAGTTTCTGGGAATGCTTCTGTCTAGTTGTTATGGGAAGATATTTCCTTTTCCAACATAGGCCTGAAAGCGCTCCAAATGTCCACTTCCAGATACTACAAAAGGAGTGATTCAAACCTGCTCTATGATAGGGAATGTTCAACTCTGTGTCCTGAATACAAACATCACAAAGATGTTTCTCAGAACGCTGCAGTCTGCAATTTCTATGAATTCCCGCTTCCAACGAAATCCTCAAAACTAGCCAAATACCCACTTGCAGATTCCACAAAAAGAGCGTTTCAAAACTTCTCTATGAAAAGAAAGGTTCTACTCCTTTAGTTGAGGACACACATCACGAGTAAGTTTCTGAGAATGCTTCTGTCTAGTTTTTATGGGAAGATATTTCCTTTTTCACCTTAGGCCGGTAAGTGCTCCAAATGTCCACTTACACACACTACAAAAAGAGTGTTTCAAACCTGCTCTGTGAAAGGGAATGTTCAATTCTGTGACTTGAATGCAATCATCACAAAGAACTTTCTGAGAATGCTGCTGTCTGCTTTTTATATGTAATCCCGTTTCCAACGAAATCCTCAAATCTAGCCAAATAGCCACTTGCAGATACCACAAAAAGAGAGTTTCAAAACTGTTCTGTCTAAAGAAATGTTCAACTGTGTTAGTTGAGGACACACATCAGAAACTAGTTTCTGAGAATGCTTCTGTCTAGTTGTTATGGGAAGATATTTCCTTTTCCAACGTAGGCCTGAAAGCGCTCCAAATGTCCACTTCCATATACTAAAAAAAGAGTGTTTCACACCTGCTCTACCAAAGGGAATGTTCTACTCTGTGACTTGAATGCAAACATCCCAAAGAAGTTTCTGAGAATGCTTCTGTCTAGATTTGATCTGAACACAATCCCGTTTCCAACGAAATCCTCAAAGCTAGGCAAATATCCTCTTGCAGATTCCAGAAAAAGAGTGTTTCAAAACTGCTCCTTCAAAACGGTGGTTCAATTCTCTTAGTTGAGTACACACATCTCAAATAAGTTTCTGAGAATGCTTCTGCCTAGTTGTTACCGGAAGATATTTCCCTTTCCAACATAGGCCTGAAAGCGCTCCAAATGTCCACTTCCAGATACTACAAAAAGAGTGTTTCAAAGCTGCTCTACCAAAGGGAATGTTCTACTCTGTGACTTGAATGCAAACATCCCAAAGAAGTTTCTGAGAATGCTTCTGTCTAGATTTTACCTGAAGACAATCCCGTTTCCCACGAAATCCTCAAAGCTATGCAAATATCCTCTTGCAGATTCTACAAAAAGAGTGTTTCAAAACTGCTCTATGAAAAGAAAGGTTCAACTCTGTCAGTAGAGGGCACACATCACAAACAAGTTTCTGAGAATGCTTGTGTCTAGTTGTTATGGGAAGATATTTCCTTTTTCAACATAGGCCAGAAAGCGCTCCAAATGTCCACTTCCAGATACTACAAAAGGAGTGATTCCAACCTGCTCTATGATAGGGAATGTTCAACTCTCTGTCCTGAATACAAACATCACAAAGATGTTTCTCAGAACGCTGCAGTCTGCAATTTGTATGAATTCCCGCTTCCAACGAAATCCTCAAAACTAGCCAAATATCCACTTGCAGATTCCACAAAAAGAGCATTTCAAAACTGCTCTATCAAAAGAAAGGTTCAACTTTGTTAGTTGAGTAGATACAGCATAAAAAAGTTTCTGAGAATGCTTCTGTCCAGTTTTTATGGGAAGATATTTCCTTTTTCACCTTAGCCCTGAAATCGCTCCAAAAGTCCAGTTCCAGATACTACAAAAGGGGTGTTTCAGGACTGCTCTATGAAAGGGAGTGTTCAACTTTTGACTTGAATGCAAACATCAGAAAGCAGTTTCTCAGAACGCTGCAGTCTGCAATTTGTATGAATTCCCGCTTCCAACGGAAATCCTCAAAACTAGCCAAATATCCACTTGCAGATTCCACAAAAAGAGCGTTTCAAAACTTCTCTATGAAAAGGAAGGTTCTACTCCTTTAGTTGAGGACACACATCACGAGTAAGTTTCTGAGAATGCTTCTGTCTAGTTTTTATGGGAAGATATTTCCTTTTTCACCTTAGGCCGGTAAGTGCTCCAAATGTCCACTTACACACACTACAAAAAGAGTGTTTCAAACCTGCTCTGTGAAAGGGAATGTTCAATTCTGTGACTTGAATGCAATCATCACAAAGAACTTTCTGAGAATGCCGCTGACTGCTTTTTATATGTAATCCCGTTTCCAACGAAATCCTCAAATCTAGCCAAATAGCCACTTGCAGATTCCACAAAAAGAGTGTTTCAAAACTGTTCTGTCTAAAGAAATGTTCAACTGTGTTAGTTGAGGACACACATCAGAAACTAGTTTCTGAGAATGCTTCTGTCTAGTTGTTATGGGAAGATATTTCCTTTTCCAACGTAGGCCTGAAAGCGCTCCAAATGTCCACTTCCAGATACTACAAAAAGAGTGTTTCAAACCTGCTCTACCAAAGGGAATGTTCTACTCTGTGACTTGAATGCAAGCATCCCAAAGAAGTTTCTGAGAATGCTTCTGTCTAGATTTTCTCTGAAGACAATCCCGTTTCCAACGAAATCCTCAAGGCTAGGCAAATATACTCTTGCAGATTCCAGAAAAAGAGTGTTTCAAAACTGCTCCTTCAAAACGGTGGTTCAATTCTCTTAGTTGAGTACACACATCTCAAATAAGTTTCTGAGAATGCTTCTGCCTAGTTGTTACGGGAAGATATTTCCCTTTCCAACATGGGCCTGAAAGCGCTCCAAATGTCCACTTCCAGATACTACAAAAAGAGTGTTTCAAACCTGCTCTACCAAAGGGAATGTTCTACTCTGTGACTTGAATGCAAACATCCCAAAGAAGTTTCTGAGAATGCTTCTGTCTAGATTTTACCTGAAGACAATCCCGTTTCCCACGAAATCCTCAAAGCTATGCAAATATCCTCTTGCAGATTCTACAAAAAGAGTGTTTCAAAACTGCTCTATGAAAAGAAAGGTTCAACTCTGTCAGTAGAGGGCACACATCACAAACAAGTTTCTGAGAATGCTTCTGCATAGTTGTTACGGGAAGATATTTCCCTTTCCAAAATAGGCCTGAAAGCGCTCCAAATGTCCACTTCCAGATACTACAAAAGGAGTGATTCCAACCTGCTCTATGATAGGGAATGTTCAACTCTGTGTCCTGAATACAAACATCACAAAGATGTTTCTCAGAACGCTGCAGTCTGCAATTTGTATGAATTCCCGCTTCCAACGAAATCCTCAAAACTAGCCAAATATCCACTTGCAGATTCCACAAAAAGACCATTTCAAAACTGCTCTATCAAAAGAAAGGTTCAACTTTGTTAGTTGAGTAGATACAGCATAAACAAGTTTCTGAGAATGCTTCTGTCCAGTTTTTATGGGAAGATATTTCCTTTTTCACCTTAGCCCTAAAATCGCTCCAAAAGTCCAGTTCCAGATACTACAAAAGGGGTGTTTCAAGACTGCTCTATGAAAGGGAGTGTTCAACTTTTGACTTGAATGCAAACATCAGAAAGCAGTTTCTCAGAACCCTGCTGTGTGCTTTTTATATGTATTCCCGCTTCCAGCGAAATCCCCAAAGCTAGCCAAATATCCACTTGCAGATTCCAGAAATAGAGTGTTTCAAAACTGCTCCTTCAAAACGGTGGTTCAATTCTCTTAGTTGAGTAGACACATCTCAAATAAGTTTCTGAGAATGCTTCTGTCTAGTTGTTATGGGAAGATATTTCCTTTTCCAACATAGGCCTGAAAGCGCTTCAAATGTCCACTTCCAGATACTACAAAAGGAGTGATTCAAACCTGCTCTATGATAGGGAATGTTCAACTCTGTGTCCTGAATACAAACATCACAAAGATGTTTCTCAGAACGCTGCAGTCTGCAATTTGTATGAATTCCCGCTTCCAACGAAATCCTCCAAACTAGCCAAATATCCATTTGCAGATTCCACAAAAAGAGCGTTTCAAAACTTCTCTATGAAAACAAAGGTTCTACTCCTTTAGTTGAGGACACACATCACGAGTAAGTTTCTGAGAATGCTTCTGTCTAGTTTTTATGGGAAGATATGTCCTTTTTCACCTTAGGCCGGAAAGCGCTCCAAATGTCCACTTACACACACTACAAAAAGAGTGTTTCAAACCTGCTCTGTGAAAGGGAATGTTCAATTCTGTGACTTGAATGCAATCATCACAAAGAACTTTCTGAGAATGCTGCTGTCTGCTTTTTATATGTAATCCCGTTTCCAACGAAATCCTCAAATCTAGCCCAATATCCACTTGCAGATTCCACAAAAAGAGTGTTTCAAAACTGTTCTGTCTAAAGAAATGTTCAACTGTGTTAGTTGAGGACACACATCAGAAACTAGTTTCTGAGAATGCTTCTGTCTAGTTGTTATGGGAAGATATTTCCTTTTCCAACGTAGGCCTGAAAGCGCTCCAAATGTCCACTTCCATATACTACAAAAAGAGTGTTTCAAACCTGCTCTACCAAAGGGAATGTTCTACTCTGTGACTTGAATGCAAACATCCCAAAGAAGTTTCTGAGAATGCTTCTGTCTAGATTTTATCTGAAGACAATCCCGTTTCCAACGAAATCCTCAAGGCTAGGCAAATATTCTCTTGCAGATTCCAGAAAAAGAGTGTTTCAAAACTGCTCCTTCAAAACGGTGGTTCAATTCTCTTAGTTGAGTACACACATCTCAAATAAGTTTCTGAGAATGCTTCTGCCTAGTTGTTACGGGAAGATATTTCCCTTTCCAACATGGTCCTGAAAGCGCTCCAAATGTCCACTTCCAGATACTACAAAAAGAGTGTTTCAAACCTGCTCTACCAAAGGGAATGTTCTACTCTGTGACTTGAATGCAAACATCCCAAAGAAGTTTCTGAGAATGCTTCTGTCTAGATTTTACCTGAAGACAATCCCGTTTCCCACGAAATCCTCAATGCTATGCAAATATCCTCTTGCGGATTCTACAAAAAGAGTGTTTCAAAACTGCTCTATGAAAAGAAAGGTTCAACTCTGTCAGTAGAGGGCACACATCACAAACAAGTTTCTGAGAATGCTTGTGTCTAGTTGTTATGGGAAGATATTTCCTTTTTCAACATAGGCCTGAAAGCGCTCCAAATGTCCACTTCCAGATACTACAAAAGGAGTGATTCCAACCTGCTCTATGATAGGGAATGTTCATCTCTGTGTCCTGAATACAAACATCACAAAGATGTTTCTCAGAACGCTGCAGTCTGCAATTTGTATGAATTCCCGCTTCCAACGAAATCCTCAAAACTAGCCAAATATCCACTTGGAGATTCCACAAAAAGAGCGTTTCAAAACTTCTCTATGAATAGAAAGGTTCTACTCCTTTAGTTGAGGACACACATCACGAGTAAGTTTCTGAGAATGCTTCTGTCTAGTTTTTATGGGAAGATATTTCCTATTTCACCTTAGGCCGGAAAGCGCTCCAAATGTCCACTTACACACACTACAAAAAGAGTGTTTCAAACCTGCTCTGTGAAAGGGAATGTTCAATTCTGTGACTTGAATGCAATCATCACAAAGAACTTTCTGAGAATGCTGCTGTCTGCTTTTTATATGTATTCCCGTTTCCAACGAAATCCTCAAAGCCAGCCAAATATCCACTTGCAGATTCCACAAAAAGAGTGTTTCAAAACTGCTCTCTCAAAAGAAATGTTCAACTCTGTCAGTTGAGGACACACATCACAAATAAGTTTCTGAGAATGCTTCTGCCTAGTTTTTATGGGAAGATATTTCCTTTTTCACCTGAGGCCGGAAAGCGCTCCAAATGTCCACTTCCAGATACTACAAAAGGAGTGATTCAAACCTGCTGTATGATAGGGAATGTTCAACTCTGTGTCCTGAATACAAACATCACAAAGATGTTTCTCAGAACGCTGCAGTCTGCAATTTGTATGAATTCCCGCTTCCAACGAAATCCTCAAAACTAGCCAAATATCCACTTGCAGATTCCACAAAAAGAGCGTTTCAAAACTTCTCTATGAAAAGAAAGGTTCTACTCCTTTAGTTGAGGACACACATCACGAGTAAGTTTCTGAGAATGCTTCTGTCTAGTTTTTATGGGAAGATATTTCCTTTTTCACCTTAGGCCGGTAAGTGCTCCAAATGTCCACTTACACACACTACAAAAAGAGTGTTTCAAACCTGCTCTGTGAAAGGGAATGTTCAATTCTGTGACTTGAATGCAATCATCACAAGGAACTTTCTGAGAATGCTGCTGACTGCTTTTTATATGTAATCCCGTTTCCAACGAAATCCTCAAATCTAGCCAAATAGCCACTTGCAGATTCCACAAAAAGAGTGTTTCAAAACTGTTCTGTCTAAAGAAATGTTCAACTGTGTTAGTTGAGGACACACATCAGAAACTAGTTTCTGAGAATGCTTCTGTCTAGTTGTTATGGGAAGATATTTCCTTTTCCAACGTAGGCCTGAAAGCGCTCCAAATGTCCACTTCCATATACTAAAAAAAGAGTGTTTCAAACCTGCTCTACCAAAGGGAATGTTCTACTCTGTGACTTGAATGCAAACATCCCAAAGAAGTTTCTGAGAATGCTTCTGTCTAGATTTGATCTGAAGACAATCCCGTTTCCAACGAAATCCTCAAGGCTAGGCAAATATCCTCTTGCAGATTCCAGAAAAAGAGTGTTTCAAAACTGCTCCTTCAAAACGGTGGTTCAATTCTCTTAGTTGAGTACACACATCTCAAATAAGTTTCTGAGAATGCTTCTGCCTAGTTGTTACGGGAAGATATTTCCCTTTCCAACATGGGCCTGAAAGCGCTCCAAATGTCCACTTCCAGATACTACAAAAAGAGTGTTTCAAACCTACTCTACCAAAGGGAATGTTCTACTCTGTGATTTGAATGCAAACATCACAAAGAAGTTTCTGAGAATGCTTCTGTCTAGATTTTACCTGAAGACAATCCCGTTTCCCACGAAATCCTCAAAGCTATGCAAATATCCTCTTGCAGATTCTACAAAAAGAGTGTTTCAAAACTGCTCTATGAAAAGAAAGGTTCAACTCTGTCAGTAGCGGGCACACATCACAAACAAGTTTCTGAGAATGCTTGTGTCTAGTTGTTATGGGAAGTATATTTCCTTTTTCAACATAGGCCTGAAAGCGCTCCAAATGTCCACTTCCAGATACTACAAAAGGAGTGATTCCAACCTGCTCTATGATAGGGAATGTTCAACTCTCTGTCCTGAATACAAACATCACAAAGATGTTTCTCAGAACGCTGCAGTCTGAAATTTGTATGAATTCCCGCTTCCAACGAAATCCTCAAAACTAGCCAAATATCCACTTGCAGATTCCACAAAAAGAGCATTTCAAAACTGCTCTATCAAAAGAAAGGTTCAACTTTGTTAGTTGAGTAGATACAGCATAAACAAGTTTCTGAGAATGCTTCTGTCCAGTTTTTATGGGAAGATATTTCCTTTTTCACCTTAGCCCTGAAAGCGCTCCAAAAGTCCAGTTCCAGATACTACAAAAGGAGTGTTTCAGGACTGCTCTATGAAAGGGAGTGTTCAACTTTTGACTTGAATGCAAACATCAGAAAGCAGTTTCTCAGAACGCTGCTGTGTGCTTTTTATATGTATTCCCGCTTCCAGCGAAATCCCCAAAGCTAGCCAAATAGTCACTTGCAGATTCCAGAAAAAGAGTGTTTCAAAACTGCTCCTTCAAAACGGTGGTTCAATTCTCTTAGTTGAGTACACACATCTCAAATAAGTTTCTGAGAATGCTGCAGTCTGCAATTTGTATGAATTCCAGCTTCCAACGAAATCCTCAAAACTAGCCAAATATCCACTTGCAGATTCCACAAAAAGAGCATTTCAAAACTGCTCTATCAAAAGAAAGGTTCAACTTTGTTAGTAGAGTAGATACAGCGTAAACAAGTTTCTGAGAATGCTTCTGTCCAGTTTTTATGGGAAGATATTTCCTTTTTCACCTTAGCCCTGAAAGCGCTCCAAATGTCCAGTTCCAGATACTACAAAAGGGGTGTTTCAAGACTGCTCTATGAAAGGGAGTGTTCAACTTTTGACTTGAATGCAAACATCAGAAAGCAGTTTCTCAGAACGCTGCTGTGTGCTTTTTATATGTATTCCCGCTTCCAGCGAAATCCCCAAAGCTAGCCAAATATCCACTTGCAGATTCCAGAAAAAGAGTGTTTCAAAACTGCTCCTTCAAAACGGTGGTTCAATTCTCTTAGTTGAGTACACACATCTCAAATAAGTTTCTGAGAATGCTTCTGTCTAGTTGTTATGGGAAGATATTTCCTTTTCCAACATAGGCCTGAAAGCGCTCCAAATGTCCACTTCCAGATACTACAAAAGGAGTGATTCAAACCTGCTCTATGATAGGGAATGTTCAACTCTGTGTCCTGAATACAAACATCACAACGATGTTTCTCAGAACGCTGCAGTCTGCAATTTGTATGAATTCCCGCTTCCAACGAAATCCTCAAAACTAGCCAAATATCCACTTGGAGATTCCACAAAAAGAGCGTTTCAAAACTTCTCTATGAATAGAAAGGTTCTACTCCTTTAGTTGAGGACACACATCACGAGTAAGTTTCTGAGAATGCTTCTGTCTAGTTTTTATGGGAAGATATTTCCTTTTTCACCTTAGGCCGGAAAGCGCTCCAAATGTCCACTTACACACACTACAAAAAGAGTGTTTCAAACCTGCTCTGTGAAAGGGAATGTTCAATTCTGTGACTTGAATGCAGTCATCACAAAGAACTTTCTGAGAATGCTGCTGTCTGCTTTTTATATGTAATCCCGTTTCCAACGAAATCCTCAAATCTAGCCAAATAGCCACTTGCAGATTCCACAAAAAGAGTGTTTCAAAACTGTTCTGTCTAAAGAAAAGTTCAACTGTGTTAGTTGAGGACACACATCAGAAACTAGTTTCTGAGAATGCTTCTGTCTAGTTGTTATGGGAAGATATTTCCTTTTCCAACGTAGGCCTGAAAGCGCTCCAAATGTCCACTTCCATATACTAAAAAAAGAGTGTTTCAAACCTGCTCTACCAAAGGGAATGTTCTACTCTGTGACTTGAATGCAAACATCCCAAAGAAGTTTCTGAGAATGCTTCTGTCTAGATTTGATCTGAAGACAATCCCGTTTCCAACGAAATCCTCAAGGCTAGGCAAATATCCTCTTGCAGATTCCAGAAAAAGAGTGTTTCAAAACTGCTCCTTCAAAACGGTGATTCAATTCTCTTAGTTGAGTACACACATCTCAAATAAGTTTCTGAGAATGCTTCTGCCTAGTTGTTACGGGAAGATATTTCCCTTTCCAACATAGGCCTGAAAGCGCTCCAAATGTCCACTTCCAGATACTACAAAAAGAGTGTTTCAAACCTGCTCTACCAAAGGGAATGTTCTACTCTGTGACTTGAATGCAAACATCCCAAAGAAGTTTCTGAGAATGCTTCTGTCTAGATTTTACCTGAAGACAATCCCGTTTCCCACGAAATCCTCAAAGCTATGCAAATATCCTCTTGCAGATTCTACAAAAAGAGTGTTTCAAAACTGCTCTATGAAAAGAAAGGTTCAACTCTGTCAGTAGAGGGCACACATCACAAACAAGTTTCTGAGAATGCTTCTGCATAGTTGTTACGGGAAGATATTTCCCTTTCCAAAATAGGCCTGAAAGCGCTCCAAATGTCCACTTCCAGATACTACAAAAGGAGTGATTCCAACCTGCTCTATGATAGGGAATGTTCAACTCTGTGTCCTGAATACAAACATCACAAAGATGTTTCTCAGAACGCTGCAGTCTGCAATTTGTATGAATTCCCGCTTCCAACGAAATCCTCAAAACTAGCCAAATATCCACTTGCAGATTCCACAAAAAGACCATTTCAAAACTGCTCTATCAAAAGAAAGGTTCAACTTTGTTAGTTGAGTAGATACAGCATAAACAAGTTTCTGAGAATGCTTCTGTCCAGTTTTTATGGGAAGATATTTCCTTTTTCACCTTAGCCCTGAAAGCGCTCCAAATGTCCAGTTCCAGATACTACAAAAGGAGTGTTTCAGGACTGCTCTATGAAAGGGAGTGTTCAAATTTTGACTTGAATGCAAACATCAGAAAGCAGTTTCTCAGAACGCTGCTGTGTGCTTTTTATATGTATTCCCGCTTCCAGCGAAATCCCCAAAGCTAGCCAAATATCCACTTGCAGATTCCAGAAAAAGAGTGTTTCAAAACTGCTCCTTCAAAACGGTGGTTCAATTCTCTTAGTTGAGTACACACATCTCAAATAAGTTTCTGAGAATGCTTCTGTCTAGTTGTTATGGGAAGATATTTCCTTTTCCAACATAGGCCTGAAAGCACTCCAAATGTCCACTTCCAGATACTACGAAAGGAGTGATTCAAACCTGCTCTATGATAGGGAATGTTCAACTCTGTGTCCTGAATACAAACATCACAAAGATGTTTCTCAGAACGCTGCAGTCTGCAATTTGTATGAATTCCCGCTTCCAACGAAATCCTCAAAACTAGCCAAATATCCACTTGCAGATTCCACAAAAAGAGCGTTTCAAAACTTCTCTATGAAAAGAAAGGTTCTACTCCTTTAGTTGAGGACACACATCACGAGTAAGTTTCTGAGAATGCTTCTGTCTAGTTTTTATGGGAAGATATTTCCTTTTTCACCTTAGGCCGGTAAGTGCTCCAAATGTCCACTTACACACACTACAAAAAGAGTGTTTCAAACCTGCTCTGTGAAAGGGAATGTTCAATTCTGTGACTTGAATGCAATCATCACAAAGAACTTTCTGAGAATGCTGCTGTCTGCTTTTTATATGTAATCCCGTTTCCAACGAAATCCTCAAATCTAGCCAAATAGCCACTTGCAGATTCCACAAAAAGAGAGTTTCAAAACTGTTCTGTCTAAAGAAACGTTCAACTGTGTTAGTTGAGGACACACATCAGAAACTAGTTTCTGAGAATGCTTCTGTCTAGTTGTTATGGGAAGATATTTCCTTTTCCAACGTAGGCCTGAAAGCGCTCCAAATGTCCACTTCCATATACTAAAAAAAGAGTGTTTCAAACCTGCTCTACCAAAGGGAATGTTCTACTCTGTGACTTGAATGCAAACATCCCAAAGAAGTTTCTGAGAATGCTTCTGTCTAGATTTTATCTGAAGACAATCCCGTTTCCAACGAAATCCTCAAGGCTAGGCAAATATACTCTTGCCGATTCCAGAAAAAGAGTGTTTCAAAACTGCTCCTTCAAAACGGTGGTTCAATTCTCTTCGTTGAGTCCACACATCTCAAATACGTTTCTGAGAATGCTTCTGCCTAGTTGTTACGGGAAGATATTTCCCTTTCCAACATGGGCCTGAAAGCGCTCCAAATGTCCACTTCCAGATACTACAAAAAGAGTGTTTCAAACCTGCTCTACCAAAGGGAATGTTCTACTCTGTGACTTGAATGCAAACATCCCAAAGAAGTTTCTGAGAATGCTTCTGTCTAGATTTTACCTGAAGACAATCCCGTTTCCCACGAAATCCTCAAAGCTATGCAAATATCCTCTTGCAGATTCTACAAAAAGAGTGTTTCAAAACTGCTCTATGAAAAGAAAGGTTCAACTCTGTCAGTAGAGGGCACACATCACAAACAAGTTTCTGAGAATGCTTCTGCATAGTTGTTACGGGAAGATATTTCCCTTTCCAAAATAGGCCTGAAAGCGCTCCAAATGTCCACTTCCAGATACTACAAAAGGAGTGATTCCAACCTGCTCTATGATAGGGAATGTTCAACTCTGTGTCCTGAATACAAACATCACAAAGATGTTTCTCAGAACGCTGCAGTCTGCAATTTGTATGAATTCCCGCTTCCAACGAAATCCTCAAAACTAGCCAAATATCCACTTGCAGATTCCACAAAAAGACCATTTCAAAACTGCTCTATCAAAAGAAAGGTTCAACTTTGTTAGTTGAGTAGATACAGCATAAACAAGTTTCTGAGAATGCTTCTGTCCAGTTTTTATGGGAAGATATTTCCTTTTTCACCTTAGCCCTGAAATCGCTCCAAAAGTCCAGTTCCAGATACTACAAAAGGGGTGTTTCAAGACTGCTCTATGAAAGGGAGTGTTCAACTTTTGACTTGAATGCAAACATCAGAAAGCAGTTTCTCAGAACGCTGCTGTGTGCTTTTTATATGTATTCCCGCTTCCAGCGAAATCCCCAAAGCTAGCCAAATATCCACGTGCAGATTCTACAAAAAGAGTGTTTCAAAACTGCTCCTTCAAAACGGTGGTTCAATTCTCTTAATTGAGTACACACATCTGAAATAAGTTTCTGAGAATGCTTCTGTCTAGTTGTTATGGGAAGATATTTCCTTTTCCAACATAGGCCTGAAAGCGCTCCAAATGTCCACTTCCAGATACTACAAAAGGAGTGATTCAAACCTGCTCTATGATAGGGAATGTTCAACTCTGTGTCCTGAATACAAACATCACAAAGATGTTTCTCAAAACGCTGCAGTCTGCAATTTGTATGAATTCCCGCTTCCAACGAAATCCTCAAAACTAGCCAAATATCCACTTGCAGATTCCACAAAAAGAGCGTTTCAAAACTTCTCTATGAAAAGAAAGGTTCTACTCCTTTAGTTGAGGACACACATCACGAGTAAGTTTCTGAGAATGCTTCTGTCTAGTTTTTATGGGAAGATATTTCCTTTTTCACCTTAGGCCGGAAAGTGCTCCAAATGTCCACTTACACACACTACAAAAAGAGTGTTTCAAACCTGCTCTGTGAAAGGGAATGTTCAATTCTGTGACTTGAATGCAATCATCACAAAGAACTTTCTGAGAATGCTGCTGTCTGCTTTTTATATGTAATCCCGTTTCCAACGAAATCCTCAAATCTAGCCAAATATCCACTTGCAGATTCCACAAAAAGAGTGTTTCAAAACTGTTCTGTCTAAAGAAAAGTTCAACTGTGTTAGTTGAGGACACACATCAGAAACTAGTTTCTGAGAATGCTTCTGTCTAGTTGTTATGGGAAGATATTTCCTTTTCCAACGTAGGCCTGAAAGCGCTCCAAATGTCCATTTCCATATACTAAAAAAAGAGTGTTTCAAACCTGCTCTATCAAAGGGAATGTTCTACTCTGTGACTTGAATACAAACATCCCAAAGAAGTTTCTGAGAATGCTTCTGTCTAGATTTTATCTGAAGACAATCCCGTTTCCAACGAAATCCTCAAGACTAGGCAAATATCGTCTAGCAGATTCCAGAAAAAGAGTGTTTCAAAACTGCTCCTTCAAAACGGTGGTTCAATTCTCTTAGTTGAGTACACACATCTCAAATAAGTTTCTGACAATGCTTCTGCCTAGTTGTTACGGGAAGATATTTCCCTTTCCAACATGGGCCTGAAAGTGCTGCAAATGTCCACTTCCAGATACTACAAAAAGAGTGTTTCAAACCTGCTCTACCAAAGGGAATGTTCTACTCTGTGACTTGAATGCAAACATCCCAAAGAAGTTTCTGAGAATGCTTCTGTCTAGATTTTACCTGAAGACAATCCCGTTTCCCACGAAATCCTCAAAGCTATGCAAATATCCTCTTGCAGATTCTACAAAAAGAGTGTTTCAAAACTGCTCTATGAAAAGAAAGGTTCAACTCTGTCAGTAGAGGGCACACATCACAAACAAGTTTCTGAGAATGCTTGTGTCTAGTTGTTATGGGAAGATATTTCCTTTTTCAACATAGGACTGAAAGCGCTCCAAATGTCCACTTCCGGATACTACAAAAGGAGTGATTCCAACCTGCTCTATGATAGGGAATGTTCATCTCTGTGTCCTGAATACAAACATCACAAAGATGATTCTCAGAACGCTGCAGTCTGCAATTTGTATGAATTCCCGCTTCCAACGAAATCCTCAAAACTAGCCAAATATCCACTTGCAGATTCCACAAAAAGAGCATTTCAAAACTGCTCTATCAAAAGAAAGGTTCAACTTTGTTAGTTGAGTAGATACAGCATAAACAAGTTTCTGAGAATGCTTCTGTCCAGTTTTTATGGGAAGATATTTCCTTTTTCACCTTAGCCCTGAAAGCGCTCCAAAAGTCCAGTTCCAGATACTACAAAAGGAGTGTTTCAGGACTGCTCTATGAAAGGGAGTGTTCAACTTTTGACTTGAATGCAAACATCAGAAAGCAGTTTCTCAGAACGCTGCTGTGTGGTTTTTATATGTATTCCCGCTTCCAGCGAAATCCCCAAAGCTAGCCAAATATCCACTTGCAGATTCCAGAAAAAGAGTGTTTCAAAACTGCTCCTTCAAAACGGTGGTTCAATTCTCTTAGTTGAGTACACACATCTCAAATAAGTTTCTGAGAATGCTTCTGTCTAGTTGTTATGGGAAGATATTTCCTTTTCCAACATAGGCCTGAAAGCGCTCCAAATGTCCACTTCCAGATACTACAAAAGGAGTGATTCAAACCTGCTCTATGATAGGGAATGTTCAACTCTGTGTCCTGAATACAAACATCACAAAGATGTTTCTCAGAACGCTGCAGTCTGCAATTTGTATGAATTCCCGCTTCCAACGAAATCCTCCAAACTAGCCAAATATCCACTTGCAGATTCCACAAAAAGAGCGTTTCAAAACTTCTCTATGAAAAGAAAGGTTCTACTCCTTTAGTTGAGGACACACATCACGAGTAAGTTTGCTGAGAGTGCTTCTGTCTAGTTTTTATGGGAAGATTATTTCCTTTTTCACCTTAGGCCGGTAAGTGCTCCAAATGTCCACTTACACACACTACAAAAAGAGTGTTTCAAACCTGCTCTGTGAAAGGGAATGTTCAATTCTGTGACTTGAATGCAATCATCACAAAGAACTTTCTGAGAATGCTGCTGACTGCTTTTTATATGTAATCCCGTTTCCAACGAAATCCTCAAATCTAGCCAAATAGCCACTTGCAGATTCCACAAAAAGAGTGTTTCAAAACTGTTCTGTCTAAAGAAATGTTCAACTGTGTTAGTTGAGGACACACATCAGAAACTAGTTTCTGAGAATGCTTCTGTCTAGTTGTTATGGGAAGATATTTCCTTTTCCAACGTAGGCCTGAAAGCGCTCCAAATGTCCACTTCCAGATACTACAAAAAGAGTGTTTCAAACCTGCTCTACCAAAGGGAATGTTCTACTCTGTGACTTGAATGCAAGCATCCCAAAGAAGTTTCTGAGAATGCTTCTGTCTAGATTTTCTCTGAAGACAATCCCGTTTCCAACGAAATCCTCAAGGCTAGGCAAATATCCTCTTGCAGATTCCAGAAAAAGAGTGTTTCAAAACTGCTCCTTCAAAACGGTGGTTCAATTCTCTTAGTTGAGTACACACATCTCAAATAAGTTTCTGAGAATGCTTCTGCCTAGTTGTTACGGGAAGATATTTCCCTTTCCAACATGGGCCTGAAAGCGCTCCAAATGTCCACTTCCAGATACTACAAAAAGAGTGTTTCAAACCTGCTCTACCAAAGGGAATGTTCTACTCTGTGACTTGAATGCAAACATCCCAAAGAAGTTTCTGAGAATGCTTCTGTCTAGATTTTACCTGAAGACAATCCCGTTTCCCACGAAATCCTCAAAGCTATGCAAATATCCTCTTGCAGATTCTACAAAAAGAGTGTTTCAAAACTGCTCTATGAAAAGAAAGGTTCAACTCTGTCAGTAGAGGGCACACATCACAAACAAGTTTCTGAGAATGCTTCTGCATAGTTGTTACGGGAAGATATTTCCCTTTCCAAAATAGGCCTGAAAGCGCTCCAAATGTCCACTTCCAGATACTACAAAAGGAGTGATTCCAACCTGCTCTATGATAGGGAATGTTCAACTCTGTGTCCTGAATACAAACATCACAAAGATGTTTCTCAGAACGCTGCAGTCTGCAATTTGTATGAATTCCCGCTTCCAACGAAATCCTCAAAACTAGCCAAATATCCACTTGCAGATTCCACAAAAAGACCATTTCAAAACTGCTCTATCAAAAGAAAGGTTCAACTTTGTTAGTTGAGTAGATACAGCATAAACAAGTTTCTGAGAATGCTTCTGTCCAGTTTTTATGGGAAGATATTTCCTTTTTCACCTTAGCCCTGAAATCGCTCCAAAAGTCCAGTTCCAGATACTACAAAAGGGGTGTTTCAAGACTGCTCTATGAAAGGGAGTGTTCAACTTTTGACTTGAATGCAAACATCAGAAAGCAGTTTCTCAGAACGCTGCTGTGTGCTTTTTATATGTATTCCCGCTTCCAGCGAAATCCCCAAAGCTAGCCAAATATCCACTTGCAGATTCCAGAAAAAGAGTGTTTCAAAACTGCTCCTTCAAAACGGTGGTTCAATTCTCTTAGTTGAGTACACACATCTCAAATAAGTTTCTGAGAATGCTTCTGTCTAGTTGTTATGGGAAGATATTTCCTTTTTCAACATAGGCCTGAAAGCGCTCCAAATGTCCACTTCCAGATACTACAAAAGGAGTGATTCCAACCTGCTCTATTATAGGGAACGTTCAACTCTGTGTCCTGAATACAAACATCACAAAGATGTTTCTCAGAACGCTGCAGTCTGCAATTTGTATGAATTCCCGCTTCCAACGAAATCCTCCAAACTAGCCAAATATCCACTTGCAGATTCCACAAAAAGAGCGTTTCAAAACTTCTCTATGAAAAGAAAGGTTCTACTCCTTTAGTTGAGGACACACATCACGAGTAAGTTTCTGAGAATGCTTCTGTCTAGTTTTTATGGGAAGATATTTCCTTGTTCACCTTAGGCCGGAAAGCGCTCCAAATGTCCACTTACACACACTACAAAAAGAGTGTTTCAAACCTGCTCTGTGAAAGGGAATGTTCAATTCTGTGACTTGAATGCAATCATCACAAAGAAGTTTCTGAGAATGCTGCTGTCTGCTTTTTATATGTAATCCCGTTTCCAACGAAATCCTCAAATCTAGCCAAATATCCACTTGCAGATTCCACAAAAAGAGTGTTTCAAAACTGTTCTGTCTAAAGAAATGTTCAACTGTGTTAGTTGAGGACACACATCAGAAACTTGTTTCTGAGAATGCTTCTGTCTAGTTGTTATGGGAAGATATTTCCTTTTCCAACGTAGGCCTGAAAGCGCTCCAAATGTCCACTTACACACACTACAAAAAGAGTGTTTCAAACCTGCTCTACCAAAGTGAATGTTCTACTCTGTGACTTGAATGCAAACATCCCAAAGAAGTTTCTGAGAATGCTTCTGTCTAGATTTGATCTGAAGACAATCCCGTTTCCCACGAAATCCTCAAAGCTATGCAAATATCCTCTTGCAGATTCTACAAAAAGTGTGTTTCGAAACTGCTCTATGAAAAGAAAGGATCAACTGTGTCAGTAGAGGGCACACATCACAAACAAGTTTCTGAGAATGCTTCTGCCTAGTTGTTATGGGAAGATATTTCCTTTTTCAACATAGGCCTGAAAGCGCTCCAAATGTCCACTTCCAGATAGTACAAAAGGAGTGATTCCAACCTGCTCTATGATAGGGAATGTTCAACTCTGTGTCCTGAATACAAACATCACAAAGATGTTTCTCAGAACGCTGCAGTCTGCAATTTGTATGAATTCCCGCTTCCAACGAAATCCTCAAACCTAGCCAAATATCCACTTGCAGATTCCACAAAAAGAGCATTTCAAAACTGCTCTATCAAAAGAAAGGTTCAACTTTGTTAGTTGAGTAGATACAGCATAAACAAGTTTCTGAGAATGCTTCTGTCCAGTTTTTATGGGAAGATATTTCCTTTTTCACCTTAGCCCTGAAAGCGCTCCAAATGTCCAGTTCCCGATACTACAAAAGGGGTGTTTCAAGACTGCTCTATGAAAGGGAGTGTTCAACTTTTGACTTGAATGCAAACATCAGAAAGCAGTTTCTCAGAACGCTGCTGTGTGCTTTTTATATGTATTCCCGCTTCCAGCGAAATCCCCAAAGCTAGCCAAATATCCACTTGCAGATTCCAGAAAAAGAGTGTTTCAAAACTGCTCCTTCAAAACGGTGGTTCAATTCTCTTAGTTGAGTACACACATCTCAAATAAGTTTCTGAGAATGCTTCTGTCTAGTTGTTATGGGAAGATATTTCCTTTTCCAACATAGGCCTGAAAGCGCTCCAAATGTCCACTTCCAGATACTACAAAAGGAGTGATTCCAACCTGCTCTATGATAGGGAATGTTCAACTCTGTGTCCTGAATACAAACATCACAAAGATGTTTCTCAGAACGCTGCGGTCTGCAATTTGTATGAATTCCGGCTTCCAACGAAATCCTCCAAACTAGCCAAATATCCACTTGCAGATTCCACAAAAAGAGCGTTTCAAAACTTCTCTATGAAAAGAAAGGTTCTACTCCTTTAGTTGAGGACACACATCACGAGTAAGTTTCTGAGAATGCTTCTGTCTAGTTTTTATGGGAAGATATTTCCTTGTTCACCTTAGGCCGGAAAGCGCTCCAAATGTCCACTTACACACACTAGAAAAAGAGTGTTTCAAACCTGCTCTGTGAAAAGGAATGTTCAATTCTGTGACTTGAATGCAATCATCACAAAGAAGTTTCTGAGAATGCTGCTGTCTGCTTTTTATATGTAATCCCGTTTCCAACGAAATCCTCAAATCTAGCCAAATATCCACTTGCAGATTCCACAAAAAGAGTGTTTCAAAACTGTTCTGTCTAAAGAAATGTTCAACTGTGTTAGTTGAGGACACACATCAGAAACTAGTTTCTGAGAATGCTTCTGTCTAGTTGTTATGGGAAGATATTTCCTTTTCCAACGTAGGCCAGAAAGCGCTCCAAATGTCCACTTACACACACTACAAAAAGAGTGTTTCAAACCTGCTCTACCAAAGGGAATGTTCTACTCTGTGACTTGAATGCAAACATCCCAAAGAAGTTTCTGAGAATGCTTCTGTCTAGATTTTATGTGAAGACAATCCCGTTTCCAACGAAATCCTCAAGGCTAGGCAAATATACTCTTGCAGATTCCAGAAAAAGAGTGTTTCAAAACTGCTCCTTCAAAACGGTGGTTCAAATCTCTTCGTTGAGTCCACACATCTCAAATACGTTTCTGAGAATGCTTCTGCCTAGTTGTTACGGGAAGATATTTCCCTTTCCAACATGGGCCTGAAAGCGCTCCAAATGTCCACTTCCAGATACTACAAAAAGAGTGTTTCAAACCTGCTCTACCAAAGGGGAATGTTCTACTCTGTGACTTGAATGCAAACATCCCAAAGAAGTTTCTGAGAATGCTTCTGTCTAGATTTTACCTGAAGACAATCCCGTTTCCCACGAAATCCTCAAAGCTATGCAAATATCCTCTTGCAGATTCTACAAAAAGAGTGTTTCAAAACTGCTCTATGAAAAGAAAGGTTCAACTCTGTCAGTAGAGGGCACACATCACAAACAAGTTTCTGAGAATGCTTCTGCATAGTTGTTACGGGAAGATATTTCCCTTTCCAAAATAGGCCTGAAAGCGCTCCAAATGTCCACTTCCAGATACTACAAAAGGAGTGATTCCAACCTGCTCTATGATAGGGAATGTTCAACTCTGTGTCCTGAATACAAACATCACAAAGATGTTTCTCAGAACGCTGCAGTCTGCAATTTGTATGAATTCCCGCTTCCAACGAAATCCTCAAAACTAGCCAAATATCCACTTGCAGATTCCACAAAAAGACCATTTCAAAACTGCTCTATCAAAAGAAAGGTTCAACTTTGTTAGTTGAGTAGATACAGCATAAACAAGTTTCTGAGAATGCTTCTGTCCAGTTTTTATGGGAAGATATTTCCTTTTTCACCTTAGCCCTGAAATCGCTCCAAAAGTCCAGTTCCAGATACTACAAAAGGGGTGTTTCAAGACTGCTCTATGAAAGGGAGTGTTCAACTTTTGACTTGAATGCAAACATCAGAAAGCAGTTTCTCAGAACGCTGCTGTGTGCTTTTTATATGTATTCCCGCTTCCAGCGAAATCCCCAAAGCTAGCCAAATATCCACTTGCAGATTCCAGAAAAAGAGAGTTTCAAAACTGCTCCTTCAAAACGGTGGTTCAATTCTCTTAGTTGAGTACACACATCTCAAATAAGTTTCTGAGAATGCTTCTGTCTAGTTGTTATGGGAAGATATTTCCTTTTCCAACATAGGCCTGAAAGCGCTCCAAATGTCCACTTCCAGATACTACAAAAGGAGTGATTCCAACCTGCTCTATGATAGGGAATGTTCAACTCTGTGTCCTGAATACAAACATCACAAAGATGTTTCTCAGAACGCTGCAGTCTGCAATTTGTATGAATTCCCGCTTCCAACGAAATCCTCAAAACTAGCCAAATATCCACTTGCAGATTCCACAAAAAGAGCGTTTCAAAACTTCTCTATGAAAAGAAAGGTTCTACTCCTTTAGTTGAGGACACACATCACGAGTAAGTTTCTGAGAATGCTTCTGTCTAGTTTTTATGGGAAGATATTTCCTTTTTCACCTTAGGCCGGTAAGTGCTCCAAATGTCCACTTACACACACTACAAAAAGAGTGTTTCAAACCTGCTCTGTGAAAGGGAATGTTCAATTCTGTGACTTGAATGCAATCATCACAAAGAACTTTCTGAGAATGCTGCTGACTGCTTTTTATATGTAATCCCGTTTCCAACGAAATCCTCAAATCTAGCCAAATAGCCACTTGCAGATTCCACAAAAAGAGTGTTTCAAAACTGTTCTGTCTAAAGAAATGTTCAACTGTGTTAGTTGAGGACACACATCAGAAACTAGTTTCTGAGAATGCTTCTGTCTAGTTGTTATGGGAAGATATTTCCTTTTCCAACGTAGGCCTGAAAGCGATCCAAATGTCCACTTCCATATACTAAAAAAAGAGTGTTTCAAACCTGCTCTACCAAAGGGAATGTTCTACTCTGTGACTTGAATGCAAACATCCCAAAGAAGTTTCTGAGAATGCTTCTGTCTAGATTTTCTCTGAAGACAATCCCGTTTCCAACGAAATCCTCAAGGCTAGGCAAATATACTCTTGCAGATTCCAGAAAAAGAGTGTTTCAAAACTGCTCCTTCAAAACGGTGGTTCAATTCTCTTAGTTGAGTACACACATCTCAAATAAGTTTCTGAGAATGCTTCTGCCTAGTTGTTACGGGAAGATATTTCCCTTTCCAACATGGGCCTGAAAGCGCTCCAAATGTCCACTTCCAGATACTACAAAAAGAGTGTTTCAAACCTGCTCTACCAAAGGGAATGTTCTACTCTGTGACTTGAATGCAAACATCCCAAAGAAGTTTCTGAGAATGCTTCTGTCTAGATTTTACCTGAAGACAATCCCGTTTCCCACGAAATCCTCAAAGCTATGCAAATATCCTCTTGCAGATTCTACAAAAAGAGTGTTTCAAAAGTGCTCTATGAAAAGAAAGGTTCAACTCTGTCAGTAGAGGGCACACATCACAAACAAGTTTCTGAGAATGCTTCTGCATAGTTGTTACGGGAAGATATTTCCCTTTCCAAAATAGGCCTGAAAGCGCTCCAAATGTCCACTTCCAGATACTACAAAAGGAGTGATTCCAACCTGCTCTATGATAGGGAATGTTCAACTCTGTGTCCTGAATACAAACATCACAAAGATGTTTCTCAGAACGCTGCAGTCTGCAATTTGTATGAATTCCCGCTTCCAACGAAATCCTCAAAACTAGCCAAATATCCACTTGCAGATTCCACAAAAAGACCATTTCAAAACTGCTCTATCAAAAGAAAGGTTCAACTTTGTTAGTTGAGTAGATACAGCATAAACAAGTTTCTGAGAATGCTTCTGTCCAGTTTTTATGGGAAGATATTTCCTTTTTCACCTTAGCCCTGAAATCGCTCCAAAAGTCCAGTTCCAGATACTACAAAAGGGGTGTTTCAGGACTGCTCTATGAAAGGGAGTGTTCAACTTTTGACTTGAATGCAAACATCAGAAAGCAGTTTCTCAGAACGCTGCTGTGTGCTTTTTATATGTATTCCCGCTTCCAGCGAAATCCCCAAAGCTAGCCAAATATCCACTTGCAGATTCCAGAAAAAGAGAGTTTCAAAACTGCTCCTTCAAAACGGTGGTTCAATTCTCTTAGTTGAGTACACACATCTCAAATAAGTTTCTGAGAATGCTTGTGTCTAGTTGTTATGGGAAGATATTTCCTTTTTCAACATAGGCCTGAAAGCGCTCCAAATGTCCACTTCCAGATACTACAAAAGGAGTGATTCCAACCTGCTCTATGATAGGGAATGTTCAACTCTCTGTCCTGAATACAAACACCACAAAGATGTTTCTCAGAACGCTGCAGTCTGCAATTTGTATGAATTCCCGCTTCCAACGAAATCCTCAAAACTAGCCAAATATCCACTTGCAGATTCCACAAAAAGAGCATTTCAAAACTGCTCTATCAAAAGAAAGGTTCAAATTTGTTAGTTGAGTAGATACAGCATAAACAAGTTTCTGAGAATGCTTCTGTCCAGTTTTTATGGGAAGATATTTCCTTTTTCACCTTAGCCCTGAAAGCGCTCCAAAAGTCCAGTTCCAGATACTACAAAAGGAGTGTTTCAGGACTGCTCTATGAAAGGGAGTGTTCAACTTTTGACTTGAATGCAAACATCAGAAAGCAGTTTCTCAGAACGCTGCTGTGTGCTTTTTATATGTATTCCCGCCTCCAGCGAAGTCCCCAAAGCTAGCCAAATATCCACTTGCAGATTCCAGAAAAAGAGTGTTTCAAAACTGCTCCTTCAAAACGGTGGTTCAATTCTCTTAGTTGAGTACACACATCTCAAATAAGTTTCTGAGAATGCTTCTGTCTAGTTGTTATGGGAAGATATTTCCTTTTCCAACATAGGCCTGAAAGCGCTCCAAATGTCCACTTCCAGATACTACAAAAGGAGTGATTCCAACCTGCTCTATGATAGGGAATGTTCAACTCTGTGTCCTGAATACAAACATCACAAAGATGTTTCTCAGAACGCTGCAGTCTGCAATTTGTATGAATTCCCGCTTCCAACGAAATCCTCCAAACTAGCCAAATATCCACTTGCAGATTCCACAAAAAGAGCGTTTCAAAACTTCTCTATGAAAAGAAAGGTTCTACTCCTTTAGTTGAGGACACACATCACGAGTAAGTTTCTGAGAATGCTTCTGTCTAGTTTTTAAGGGAAGATATTTCCTTTTTCACCTTAGGCCGGAAAGTGCTCCAAATGTCCACTTACACACACTACAAAAAGAGTGTTTCAAACCTGCTCTGTGAAAGGGAATGTTCAATTCTGTGACTTGAATGCAATCATCACAAAGAACTTTCTGAGAATGCTGCTGTCTGCTTTTTATATGTAATCCCGTTTCCAACGAAATCCTCAAATCTAGCCAAATAGCCACTTGCAGATTCCACAAAAAGAGTGTTTCAAAACTGTTCTGTCTAAAGAAATGTTCAACTGTGTTAGTTGAGGACACACATCAGAAACTAGTTTCTGAGAATGCTTCTGTCTAGTTGTTATGGGAAGATATTTCCTTTTCCAACGTAAGCCTGAAAGCGCTCCAAATGTCCACTTCTATATACTAAAAAAAGAGTGTTTCAAACCTGCTCTACCAAAGGGAATGTTCTACTCTGTGACTTGAATGCAAACATCCCAAAGAAGTTTCTGAGAATGCTTCTGTCTAGATTTGATCTGAAGACAATCCCGTTTCCAACGAAATCCTCAAGGCTAGGCAAATATCCTCTTGCAGATTCCAGAAAAAGAGTGTTTCAAAACTGCTCCTTCAAAACGGTGGTTCAATTCTCTTAGTTGAGTACACACATCTCAAATAAGTTTCTGAGAATGCTTCTGCCTAGTTGTTACGGGAAGATATTTCCTTTTCCAACATAGGCCTGAAAGCGCTCCAAATGTCCACTTCCAGATACTACAAAAAGAGTGTTTCAAACCTGCTCTACCAAAGGGAATGTTCTACTCTGTGACTTGAATGCAAACATCCCAAAGAAGTTTCTGAGAATGCTTCTGTCTAGATTTTACCTGAAGACAATCCCGTTTCCCACGAAATCCTCAAAGCTATGCAAATATCCTCTTGCAGATTCTACAAAAAGAGTGTTTCAAAACTGCTCTATGAAAAGAAAGGTTCAACTCTGTCAGTAGAGGGCACACATCACAAACAAGTTTCTGAGAATGCTTGTGTCTAGTTGTTATGGGAAGATATTTCCTTTTTCAACATAGGCCAGAAAGCGCTCCAAATGTCCACTTCCAGATACTACAAAAGGAGTGATTCCAACCTGCTCTATGATAGGGAATGTTCAACTCTCTGTCCTGAATACAAACATCACAAAGATGTTTCTCAGAACGCTGCAGTCTGCAATTTGTATGAATTCCCGCTTCCAACGAAATCCTCAAAACTAGCCAAATATCCACTTGCAGATTCCACAAAAAGAGCATTTCAAAACTGCTCTATCAAAAGAAAGGTTCAACTTTGTTAGTTGAGTAGATACAGCATAAACAAGTTTCTGAGAATGCTTCTGTCCAGTTTTTATGGGAAGATATTTCCTTTTTCACCTTAGCCCTGAAGGCGCTCCAAATTTCCAGTTCCAGATACTACAAAAGGGGTGTTTCAAGACTGCTCTATGAAAGGGAGTGTTCAACTTTTGACTTGAATGCAAACATCAGAAAGCAGTTTCTCAGAACGCTGCTGTGTGCTTTTTATATGTATTCCCGCTTCCAGCGAAATCCCCAAAGCTAGCCAAATATCCACTTGCAGATTCCAGAAAAAGAGTGTTTCCAAACTGCTCCTTCAAAACGGTGGTTCAATTCTCTTAGTTGAGTACACACATCTCAAATAAGTTTCTGGGAATGCTTCTGTCTAGTTGTTATGGGAAGATATTTCCTTTTCCAACATAGGCCTGAAAGCGCTCCAAATGTCCACTTCCAGATACTACAAAAGGAGTGATTCAAACCTGCTCTATGATAGGGAATGTTCAACTCTGTGTCCTGAATACAAACATCACAAAGATGTTTCTCAGAACGCTGCAGTCTGCATCTTGTATGAATTCCCACTTCCAACGAAATCCTCCAAACTAGCCAAATATCCACTTGCAGATTCCACAAAAAGAGCGTTTCAAAACTTCTCTATGAAAAGAAAGGTTCTACTCCTTTAGTTGAGGACACACATCACGAGTAAGTTTCTGAGAATGCTTCTGTCTAGTTTTTATGGGAAGATATTTCCTTGTTCACCTTAGGCCGGAAAGCGCTCCAAATGTCCACTTACACACACTACAAAAAGAGTGTTTCAAACCTGCTCTGTGAAAGGGAATGTTCAATTCTGTGACTTGAATGCAATCATCACAAAGAAGTTTCTGAGAATGCTGCTGTCTGCTTTTTATATGTAATCCCGTTTCCAACGAAATCCTCAAATCTAGCCAAATATCCACTTGCAGATTCCACAAAAAGAGTGTTTCAAAACTGTTCTGTCTAAACAAATGTTCAACTGTGTCAGTTGAGGACACACATCAGAAACTAGTTTCTGAGAATGCTTCTGTCTAGTTGTTATGGGAAGATATTTCCTTTTCCAACGTAGGCCTGAAAGCGCTCCAAATGTCCACTTCCATATACTAAAAAAAGAGTGTTTCAAACCTGCTCTACCAAAGGAATGTTCTACTCTGTGACTTGAATGCAAACATCCCAAAGAAGTTTCTGAGAATGCTTCTGTCTAGATTTGATCTGAAGACAATCCCTTTTCCAACGAAATCCTCAAAGCTAGGCAAATATCCTCTTGCAGATTCCAGAAAAAGAGTGTTTCCAAACTGCTCCTTCAAAACGGTGGTTCAATTCTCTTAGTTGAGTACACACATCTCAAATAAGTTTCTGAGAATGCTTCTGCCTAGTTGTTACGGGAAGATATTTCCCTTTCCAACATAGGCCTGAAAGCGCAACAAATGTCCACTTCCAGATACGACAAAAAGAGTGTTTCAAACCTGCTCTACCAAAGGGAATGTTCTACTCTGTGACTTGAATGCAAACATCCCGAAGAAGTTTCTGAGAATGCTTCTGTCTAGATTTTACCTGAAGACAATCCCGTTTCCCACGAAATCCTCAGAGCTATGCAAATATCCTCTTGCAGATTCTACAAAAAGAGTGTTTCGAAACTGCTCTATGAAAAGAAAGGTTCAACTCTGTCAGTAGAGGAAACACATCACCAACAAGTTTCTGAGAATGCTTCTGTCTAGTTGTTATGGGAAGATTTTTCCTTTTTCAACATAGGCCTGAAAGCGCTCCAAATGTCCACTTCCAGATACTACAAAAGGAGTGATCCCAACCTGCTCTATGATAGGGAATGTTCAACTCTGTGTCCTGAATACAAACATCACAAAGATGTTTCTCAGAACGCTGCAGTCTGCAATTTGTATGAATTCCCGCTTCCAACGAAATCCTCAAAACTAGCCAAATATCCACTTGCAGATTCCACAAAAAGAGCGTTTCAAAACTTCTCTATGAAAAGAAAGGTTCTACTCCTTTAGTTGAGGACACACATCACGAGTAAGTTTCTGAGAATGCTTCTGTCTAGTTTTTATGGGAAGATATTTCCTTTTTCACCTTAGGCCGGTAAAGTGCTCCAAATGTCCACTTACACACACTACAAAAAGAGTGTTTCAAACCTGCTCTGTGAAAGGGAATGTTCAATTCTGTGACTTGAATGCAATCATCACAAAGAACTTTCTGAGAATGCTGCTGTCTGCTTTTTATATGTAATCCCCTTTCCAACGAAATCCTCAAATCTAGCCAAATAGCCACTTGCAGATTCCACAAAAAGAGTGTTTCAAAACTGTTCTGTCTAAAGAAATGTTCAACTGTGTTAGTTGAGGACACACATCAGAAACTAGTTTCTGAGAATGCTTCTGTCTAGTTGTTATGGGAAGATATTTCCTTTTCCAACGTAGGCCGGAAAGCGCTCCAAATGTCCACTTCCATATACTAAAAAAAGAGTGTTTCAAACCTGCTCTACCAAAGGGAATGTTCTACTCTGTGACTTGAATGCAAACATCCCAAAGAAGTTTCTGAGAATGCTTCTGTCTAGATTTGATCTGAAGACAATCCCGTTTCCAACGAAATCCTCAAGGCTAGGCAAATATCCTCTTGCAGATTCCAGAAAAAGAGTGTTTCAAAACTGCTCCTTCAAAACGGTGGTTCAATTCTCTTAGTTGAGTACACACATCTCAAATAAGTTTCTGAGAATGCTTCTGCCTAGTTGTTACGGGAAGATATTTCCCTTTCCAACATGGGCCTGAAAGCGCTCCAAATGTCCACTTCCAGATACTACAAAAAGAGTGTTTCAAACCTGCTCTACCAAAGGGAATGTTCTACTCTGTGACTTGAATGCAAACATCCCAAAGAAGTTTCTGAGAATGCTTCTGTCTAGATTTTACCTGAAGACAATCCCGTTTCCCACGAAATCCTCAAAGCTATGCAAATATCCTCTTGCAGATTCTACAAAAAGAGTGTTTCAAAACTGCTCTATGAAAAGAAAGGTTCAACTCTGTCAGTAGAGGGCACACATCACAAACAAGTTTCTGAGAATGCTTCTGCATAGTTGTTACGGGAAGATATTTCCCTTTCCAAAATAGGCCTGAAAGCGCTCCAAATGTCCACTTCCAGATACTACAAAAGGAGTGATTCCAACCTGCTCTATGATAGGGAATGTTCAACTCTGTGTCCTGAATACAAACATCACAAAGATGTTTCTCAGAACGCTGCAGTCTGCAATTTGTATGAATTCCCGCTTCCAACGAAATCCTCAAAACTAGCCAAATATCCACTTGCAGATTCCACAAAAAGACCATTTCAAAACTGCTCTATCAAAAGAAAGGTTCAACTTTGTTAGTTGAGTAGATACAGCATAACCAAGTTTCTGAGAATGCTTCTGTCCAGTTTTTATGGGAAGATATTTCCTTTTTCACCTTAGCCCTGAAATCGCTCCAAAAGTCCAGTTCCAGATACTACAAAAGGGGTGTTTCAAGACTGCTCTATGAAAGGGAGTGTTCAACTTTTGACTTGAATGCAAACATCAGAAAGCAGTTTCTCAGAACGCTGCTGTGTGCTTTTTATATGTATTCCCGCTTCCAGCGAAATCCCCAAAGCTAGCCAAATATCCACTTGCAGATTCCAGAAAAAGAGAGTTTCAAAACTGCTCCTTCAAAACGGTGGTTCAATTCTCTTAGTTGAGTACACACATCTCAAATAAGTTTCTGAGAATGCTTCTGTCTAGTTGTTATGGGAAGATATTTCCTTTTCCAACATAGGCCTGAAAGCGCTCCAAATGTCCACTTCCAGATACTACAAAAGGAGTGATTCCAACCTGCTCTATGATAGGGAATGTTCAACTCTGTGTCCTGAATACAAACATCACAAAGATGTTTCTCAGAACGCTGCAGTCTGCATCTTGTATGAATTCCCGCTTCCAACGAAATCCTCCAAACTAGCCAAATATCCACTTGCAGATTCCACAAAAAGAGCGTTTCAAAACTTCTCTATGAAAAGAAAGGTTCTACTCCTTTAGTTGAGGACACACATCACGAGTAAGTTTCTGAGAATGCTTCTGTCTAGTTTTTATGGGAAGATATTTCCTTGTTCACCTTAGGCCGGAAAGCGCTCCAAATGTCCACTTACACACACTACAAAAAGAGTGTTTCAAACCTGCTCTGTGAAAGGGAATGTTCAATTCTGTGACTTGAATGCAATCATCACAAAGAAGTTTCTGAGAATGCTGCTGTCTGCTTTTTATATGTAATCCCGTTTCCAACGAAATCCTCAAATCTAGCCAAATATCCACTTGCAGATTCCACAAAAAGAGTGTTTCAAAACTGTTCTGTCTAAAGAAATGTTCAACTGTGTTAGTTGAGGACACACATCAGAAACTAGTTTCTGAGAATGCTTCTGTCTAGTTGTTATGGGAAGATATTTCCTTTTCCAACGTAGGCCTGAAAGCGCTCCAAATGTCCACTTCCATATACTAAAAAAAGAGTGTTTCAAACCTGCTCTACCAAAGGAATGTTCTACTCTGTGACTTGAATGCAAACATCCCAAAGAAGTTTCTGAGAATGCTTTCTGTCTAGATTTGATCTGAAGACAATCCCTTTTCCAACGAAATCCTCAAAGCTAGGCAAATATCCTCTTGCAGATTCCAGAAAAAGAGTGTTTCCAAACTGCTCCTTCAAAACGGTGGTTCAATTCTCTTAGTTGAGTACACACATCTCAAATAAGTTTCTGAGAATGCTTCTGCCTAGTTGTTACGGGAAGATATTTCCCTTTCCAACATAGGCCTGAAAGCGCAACAAATGTCCACTTCCAGATACGACAAAAAGAGTGTTTCAAACCTGCTCTACCAAAGGGAATGTTCTACTCTGTGACTTGAATGCAAACATCCCGAAGAAGTTTCTGAGAATGCTTCTGTCTAGATTTTACCTGAAGACAATCCCGTTTCCCACGAAATCCTCAGAGCTATGCAAATATCCTCTTGCAGATTCTACAAAAAGAGTGTTTCGAAACTGCTCTATGAAAAGAAAGGTTCAACTCTGTCAGTAGAGGACACACATCACCAACAAGTTTCTGAGAATGCTTGTGTCTAGTTGTTATGGGAAAATATTTCCGTTTTCAACATAGGCCTGAAAGCGCTCCAAATGTCCACTTCCAGATAGTACAAAAGGAGTGATTCCAACATGCTCTATGATAGGGAATGTTCATCTCTGTGTCTTGAATACAAACATCACAAAGATGTTTCTCAGAACGCTGCAGTCTGCAATTTGTATGAATTCCCGCTTCCAACGAAATCCTCAAAACTAGCCAAATATCCACTTGCAGATTCCACAAAAAGAGCATTTCAAAACTGCTCTATCAAAAGAAAGGTTCAACTTTGTTAGTTGAGTAGATACAGCATAAACAAGTTTCTGAGAATGCTTCTGTCCAGTTTTTATGGGAAGATATTTCCTTTTTCACCTTAGGTCGGAAAGCGCTCCAAATGTCCACTTACACACACTACAAAAAGAGTGTTTCAAACCTGCTCTGTGAAAGGGAATGTTCAATTCTGTGACTTGAATGCAATCATCACAAAGAACTTTCTGAGAATGCTGCTGTGTGCTTTTTATATGTATTCCCGCTTCCAGCGAATTCCCCAAAGCTAGCCAAATATCCACTTGCAGATTCCAGAAAAAGAGTGTTTCAAAACTGCTCCTTCAAAACGGTGGTTCAATTCTCTTAGTTGAGTACACACATCTCAAATAAGTTTCTGAGAATGCTTCTGTCTAGTTGTTATGGGAAGATATTTCCTTTTCCAACATAGGCCTGAAAGCGCTCCAAATGTCCACTTCCAGATACTACAAAAGGAGTGATTCCAACCTGCTCTATGATAGGGAATGTTCAACTCTGTGTCCTGAATACAAACATCACAAAGATGTTTCTCAGAACGCTGCAGTCTGCAATTTGTATGAATTCCCGCTTCCAACGAAATCCTCAAAACTAGCCAAATATCCACTTGCAGATTCCACAAAAAGAGCGTTTCAAAACTTCTCTGCGAAAGAAAGGTTCTACTCCTTTAGTTGAGGACACACATCACGAGTAAGTTTCTGAGAATGCTTCTGTCTAGTTTTTATGGGAAGATATTTCCTTTCTCACCTTAGGCCGGAAAGTGCTCCAAATGTCCACTTACACACACTACAAAAAGAGTGTTTCAAACCTGCTCTGTGAAAGGGAATGTTCAATTCTGTGACTTGAATGCAATCATCACAAAGAACTTTCTGAGAATGCTGGTGTCTGCTTTTTATATGTAATCCCGTTTCCAACGAAATCCTCAAATCTAGCCAAATAGCCACTTGCAGATTCCACAAAAAGAGAGTTTCAAAACTGTTCTGTCTAAAGAAATGTTCAACTGTGTTAGTTGAGGACACACATCAGAAACTAGTTTCTGAGAATGCTTCTGTCTAGTTGTTATGGGAAGATATTTCGTTTTCCAAAGTAGGCCTGAAAGCGCTCCAAATGTCCACTTCCATATACTAAAAAAAGAGTGTTTCACACCTGCTCTACCAAAGGGAATGTTCTACTCTGTGACTTGAATGCAAACATCCCAAAGAAGTTTCTGAGAATGCTTCTGTCTAGATTTGATCTGAACACAATCCCGTTTCCAACGAAATCCTCAAAGCTAGGCAAATATCCTCTTGCAGATTCCAGAAAAAGAGTGTTTCAAAACTGCTCCTTCAAAACGGTGGTTCAATTCTCTTAGTTGAGTACACACATCTCAAATAAGTTTCTGAGAATGCTTCTGCCTAGTTGTTACCGGAAGATATTTCCCTTTCCAACATAGGCCTGAAAGCGCTCCAAATGTCCACTTCCAGATACTACAAAAAGAGTGTTTCAAACCTGCTCTACCAAAGGGAATGTTCTACTCTGTGACTTGAATGCAAACATCCCAAAGAAGTTTCTGAGAATGCTTCTGTCTAGATTTTACCTGAAGACAATCCCGTTTCCCACGAAATCCTCAAAGCTATGCAAATATCCTCTTGCTGATTCTACAAAAAGAGTGTTTCAAAACTGCTCTATGAAAAGAAAGATTCAACTCTGTCAGTAGAGGGCACACATCACAAACAAGTTTCTGAGAATGCTTGTGTCTAGTTGTTATGGGAAGATATTTCCTTTTTCAACATAGGCCTGAAAGCGCTCCAAATGTCCACTTCCAGATACTACAAAAGGAGTGATTCCAACCTGCTCTATGATAGGGAATGTTCAACTCTCTGTCCTGAATACAAACATCACAAAGATGTTTCTCAGAACGCTGCAGTCTGCAATTTGTATGAATTCCCGCTTCCAACGAAATCCTAAAAACTAGCCAAATATCCACTTGCAGATTCCACAAAAAGACCATTTCAAAACTGCTCTATCAAAAGAAAGGTTCAACTTTGTTAGTTGAGTAGATACAGCATAAACAAGTTTCTGAGAATGCTTCTGTCCAGTTTTTATGGGAAGATATTTCCTTTTTCACCTTAGCCCTGAAATCGCTCCAAAAGTCCAGTTCCAGATACTACAAAAGGGGTGTTTCAAGACTGCTCTATGAAAGGGAGTGTTCAACTTTTGACTTGAATGCAAACATCAGAAAGCAGTTTCTCAGAACGCTGCTGTGTGCTTTTTATATGTATTCCCGCTTCCAGCGAAATCCCCAAAGCTAGCCAAATATCCACTTGCAGATTCCAGAAAAAGAGAGTTTCAAAACTGCTCCTTCAAAACGGTGGTTCAATTCTCTTAGTTGAGTACACACATCTCAAATAAGTTTCTGAGAATGCTGCAGTCTGCAATTTGTATGAATTCCCGCTTCCAACGAAATCCTCCAAACTAGCCAAATATCCACTTGCAGATTCCACAAAAAGAACATTTCAAAACTTCTCTATGAAAAGAAAGGTTCTACTCCTTTAGTTGAGGACACACATCACGAGTAAGTTTCTGAGAATGCTTCTGTCTAGTTTTTATGGGAAGATATTTCCTTTTTCACCTTAGGCCGGAAAGTGCTCCAAATGTCCACTTACACACACTATAAAAAGAGTGTTTCAAACCTGCTCTGTGAAAGGGAATGTTCAATTCTGTGACTTGAATGCAATCATCACAAAGAACTTTCTGAGAATGCTGCTGTCTGCTTTTTATATGTAATCCCGTTTCCAACGAAATCCTCAAATCTAGCCAAATAGCCACTTGCAGATTCCACAAAAAGAGAGTTTCAAAACTGTTCTGTCTAAAGAAATGTTCAACTGTGTTAGTTGAGGACACACATCAGAAACTAGTTTCTGAGAATGCTTCTGTCTAGTTGTTATGGGAAGATATTTCCTTTTCCAACGTAGGCCTGAAAGCGCTCCAAATGTCCACTTCCATATACTAAAAAAAGAGTGTTTCAAACCTGCTCTACCAAAGGGAATGTTCTACTCTGTGACTTGAATGCAAACATCCCAAAGAAGTTTCTGAGAATGCTTCTGTCTAGATTTGATCTGAAGACAATCCCGTTTCCAACGAAATCCTCAAGGCTAGGCAAATATCCTCTTGCAGATTCCAGAAAAAGAGTGTTTCAAAACTGCTCCTTCAAAACGGTGGTTCAATTCTCTTAGTTGAGTACACACATCTCAAATAAGTTTCTGAGAATGCTTCTGCCTAGTTGTTACGGGAAGATATTTCCCTTTCCAACATAGGCCTGAAAGCGCTCCAAATGTCCACTTCCAGATACTACAAAAAGAGTGTTTCAAACCTGCTCTACCAAAGGGAATGTTCTACTCTGTGACTTGAATGCAAACATCCCAAAGAAGTTTCTGAGAATGCTTCTGTCTAGATTTTACCTGAAGACAATCCCGTTTCCCACGAAATCCTCAAAGCTATGCAAATATCCTCTTGCAGATTCTACAAAAAGAGTGTTTCAAAACTGCTCTATGAAAAGAAAGGTTCAACTCTGTCAGTAGAGGGCACACATCACAAACAAGTTTCTGAGAATGCTTGTGTCTAGTTGTTATGGGAAGACATTTCCTTTTTCAACATAGGCCTGAAAGCGCTCCAAATGTCCACTTCCAGATACTACAAAAGGAGTGATTCCAACCTGCTCTATGATAGGGAATGTTCAACTCTGTGTCCTGAATACAAACATCACAAAGATGTTTCTCAGAACGCTGCAGTCTGCAATTTGTATGAATTCCCGCTTCCAACGAAATCCTCAAAACTAGCCAAATATCCACTTGCAGATTCCACAAAAAGAGCATTTCAAAACTGCTCTATCAAAAGAAAGGTTCAACTTTGTTAGTTGAGTAGATACAGCATAAACAAGTTTCTGAGAATGCTTCTGTCCAGTTTTTATGGGAAGATATTTCCTTTTTCACCTTAGCCCTGAAATCGCTCCAAAAGTCCAGTTCCAGATACTACAAAAGGGGTGTTTCAAGACTGCTCTATGAAAGGGAGTGTTCAACTTTTGACTTGAATGCAAACATCAGAAAGCAGTTTCTCAGAACGCTGCTGTGTGCTTTTTATATGTATTCCCGCTTCCAGCGAAATCCCCAAAGCTAGCCAAATATCCACTTGCAGATTCCAGAAAAAGAGTGTGTCAAAACTGCTCCTTCAAAACGGTGGTTCAATTCTCTTAGTTGAGTACACTCATCTCAAATAAGTTTCTGAGAATGCTGCAGTCTGCAATTTGTATGAATTCCCGCTTCCAACGAAATCCTCAAAACTAGCCAAATATCCACTTGCAGATTCCACAAAAAGAGCATTTCAAAACTCCTCTATCAAAAGAAAGGTTCAACTTTGTTAGTTGAGTAGATACAGCATAAACAAGTTTCTGAGAATGCTTCTGTCCAGTTTTTATGGGAAGATATTTCCTTTTTCACCTTAGCCCTGAAAGCGCTCCAAAAGTCCAGTTCCAGATACTACAAAAGGAGTGTTTCAGGACTGCTCTATGAAAGGGAGTGTTCAACTTTTGACTTGAATGCAAACATCAGAAAGCAGTTTCTCAGAACGCTGCTGTGTGCTTTTTATATGTATTCCCGCTTCCAGCGAAATCCCCAAAGCTAGCCAAATATCCACTTGCAGATTCCAGAAAAAGAGTGTTTCAAAACTGCTCCTTCAAAACGGTGGTTCAATTCTCTTAGTTGAGTACACACATCTCAAATAAGTTTCTGAGAATGCTGCAGTCTGCAATTTGTATGAATTCCCCGCTTCCAACGAAATCCTCAAAACTAGCCAAATATCCACTTGCAGATTCCACAAAAAGAGCGTTTCAAAACTTCTCTATGAAAAGAAAGGTTCTACTCCTTTAGTTGAGGACACACATCACGAGTAAGTTTCTGAGAATGCTTCTGTCTAGTTTTTATGGGAAGATATTTCCTTTTTCACCTTAGGCCGGTAAGTGCTCCAAATGTCCACTTACACACACTACAAAAAGAGTGTTTCAAACCTGCTCTGTGAAAGGGAATGTTCAATTCTGTGACTTGAATGCAATCATCACAAAGAACTTTCTGAGAATGCTGCTGTCTGCTTTTTATATGTAATCCCGTTTCCAACGAAATCCTCAAATCTAGCCAAATAGCCACTTGCAGATTCCACAAAAAGAGTGTTTCAAAACTGTTCTGTCTAAAGAAATGTTCAACTGTGTTAGTTGAGGACACACATCAGAAACTAGTTTCTGAGAATGCTTCTGTCTAGTTGTTATGGGAAGATATTTCCTTTTCCAACGTAGGCCTGAAAGCGCTCCAAATGTCCACTTCCATATACTAAAAAAAGAGTGTTTCAAACCTGCTCTACCAAAGGGAATGTTCTACTCTGTGACTTGAATGCAAACATCCCAAAGAAGTTTCTGAGAATGCTTCTGTCTAGATTTGATCTGAAGACAATCCCGTTTCCAACGAAATCCTCAAGGCTAGGCAAATATCCTCTTGCAGATTCCAGAAAAAGAGTGTTTCAAAACTGCTCCTTCAAAACGGTGGTTCAATTCTCTTAGTTGAGTACACACATCTCAAATAAGTTTCTGAGAATGCTTCTGCCTAGTTGTTACGGGAAGATATTTCCCTTTCCAACATGGGCCTGAAAGCGCTCCAAATGTCCACTTCCAGATACTACAAAAAGAGGGTTTCAAACCTGCTCTACCAAAGGGAATGTTCTACTTTGTGACTTGAATGCAAACATCCCAAAGAAGTTTCTGAGAATGCTTCTGTCTAGATTTTACCTGAAGACAATCCCGTTTCCCACGAAATCCTCAAAGCTATGCAAATATCCTCTTGCAGATTCTACAAAAAGAGTGTTTCAAAACTGCTCTATGAAAAGAAAGGTTCAACTCTGTCAGTAGAGGGCACACATCACAAACAAGTTTCTGAGAATGCTTGTGTCTAGTTGTTATGGGAAGATATTTCCTTTTTCAACATAGGCCTGAAAGCGCTCCAAATGTCCACTTCCAGATACTACAAAAGGAGTGATTCCAACCTGCTCTATGATAGGGAATGTTCAACTCTCTGTCCTGAATACAAACATCACAAAGATGTTTCTCAGAACGCTGCAGTCTGCAATTTGTATGAATTCCCGCTTCCAACGAAATCCTCAAAACTAGCCAAATATCCACTTGCAGATTCCACAAAAAGAGCATTTCAAAACTGCTCTATCAAAAGAAAGGTTCAACTTTGTTAGTTGAGTAGATACAGCATAAACAAGTTTCTGAGAATGCTTCTGTCCAGTTTTTATGGGAAGATATTTCCTTTTTCACCTTAGCCCTGAAGCGCTCCAAAAGTCCAGTTCCAGATACTACAAAAGGAGTGTTTCAGGACTGCTCTATGAAAGGGAGTGTTCAACTTTTGACTTGAATGCAAACATCAGAAAGCAGTTTCTCAGAACGCTGCTGTGTGCTTTTTATATGTATTCCCGCTTCCAGCGAAATCCCCAAAGCTAGCCAAATATCCACTTGCAGATTCCAGAAAAAGAGTGTTTCAAAACTGCTCCTTCAAAACGGTGGTTCAATTCTCTTAGTTGAGTACACACATCTCAAATAAGTTTCTGAGAATGCTTCTGTCTAGTTGTTATGGGAAGATATTTCCTTTTCCAACATAGGCCTGAAAGCGCTCCAAATGTCCACTTCCAGATACTACAAAAGGAGTGATTCCAACCTGCTCTATGATAGGGAATGTTCAACTCTGTGTCCTGAATACAAACATCACAAAGATGTTTCTCAGAACGCTGCAGTCTGCAATTTGTATGAATTCCCGCTTCCAACGAAATCCTCAAAACTAGCCAAATATCCACTTGCAGATTCCACAAAAAGAGCGTTTCAAAACTTCTCTATGAAAAGAAAGGTTCTACTCCTTTAGTTGAGGACACACATCACGAGTAAGTTTCTGAGAATGCTTCTGTCTAGTTTTTATGGGAAGATATTTCCTTTTTCACCTTAGGCCGGTAAGTGCTCCAAATGTCCACTTACACACACTACAAAAAGAGTGTTTCAAACCTGCTCTGTGAAAGGGAATGTTCAATTCTGTGACTTGAATGCAATCATCACAAAGAACTTTCTGAGAATGCTGCTGACTGCTTTTTATATGTAATCCCGTTTCCAACGAAATCCTCAAATCTAGCCAAATAGCCACTTGCAGATTCCACAAAAAGAGTGTTTCAAAACTGTTCTGTCTAAAGAAATGTTCAACTGTGTTAGTTGAGGACACACATCAGAAACTAGTTTCTGAGAATGCTTCTGTCTAGTTGTTATGGGAAGATATTTCCTTTTCCAACGTAGGCCTGAAAGCGCTCCAAATGTCCACTTCCAGATACTACAAAAAGAGTGTTTCAAACCTGCTCTACCAAAGGGAATGTTCTACTCTGTGACTTGAATGCAAACATCCCAAAGAAGTTTCTGAGAATGCTTCTGTCTAGATTTTCTCTGAAGACAATCCCGTTTCCAACGAAATCCTCAAGGCTAGGCAAATATACTCTTGCAGATTCCAGAAAAAGAGTGTTTCAAAACTGCTCCTTCAAAACGGTGGTTCAATTCTCTTAGTTGAGTACACACATCTCAAATAAGTTTCTGAGAATGCTTCTGCCTAGTTGTTACGGGAAGATATTTCCCTTTCCAACATGGGCCTGAAAGCGCTCCAAATGTCCACTTCCAGATACTACAAAAAGAGTGTTTCAAACCTGCTCTACCAAAGGGAATGTTCTACTCTGTGACTTGAATGCAAACATCCCAAAGAAGTTTCTGAGAATGCTTCTGTCTAGATTTTACCTGAAGACAATCTCGCTTCCCCACGAAATCCTCAAAGCTATGCAAATATCCTCTTGCAGATTCTACAAAAAGAGTGTTTCAAAACTGCTCTATGAAAAGAAAGGTTCAACTCTGTCAGTAGAGGGCACACATCACAAACAAGTTTCTGAGAATGCTTGTGTCTAGTTGTTATGGGAAGATATTTCCTTTTTCAACATAGGCCTGAAAGCGCTCCAAATGTCCACTTCCAGATACTACAAAAGGAGTGATTCCAACCTGCTCTATGATAGGGAATGTTCAACTCTCTGTCCTGAATACAAACATCACAAAGATGTTTCTCAGAACGCTGCAGTCTGCAATTTGTATGAATTCCCGCTTCCAACGAAATCCTCAAAACTAGCCAAATATCCACTTGCAGATTCCACAAAAAGAGCATTTCAAAACTGCTCTATCAAAAGAAAGGTTCAACTTTGTTAGTTGAGTAGATACAGCATAAACAAGTTTCTGAGAATGCTTCTGTCCAGTTTTTATGGGAAGATATTTCCTTTTTCACCTTAGCCCTGAAAGCGCTCCAAATTTCCAGTTCCAGATACTACAAAAGGGGTGTTTCAAGACTGCTCTATGAAAGGGAGTGTTCAACTTTTGACTTGAATGCAAACATCAGAAAGCAGTTTCTCAGAACGCTGCTGTGTGCTTTTTATATGTATTCCCGCTTCCAGCGAAATCCCCAAAGCTAGCCAAATATCCACTTGCAGATTCCAGAAAAAGAGTGTTTCCAAACTGCTCCTTCAAAACGGTGGTTCAATTCTCTTAGTTGAGTACACACATCTCAAATAAGTTTCTGGGAATGCTTCTGTCTAGTTGTTATGGGAAGATATTTCCTTTTCCAACATAGGCCTGAAAGCGCTCCAAATGTCCACTTCCAGATACTACAAAAGGAGTGATCCCAACCTGCTCTATGATAGGGAATGTTCAACTCTGTGTCCTGAATACAAACATCACAAAGATGTTTCTCAGAACGCTGCAGTCTGCAATTTGTATGAATTCCCGCTTCCAACGAAATCCTCAAAACTAGCCAAATATCCACTTGCAGATTCCACAAAAAGAGCATTTCAAAACTGCTCTATCAAAAGAAAGGTTCAACTTTGTTAGTTGAGTAGATACAGCATAAACAAGTTTCTGAGAATGCTTCTGTCCAGTTTTTATGGGAAGATATTTCCTTTCTCACCTTAGCCCTGAAAGCGCTCCAAAAGTCCAGTTCCAGATACTACAAAAGGAGTGTTTCAGGACTGCACTATGAAAGGGAGTGTTCAACTTTTGACTTGAATGCAAACATCAGAAAGCAGTTTCTCAGAACGCTGCTGTGTGCTTTTTATATGTATTCCCGCTTCCAGCGAAATCCCCAAAGCTAGCCAAATATCCACTTGCAGATTCCAGGAAAAGAGTGTTTCAAAACTGCTCCTTCAAAACGGTGGTTCAATTCTCTTAGTTGAGTACACACATCTCAAATAAGTTTCTGAGAATGCTTCTGTCTAGTTGTTATGGGAAGATATTTCCTTTTCCAACATAGGCCTGAAAGCGCTCCAAATGTCCACTTCCAGATACTACAAAAGGAGTGATTCAAACCTGCTCTATGATAGGGAATGTTCAACTCTGTGTCCTGAATACAAACATCACAAAGATGTTTCTCAGAACGCTGCAGTCTGCAATTTGTATGAATTCCCGCTTCCAACGAAATCCTCCAAACTAGCCAAATATCCACTTGCAGATTCCACAAAAAGAGCATTTCAAAACTGCTCTATCAAAAGAAAGGTTCAACTATGTTAGTTGAGTAGATACAGCATAAACAAGTTTCTGAGAATGATTCTGTCCAGTTTTTATGGGAAGATATTTCCTTTTTCACCTTAGCCCTGAAAGCGCTCCAAAAGTCCAGTTCCAGATACTACAAAAGGAGTGTTTCAGGACTGCTCTATGAAAGGGAGTGTTCAACTTTTGACTTGAATGCAAACATCAGAAAGCAGTTTCTCAGAACGCTGCTGTGTGCTTTTTATATGTATTCCCGCTTCCAGCGAAATCCCCAAAGCTAGCCAAATATCCACTTGCAGATTCCAGAAAAAGAGTGTTTCAAAACTGCTCCTTCAAAACGGTGGTTCAATTCTCTTAGTTGAGTACACACATCTCAAATAAGTTTCTGAGAATGCTTCTGTCTAGTTGTTATGGGAAGATATTTCCTTTTCCAACATAGGCCTGAAAGCGCTCCAAATGTCCACTTCCAGATACTACAAAAGGAGTGATTCAAACCTGCTCTATGATAGGGAATGTTCAACTCTGTGTCCTGAATACAAACATCACAAAGATGTTTCTCAGAACGCTGCAGTCTGCAATTTGTATGAATTCCCGCTTCCAACGAAATCCTCCAAACTAGCCAAATATCCACTTGCAGATTCCACAAAAAGAGCGTTTCAAAACTTCTCTATGAAAACAAAGGTTCTACTCCTTTAGTTGAGGACACACATCACGAGTAAGTTTCTGAGAATGCTTCTGTCTAGTTTTTATGGGAAGATATTCCCTTTTTCACCTTAGGCCGGAAAGTGCTCCAAATGTCCACTTACACACACTACAAAAAGAGTGTTTCAAACCTGCTCTGTGAAAGGGAATGTTCAATTCTGTGACTTGAATGCAATCATCACAAAGAACTTTCTGAGAATGCTGCTGTCTGCTTTTTATATGTAATCCCGTTTCCAACGAAATCCTCAAATCTAGCCAAATAGCCACTTGCAGATTCCACAAAAAGAGTGTTTCAAAACTGTTCTGTCTAAAGAAATGTTCAACTGTGTTAGTTGAGGACACACATCAGAAACTAGTTTCTGAGAATGCTTCTGTCTAGTTGTTATGGGAAGATATTTCCTTTTCCAACGTAGGCCTGAAAGCGCTCCAAATGTCCACTTCCATATACTAAAAAAAGAGTGTTTCAAACCTGCTCTACCAAAGGGAATGTTCTACTCTGTGACTTGAATGCAAACATCCCAAAGAAGTTTCTGAGAATGCTTCTGTCTAGATTTGATCTGAAGACAATCCCGTTTCCAACGAAATCCTCAAGGCTAGGCAAATATCCTCTTGCAGATTCCAGAAAAAGAGTGTTTCAAAACTGCTCCTTCAAAACGGTGGTTCAATTCTCTTAGTTGAGTACACACATCTCAAATAAGTTTCTGAGAATGCTTCTGCCTAGTTGTTACGGGAAGATATTTCCCTTTCCAACATGGGCCTGAAAGCGCTCCAAATGTCCACTTCCAGATACTACAAAAAGAGTGTTTCAAACCTGCTCTACCAAAGGGAATGTTCTACTCTGTGACTTGAATGCAAACATCCCAAAGAAGTTTCTGAGAATGCTTCTGTCTAGATTTTACCTGAAGACAATCCCGTTTCCCACGAAATCCTCAAAGCTATGCAAATATCCTCTTGCAGATTCTACAAAAAGAGTGTTTCAAAACTGCTCTATGAAAAGAAAGGTTCAACTCTGTCAGTAGAGGGCACACATCACAAACAAGTTTCTGAGAATGCTTCTGCATAGTTGTTACGGGAAGATATTTCCCTTTCCAAAATAGGCCTGAAAGCGCTCCAAATGTCCACTTCCAGATACTACAAAAGGAGTGATTCCAACCTGCTCTATGATAGGGAATGTTCAACTCTGTGTCCTGAATACAAACATCACAAAGATGTTTCTCAGAACGCTGCAGTCTGCAATTTGTATGAATTCCCGCTTCCAACGAAATCCTCAAAACTAGCCAAATATCCACTTGCAGATTCCACAAAAAGACCATTTCAAAACTGCTCTATCAAAAGAAAGGTTCAACTTTGTTAGTTGAGTAGATACAGCATAAACAAGTTTCTGAGAATGCTTCTGTCCAGTTTTTATGGGAAGATATTTCCTTTTTCACCTTAGCCCTGAAATCGCTCCAAAAGTCCAGTTCCAGATACTACAAAAGGGGTGTTTCAGGACTGCTCTATGAAAGGGAGTGTTCAACTTTTGACTTGAATGCAAACATCAGAAAGCAGTTTCTCAGAACGCTGCTGTGTGCTTTTTATATGTATTCCCGCTTCCAGCGAAATCCCCAAAGCTAGCCAAATATCCACTTGCAGATTCCAGAAAAAGAGAGTTTCAAAACTGCTCCTTCAAAACGGTGGTTCAATTCTCTTAGTTGAGTACACACATCTCAAATAAGTTTCTGAGAATGCTTCTGTCTAGTTGTTATGGGAAGATATTTCCTTTTCCAACATAGGCCTGAAAGCGCTCCAAATGTCCACTTCCAGATACTACAAAAGGAGTGATTCAAACCTGCTCTATGATAGGGAATGTTCAACTCTGTGTCCTGAATACAAACATCACAAAGATGTTTCTCAGAACGCTGCAGTCTGCAATTTGTATGAATTCCCGCTTCCAACGAAATCCTCAAAACTAGCCAAATATCCACTTGCAGATTCCACAAAAAGAGCGTTTCAAAACTTCTCTATGAAAAGAAAGGTTCTACTCCTTTAGTTGAGGACACACATCACGAGTAAGTTTCTGAGAATGCTTCTGTCTAGTTTTTATGGGAAGATATTTCCTTTTTCACCTTAGGCCGGAAAGTGCTCCAAATGTCCACTTACACACACTACAAAAAGAGTGTTTCAAACCTGCTCTGTGAAAGGGAATGTTCAATTCTGTGACTTGAATGCAATCATCACAAAGAACTTTCTGAGAATGCTGCTGTCTGCTTTTTATATGTAATCCCGTTTCCAACGAAATCCTCAAATCTAGCCAAATAGCCACTTGCAGATTCCACAAAAAGAGTGTTTCAAAACTGTTCTGTCTAAAGAAATGTGCAACTGTGTTAGTTGAGGACACACATCAGAAACTAGTTTCTGAGAATGCTTCTGTCAAGTTGTTATGGGAAGATATTTCCTTTTCAAACCTAGGCCTGAAAGCGCTCCAATTGTCCACTTCCATATACTAAAAAAAGAGTGTTTCAAACCTGCTCTACCAAAGGGAATGTTCTACTCTGTGACTTGAGTGCAAACATCCCAAAGAAGTTTCTGAGAATGCTTCTGTCTAGATTTTATCTGAAGACAATCCCGTTTCCAACGAAATCCTCAAGGCTAGGCAAATATACTCTTGCAGATTCCAGAAAAAGAGGGTTTCAAAACTGCTCCTTCAAAACGGTGGTTCAATTCTCTTAGTTGAGTACACACATCTCAAATAAGTTTCTGAGAATGCTTCTGCCTAGTTGTTACGGGAAGATATTTCCCTTTCCAACATGGGCCTGAAAGCGCTCCAAATGTCCACTTCCAGATACTACAAAAAGAGTGTTTCAAACCTGCTCTACCAAAGGGAATGTTCTACTCTGTGACTTGAATGCAAACATCCCAAAGAAGTTTCTGAGAATGCTTCTGTCTAGATTTTACCTGAAGACAATCCCGTTTCCCACGAAATCCTCAAAGCTATGCAAATATCCTCTTGCGGATTCTACAAAAAGAGTGTTTCAAAACTGCTCTATGAAAAGAAAGGTTCAACTCTGTCAGTAGAGGGCACACATCACAAACAAGTTTCTGAGAATGCTTGTGTCTAGTTGGCATGGGACGATATTTCCTTTTTCAACATAGGCCTGAAAGCGCTCCAAATGTCCACTTCCAGATACTACAAAAGGAGTGATTCCAACATGCTCTATGATAGGGAATGTTCATCTCTGTGTCTTGAATACAAACATCACAAAGATGTTTCTCAGAACGCTGCAGTCTGCAATTTGTATGAATTCCCGCTTCCAACGAAATCCTCAAAACTAGCCAAATATCCACTTGGAGATTCCACAAAAAGAGCGTTTCAAAACTTCTCTATGAATAGAAAGGTTCTACTCCTTTAGTTGAGGACACACATCACGAGTAAGTTTCTGAGAATGCTTCTGTCTAGTTTTTATGGGAAGATATGTCCTTTTTCACCTTAGGCCGGAAAGCGCTCCAAATGTCCACTTACACACACTACAAAAAGAGTGTTTCAAACCTGCTCTGTGAAAGGGAATGTTCAATTCTGTGACTTGAATGCAATCATCACAAAGAACTTTCTGAGAATGCTGCTGTCTGCTTTTTATATGTAATCCCGTTTCCAACGAAATCCTCAAATCTAGCCAAATATCCACTTGCAGATTCCACAAAAAGAGTGTTTCAAAACTGTTCTGTCTAAAGAAAAGTTCAACTGTGTTAGTTGAGGACACACATCAGAAACTAGTTTCTGAGAATGCTTCTGTCTAGTTGTTATGGGAAGATATTTCCTTTTCCAACGTAGGCCTGAAAGCGCTCCAAATGTCCACTTCCAGATACTAAAAAAAGAGTGTTTCAAACCTGCTCTACCAAAGAGAATGTTCTACTCTGTGACTTGAATGCAAACATCCCAAAGAAGTTTCTGAGAATGCTTCTGTCTAGATTTTATCTGAAGACAATCCCGTTTCCAACGAAATCCTCAAGGCTAGGCAAATATATTCTTGCAGAATCCAGAAAAAGAGTGTTTCAAAACTGCTCCTTCAAAACGGTGGTTCAATTCTCTTAGTTGAGTACACACATCTCAAATAAGTTTCTGAGAATGCTTCTGCCTAGTTGTTACGGGAAGATATTTCCCTTTCCAACATGGGCCTGAAAGCGCTCCAAATGTCCACTTCCAGATACTACAAAAAGAGTGTTTCAAACCTGCTCTACCAAAGGGAATGTTCTACTCTGTGTCTTGAATGCAAACATCCCAAAGAAGTTTCTGAGAATGCTTCTGTCTAGATTTTACCTGAAGACAATCCCGTTTCCCACGAAATCCTCAAATCTATGCAAATATCCTCTTGCAGATTCTACAAAAAGAGTGTTTCAAAACTGCTCTAAGAAAAGAAAGGTTCAACTCTGTCAGTAGAGGGCACACATCACAAACAAGTTTCTGAGAACGCTTGTGTCTAGTTGTTATGGGAAGATATTTCCTTTTTCAACATAGGCCTGAAAGCGCTCCAAATGTCCACTTCCAGATACTACAAAAGGAGTGATTCCAACCTGCTCTATGATAGGGAATGTTCAACTCTGTGTCCTGAATACAAACATCACAAAGATGTTTCTCAGAACGCTGCAGTCTGCAATTTGTATGAATTCCCGCTTCCAACGAAATCCTCAAAACTAGCCAAATATCCACTTGCAGATTCCACAAAAAGACCATTTCAAAACTGCTCTATCAAAAGAAAGGTTCAACTTTGTTAGTTGAGTAGATACAGCATAAACAAGTTTCTGAGAATGCTTCTGTCCAGTTTTTATGGGAAGATATTTCCTTTTTCACCTTAGCCCTGAAATCGCTCCAAAAGTCCAGTTCCAGATACTACAAAAGGGGTGTTTCAAGACTGCTCTATGAAAGGGAGTGTTCAACTTTTGACTTGAATGCAAACATCAGAAAGCAGTTTCTCAGAACGCTGCTGTGTGCTTTTTATATGTATTCCCGCTTCCAGCGAAATCCCCAAAGCTAGCCAAATATCCACTTGCAGATTCCAGAAAAAGAGAGTTTCAAAACTGCTCCTTCAAAACGGTGGTTCAATTCTCTTAGTTGAGTACACACATCTCAAATAAGTTTCTGAGAATGCTTCTGTCTAGTTGTTATGGGAAGATATTTCCTTTTCCAACATAGGCCTGAAAGCGCTCCAAATGTCCACTTCCAGATACTACAAAAGGAGTGATTCCAACCTGCTCTATGATAGGGAATGTTCAACTCTGTGTCCTGAATACAAACATCACAAAGATGTTTCTCAGAACGCTGCAGTCTGCAATTTGTATGAATTCCCGCTTCCAACGAAATCCTCAAAACTAGCCAAATATCCACTTGCAGATTCCACAAAAAGAGCATTTCAAAACTGCTCTATCAAAAGAAAGGTTCAACTTTGTTAATTGAGTAGATACAGCATAAACAAGTTTCTGAGAATGCTTCTGTCCAGTTTTTATGGGAAGATATTTCCTTTTTCACCTTAGCCCTGAAAGCGCTCCAAAAGTCCAGTTCCAGATACTACAAAAGGAGTGTTTCAGGACTGCTCTATGAAAGGGAGTGTTCAACTTTTGACTTGAATGCAAACATCAGAAAGCAGTTTCTCAGAACGCTGCTGTGTGCTTTTTATATGTATTCCCGCTTCCAGCGAAATCCCCAAAGCTAGCCAAATATCCACTTGCAGATTCCAGAAAAAGAGTGTTTCAAAACTGCTCCTTCAAAACGGTGGTTCAATTCTCTTAGTTGAGTACACACATCTCAAATAAGTTTCTGAGAATGCTTCTGTCTAGTTGTTATGGGAAGATATTTCCTTTTCCAACATAGGCCTGAAAGCGCTCCAAATGTCCACTTCCAGATACTACAAAAGGAGTGATTCCAACCTGCTCTATGATAGGGAATGTTCAACTCTGTGTCCTGAATACAAACATCACAAAGATGTTTCTCAGAACGCTGCAGTCTGCAATTTGTATGAATTCCCGCTTCCAACGAAATCCTCCAAACTAGCCAAATATCCACTTGCAGATTCCACAAAAAGAGCGTTTCAAAACTTCTCTATGAAAAGAAAGGTTCTACTCCTTTAGTTGAGGACACACATCACGAGTAAGTTTCTGAGAATGCTTCTGTCTAGTTTTTATGGGAAGATATTTCCTTGTTCACCTTAGGCCGGAAAGCGCTCCAAATGTCCACTTACACACACTACAAAAAGAGTGTTTCAAACCTGCTCTGTGAAAGGGAATGTTCAATTCTGTGACTTGAATGCAATCATCACAAAGAAGTTTCTGAGAATGCTGCTGTCTGCTTTTTATATGTAATCCCGTTTCCAACGAAATCCTCAAATCTAGCCAAATATCCACTTGCAGATTCCACAAAAAGAGTGTTTCAAAACTGTTCTGTCTAAAGAAATGTTCAACTGTGTTAGTTGAGGACACACATCAGAAACTAGTTTGCTGAGAATGCTTCTGTCTAGTTGTTATGGGAAGATATTTCCTTTTCCAACGTAGGCCTGAAAGCACTCCAAATGTCCACTTCCATATACTAGAAAAAGAGTGTTTCAAACCTGCTCTACCAAAGGGAATGTTCTACTCTGTGACTTGAATGCAAACATCCCAAAGAAGTTTCTGAGAATGCTTCTGTCTAGATTTGATCTGAAGACAATCCCGATTCCAACGAAATCCTCAAGACTAGGCAAATATCCTCTTGCAGATTCCAGAAAAAGAGTGTTTCAAAACTGCTCCTTGAAAACTGTGGTTCAATTCTCTTAGTTGAGTACACACATCTCAAATAATTTTCTGAGAATGCTTCTGCCTTGTTGTTACGGGAAGATATTTCCCTTTCCAACATAGGCCTGAAAGCGATCCAAATGTCCACTTCCAGATACTACAAAAAGAGTGTTTCAAACCTGCTCTACCAAAGGGAATGTTCTACTCTGTGACTTGAATGCAAACATCCCAAAGAAGTTTCTGAGAATGCTTCTGTCTAGATTTTACCTGAAGACAATCCCGTTTCCCACGAAATCCTCAAAGCTATGCAAATATCCTCTTGCAGATTCTACAAAAAGAGTGTTTCAAAACTGCTCTATGAAAAGAAAGGTTCAAATCTGTCAGTAGAGGGCACACATCACAAACAAGTTTCTGAGAATGCTTGTGTCTAGTTGTTATGGGAAGATATTTCCTTTTTCAACATAGGCCTGAAAGCGCTCCAAATGTCCACTTCCAGATACTACAAAAGGAGTGATTCCAACCTGCTCTATGATAGGGAATGTTCAACTCTCTGTCCTGAATACAAACATCACAAAGATGTTTCTCAGAACGCTGCAGTCTGCAATTTGTATGAATTCCCGCTTCCAACGAAATCCTCAAAACTAGCCAAATATCCACTTGCAGATTCCACAAAAAGAGCATTTCAAAACTGCTCTATCAAAAGAAAGGTTCAACTATGTTAGTTGAGTAGATACAGCATAAACAAGTTTCTGAGAATGCTTCTGTCCAGTTTTTATGGGAAGATATTTCCTTTTTCACCTTAGCCCTGAAATCGCTCCAAAAGTCCAGTTCCAGATACTACAAAAGGGGTGTTTCAGGACTGCTCTATGAAAGGGAGTGTTCAACTTTTGACTTGAATGCAAACATCAGAAAGCAGTTTCTCAGAACGCTGCTGTGTGCTTTTTATATGTATTCCCGCTTCCAGCGAAATCCCCAAAGCTAGCCAAATATCCACTTGCAGATTCCAGAAAAAGAGTGTTTCAAAACTGCTCCTTCAAAACGGTGGTTCAATTCTCTTAGTTGAGTACACACATCTCAAATAAGTTTCTGAGAATGCTTCTGTCTAGTTGTTATGGGAAGATATTTCCTTTTCCAACATAGGCCTGAAAGCACTCCAAATGTCCACTTCCAGATACTACAAAAGGAGTGATTCAAACCTGCTCTATGATAGGGAATGTTCAACTCTGTGTCCTGAATACAAACATCACAAAGATGTTTCTCAGAACGCTGCAGTCTGCAATTTGTATGAATTCCCGCTTCCAACGAAATCCTCAAAACTAGCCAAATATCCACTTGCAGATTCCACAAAAAGAGCGTTTCAAAACTTCTCTATGAAAAGAAAGGTTCTACTCCTTTAGTTGAGGACACACATCACGAGTAAGTTTCTGAGAATGCTTCTGTCTAGTTTTTATGGGAAGATATTTCCTTTTTCACCTTAGGCCGGTAAGTGCTCCAAATGTCCACTTACACACACTACAAAAAGAGTGTTTCAAACCTGCTCTGTGAAAGGGAATGTTCAATTCTGTGACTTGAATGCAATCATCACAAAGAACTTTCTGAGAATGCTGCTGACTGCTTTTTATATGTAATCCCGTTTCCAACGAAATCCTCAAATCTAGCCAAATAGCCACTTGCAGATTCCACAAAAAGAGTGTTTCAAAACTGTTCTGTCTAAAGAAATGTTCAACTGTGTTAGTTGAGGACACACATCAGAAACTAGTTTCTGAGAATGCTTCTGTCTAGTTGTTATGGGAAGATATTTCCTTTTCCAACGTAGGCCTGAAAGCGCTCCAAATGTCCACTTCCATATACTAAAAAAAGAGTGTTTCAAACCTGCTCTACCAAAGGGAATGTTCTACTCTGTGACTTGAATGCAAACATCCCAAAGAAGTTTCTGAGAATGCTTCTGTCTAGATTTGATCTGAAGACAATCCCGTTTCCAACGAAATCCTCAAGGCTAGGCAAATATCCTCTTGCAGATTCCAGAAAAAGAGTGTTTCAAAACTGCTCCTTCAAAACGGTGGTTCAATTCTCTTAGTTGAGTACACACATCTCAAATAAGTTTCTGAGAATGCTTCTGCCTAGTTGTTACGGGAAGATATTTCCCTTTCCAACATGGGCCTGATAGTGCTCCAAATGTCCACTTCCAGATACTACAAAAAGAGTGTTTCAAACCTGCTCTACCAAAGGGAATGTTCTACTCTGTGACTTGAATGCAAACATCCCAAAAAAGTTTCTGAGAATGCTTCTGTCTAGATTTTACCTGAAGACAATCCCGTTTCCCACGAAATCCTCAAAGCTATGCAAATATCCTCTTGCAGATTCTACAAAAAGAGTGTTTCAAAACTGCTCTATGAAAAGAAAGGTTCAACTCTGTCAGTAGAGGGCACACATCACAAACAAGTTTCTGAGAATGCTTCTGCATAGTTGTTACGGGAAGATATTTCCCTTTCCAAAATAGGCCTGAAAGCGCTCCAAATGTCCACTTCCAGATACTACAAAAGGAGTGATTCCAACCTGCTCTATGATAGGGAATGTTCAACTCTGTGTCCTGAATACAAACATCACAAAGATGTTTCTCAGAACGCTGCAGTCTGCAATTTGTATGAATTCCCGCTTCCAACGAAATCCTCAAAACTAGCCAAATATCCACTTGCAGATTCCACAAAAAGACCATTTCAAAACTGCTCTATCAAAAGAAAGGTTCAACTTTGTTAGTTGAGTAGATACAGCATAAACAAGTTTCTGAGAATGCTTCTGTCCAGTTTTTATGGGAAGATATTTCCTTTTTCACCTTAGCCCTGAAATCGCTCCAAAAGTCCAGTTCCAGATACTACAAAAGGGGTGTTTCAAGACTGCTCTATGAAAGGGAGTGTTCAACTTTTGACTTGAATGCAAACATCAGAAAGCAGTTTCTCAGAACGCTGCTGTGTGCTTTTTATATGTATTCCCGCTTCCAGCGAAATCCCCAAAGCTAGCCAAATATCCACTTGCAGATTCCAGAAAAAGAGTGTTTCAAAACTGCTCCTTCAAAACGGTGGTTCAATTCTCTTAGTTGAGTACACACATCTCAAATAAGTTTCTGAGAATGCTTCCTGTCTATTTGTTATGGGAAGATATTTCCTTTTCCAACATAGGGCCTGAAAGCGCTCCAAATGTCCACTTCCAGATACTACAAAAGGAGTGATTCAAACCTGCTCTATGATAGGGAATGTTCAACTCTGTGTCCTGAATACAAACATCACAAAGATGTTTCTCAGAACGCTGCAGTCTGCAATTTGTATGAATTCCCGCTTCCAACGAAATCCTCAAAACTAGCCAAATATCCACTTGCAGATTCCACAAAAAGAGCATTTCAAAACTGCTCTATCAAAAGAAAGGTTCAACTTTGTTAGTTGAGTAGATACAGCATAAACAAGTTTCTGAGAATGCTTCTGTCCAGTTTTTATGGGAAGATATTTCCTTTTTCACCTTAGCCCTGAAAGCGCTCCAAAAGTCCAGTTCCAGATACTACAAAAGGAGTGTTTCAGGACTGCTCTATGAAAGGGAGTGTTCAACTTTTGACTTGAATGCAAACATCAGAAAGCAGTTTCTCAGAACGCTGCTGTGTGCTTTTTATATGTATTCCCGCTTCCAGCGAAATCCCCAAAGCTAGCCAAATATCCACTTGCAGATTCCAGAAAAAGAGTGTTTCAAAACTGCTCCTTCAAAACGGTGGTTCAATTCTCTTAGTTGAGTACACACATCTCAAATAAGTTTCTGAGAATGCTTCTGTCTAGTTGTTATGGGAAGATATTTCCTTTTCCAACATAGGCCTGAAAGCGCTCCAAATGTCCACTTCCAGATACTACAAAAGGAGTGATTCCAACCTGCTCTATGATAGGGAATGTTCAACTCTGTGTCCTGAATACAAACATCACAAAGATGTTTCTCAGAACGCTGCAGTCTGCAATTTGTATGAATTCCCGCTTCCAACGAAATCCTCCAAACTAGCCAAATATCCACTTGCAGATTCCACAAAAAGAGCGTTTCAAAACTTCTCTGCGAAAGAAAGGTTCTACTCCTTTAGTTGAGGACACACATCACGAGTAAGTTTCTGAGAATGCTTCTGTCTAGTTTTTATGGGAAGATATTTCCTTTCTCACCTTAGGCCGGAAAGTGCTCCAAATGTCCACTTACACACACTACAAAAAGAGTGTTTCAAACCTGCTCTGTGAAAGGGAATGTTCAATTCTGTGACTTGAATGCAATCATCACAAAGAACTTTCTGAGAATGCTGCTGTCTGCTTTTTATATGTAATCCCGTTTCCAACGAAATCCTCAAATCTAGCCAAATAGCCACTTGCAGATTCCACAAAAAGAGAGTTTCAAAACTGTTCTGTCTAAAGAAATGTTCAACTGTGTTAGTTGAGGACACACATCAGAAACTAGTTTCTGAGAATGCTTCTGTCTAGTTGTTATGGGAAGATATTTCGTTTTCCAACGTAGGCCTGAAAGCGCTCCAAATGTCCACTTCCATATACTAAAAAAAGAGTGTTTCACACCTGCTCTACCAAAGGGAATGTTCTACTCTGTGACTTGAATGCAAACATCCCAAAGAAGTTTCTGAGAATGCTTCTGTCTAGATTTTCTCTGAAGACAATCCCGTTTCCAACGAAATCCTCAAGGCTAGGCAAATATACTCTTGCAGATTCCAGAAAAAGAGTGTTTCAAAACTGCTCCTTCAAAACGGTGGTTCAATTCTCTTAGTTGAGTACACACATCTCAAATAAGTTTCTGAGAATGCTTCTGCCTAGTTGTTACGGGAAGATATTTCCCTTTCCAACATAGGCCTGAAAGCGCTCCAAATGTCCACTTCCAGATACTACAAAAAGAGTGTTTCAAACCTGCTCTACCAAAGGGAATGTTCTACTCTGTGACTTGAATGCAAACATCCCAAAGAAGTTTCTGAGAATGCTTCTGTCTAGATTTTACCTGAAGACAATCCCGTTTCCCACGAAATCCTCAAAGCTATGCAAATATCCTCTTGCAGATTCTACAAAAAGAGTGTTTCAAAACTGCTCTATGAAAAGAAAGGTTCAACTCTGTCAGTAGAGGGCACACATCACAAACAAGTTTCTGAGAATGCTTGTGTCTAGTTGTTATGGGAAGATATTTCCTTTTTCAACATAGGCCTGAAAGCGCTCCAAATGTCCACTTCCAGATACTACAAAAGGAGTGATTCCAACCTGCTCTATGATAGGGAATGTTCAACTCTCTATCCTGAATACAAACATCACAAAGATGTTTCTCAGAACGCTGCAGTCTGCAATTTGTATGAATTCCCGCTTCCAACGAAATCCTCAAAACTAGCCAAATATCCACTTGCAGATTCCACAAAAAGAGCATTTCAAAACTGCTCTATCAAAAGAAAGGTTCAACTTTGTTAGTTGAGTAGATACAGCATAAACAAGTTTCTGAGAATGCTTCTGTCCAGTTTTTATGGGAAGATATTTCCTTTTTCACCTTAGCCCTGAAAGCGCTCCAAAAGTCCAGTTCCAGATACTACAAAAGGAGTGTTTCAGGACTGCACTATGAAAGGGAGTGTTCAACTTTTGACTTGAATGCAAACATCAGAAAGCAGTTTTCTCAGAACGCTGCTGTGTGCTTTTTATATGTATTCCCGCCTCCAGCGAAATCCCCAAAGCTAGCCAAATATCCACTTGCAGATTCCAGAAAAAGAGTGTTTCAAAACTGCTCCTTCAAAACGGTGGTTCAATTCTCTTAGTTGAGTACACACATCTCAAATAAGTTTCTGAGAATGCTTTGTGTCTAGTTGTTATGGGAAGATATTTCCTTTTTCAACATAGGCCTGAAAGCGCTCCAAATGTCCACTTCCAGATACTACAAAAGGAGTGATTCCAACCTGCTCTATGATAGGGAATGTTCCACTCTGTGTCCTGAATACAAACATCACAAAGATGTTTCTCAGAACGCTGCAGTCTGCAATTTGTATGAATTCCCGCTTCCAACGAAATCCTCAAAACTAGCCAAATATCCACTTGCAGATTCCACAAAAAGAGCGTTTCAAAACTTCTCTATGAAAAGAAAGGTTCTACTTCTTTAGTTGAGGACACACATCACGAGTAAGTTTCTGAGAATGGTTCTGTCTAGTTTTTATGGGAAGATATTTCCTTTTTCACCTTAGGCCGGAAAGTGCTCCAAATGTCCACTTACACACACTATACAAAGAGTGTTTCAAACCTGCTCTGTGAAAGGGAATGTTCAATACTGTGACTTGAATGCAATCATCACAAAGAAGTTTCTGAGAATGCTGCTGACTGCTTTTTATATGTAATCCCGTTTCCAACGAAATCCTCAAATCTAGCCAAATAGCCACTTGCAGATTCCACAAAAAGAGTGTTTCAAAACTGTTCTGTCTAAAGAAATGTTCAACTGTGTTAGTTGAGGACACACATCAGAAACTAGTTTCTGAGAATGCTTCTGTCTAGTTGTTATGGGAAGATATTTCCTTTTCCAACGTAGGCCTGAAAGCGCTCCAAATGTCCACTTCCATATACTAAAAAAAGAGTGTTTCAAACCTGCTCTACCAAAGGGAATGTTCTACTCTGTGACTTGAATGCAAACATCCCAAAGAAGTTTCTGAGAATGCTTCTGTCTAGATTTTCTCTGAAGACAATCCCGTTTCCAACGAAATCCTCAAGGCTAGGCAAATATACTCTTGCAGATTCCAGAAAAAGAGTGTTTCAAAACTGCTCCTTCAAAACGGTGGTTCAATTCTCTTAGGTTGAGTACACACATCTCAAATAAGTTTCTGAGAATGCTTCTGCCTAGTTGTTGCGGGAAGATATTTCCCTTTCCAACATAGGCCTGAAAGCGCTCCAAATGTCCACTTCCAGATACTACAAAAAGAGTGTTTCAAACCTGCTCTACCAAAGGGAATGTTCTACTCTGTGACTTGAATGCAAACATCCCAAAGAAGTTTCTGAGAATGCTTCTGTCTAGATTTTACCTGAAGACAATCCCGTTTCCCACGAAATCCTCAAAGCTATGCAAATATCCTCTTGCAGATTCTACAAAAAGAGTGTTTCAAAACTGCTCTATGAAAAGAAAGGTTCAACTCTGTCAGTAGAGGGCACACATCACAAACAAGTTTCTGAGAATGCTTGTGTCTAGTTGTTATGGGAAGATATTTCCTTTTTCAACATAGGCCTGAAAGCGCTCCAAATGTCCACTTCCAGATACTACAAAAGGAGTGATTCCAACCTGCTCTATGATAGGGAATGTTCAACTCTCTGTCCTGAATACAAACATCACAAAGATGTTTCTCAGAACGCTGCAGTCTGCAATTTGTATGAATTCCCGCTTCCAACGAAATCCTCAAAACTAGCCAAATATCCACTTGCAGATTCCACAAAAAGAGCATTTCAAAACTGCTCTATCAAAAGAAAGGTTCAACTTTGTTAGTTGAGTAGATACAGCATAAACAAGTTTCTGAGAATGCTTCCTGTCCAGTTTTTATGGGAAGATATTTCCTTTTTCACCTTAGCCCTGAAAGCGCTCCAAATGTCCAGTTCCAGATACTACAAAAGGGGTGTTTCAAGACTGCTCTATGAAAGGGAGTGTTCAACTTTTGACTTGAATGCAAACATCAGAAAGCAGTTTCTCAGAACGCTGCTGTGTGCTTTTTATATGTATTCCCGCTTCCAGCGAAATCCCCAAAGCTAGCCAAATATCCACTTGCAGATTCCAGAAAAAGAGTGTTTCAAAACTGCTCCTTCAAAACGGTGGTTCAATTCTCCTAGTTGCGTACACACATCTCAAATAAGTTTCTGAGAATGCTTCTGTCTAGTTTTTATGGGAAGATATTTCCTTTTTCACCTTAGGCCGGAAAGTGCTCCAAATGTCCACTTACACACACTATACAAAGAGTGTTTCAAACCTGCTCTGTGAAAGGGAATGTTCAATACTGTGACTTGAATGCAATCATCACAAAGAAGTTTCTGAGAATGCTGCTGTCTGCTTTTTATATGTAATCCCGTTTCCAACGAAATCCTCAAATCTAGCCAAATAGCCACTTGCAGATACCACAAAAAGAGTGTTTCAAAACTGTTCTGTCTAAAGAAATGTTCAACTGTGTTAGTTGAGGACACACATCAGAAACTAGTTTCTGAGAATGCTTCTGTCTAGTTGTTATGGGAAGATATTTCCTTTTCCAACGTAGGCCTGAAAGCGCTCCAAATGTCCACTTCCATATACTAAAAAAAGAGTGTTTCAAACCTGCTCTACCAAAGGGAATGTTCTACTCTGTGACTTGAATGCAAACATCCCAAAGAAGTTTCTGAGAATGCTTCTGTCTAGATTTGATCTGAAGACAATCCCGTTTCCAACGAAATCCTCAAGGCTAGGCAAATATACTCTTGCAGATTCCAGAAAAAGAGTGTTTCAAAACTGCTCCTTCAAAACGGTGGTTCAATTCTCTTAGTTGAGTACACACATCTCAAATAAGTTTCTGAGAATGCTTCTGCCTAGTTGTTACGGGAAGATATTTCCCTTTCCAACATAGGCCTGAAAGCGCTCCAAATGTCCACTTCCAGATACTACAAAAAGAGTGTTTCAAACCTGCTCTACCAAAGGGAATGTTCTGCTCTGTGACTTGAATGCAAACATCCCAAAGAAGTTTCTGAGAATGCTTCTGTCTAGATTTTACCTGAAGACAATCCCGTTTCCCACGAAATCCTCAAAGCTATGCAAATATCCTCTTGCAGATTCTACAAAAAGAGTGTTTCAAAACTGCTCTATGAAAAGAAAGGTTCAACTCTGTCAGTAGAGGGCACACATCACAAACAAGTTTCTGAGAATGCTTGTGTCTAGTTGTTATGGGAAGATATTTCCTTTTTCAACATAGGCCTGAAAGCGCTCCAAATGTCCACTTCCAGATACTACAAAAGGAGTGATTCCAACCTGCTCTATGATAGGGAATGTTCAACTCTCTGTCCTGAATACAAACATCACAAAGATGTTTCTCAGAACGCTGCAGTCTGCAATTTGTATGTATTCCAGCTTCCAACGAAATCCTCAAATCTAGCCAAATATCCACGTGCAGATTCCACAAAAAGAGCATTTCAAAACTGCTCTATCAAAAGAAAGGTTCAACTTTTTTAGTAGAGTAGATACAGCATAAACAAGTTTCTGAGAATGCTTCTGTCCAGTTTTTATGGGAAGATATTTCCTTTTTCACCTTAGCCCTGAAAGCGCTCCAAAAGTCCAGTTCCAGATACTACAAAAGGAGTGTTTCAGGACTGCTCTATGAAAGGGAGTGTTCAACTTTTGACTTGAATGCAAACATCAGAAAGCAGTTTCTCAGAACGCTGCTGTGTGCTTTTTATATGTATTCCCGCTTCCAGCGAAATCCCCAAAGCTAGCCAAATATCCACTTGCAGATTCCAGAAAAAGAATGTTTCAAAACTGCTCCTTCAAAACGGTGGTTCAATTCTCTTAGTTGAGTACACACATCTCAAATAAGTTTCTGAGAATGCTTCTGTCTAGTTGTTATGGGAAGATATTTCCTTTTCCAACATAGGCCTGAAAGCGCTCCAAATGTCCACTTCCAGATACTACAAAAGGAGTGATTCAAACCTGCTCTATGATAGGGAATGTTCAACTCTGTGTCCTGAATACAAACATCACAAAGATGTTTCTCAGAACGCTGCAGTCTGCAATTTGTATGAATTCCCGCTTCCAACGAAATCCTCAAAACTAGCCAAATATCCACTTGCAGATTCCACAAAAAGAGCGTTTCAAAACTTCTCTATGAAAAGAAAGGTTCTACTCCTTTAGTTGAGGACACACATCACGAGTAAGTTTCTGAGAATGCTTCTGTCTAGTTTTTATGGGAAGATATTTCCTTTTTCACCTTAGGCCGGTAAGGGTTCCAAATGTCCACTTACACACACTACAAAAAGAGTGTTTCAAACCTGCTCTGTGAAAGGGAATGTTCAATTCTGTGACTTGAATGCAATCATCACAAAGAACTTTCTGAGAATGCTGCTGACTGCTTTTTATATGTAATCCCGTTTCCAACGAAATCCTCAAATCTAGCCAAATAGCCACTTGCAGATTCCACAAAAAGAGTGTTTCAAAACTGTTCTGTCTAAAGAAATGTTCAACTGTGTTAGTTGAGGACACACATCAGAAACTAGTTTCTGAGAATGCTTCTGTCTAGTTGTTATGGGAAGATATTTCCTTTTCCAACGTAGGCCTGAAAGCGCTCCAAATGTCCACTTCCATATACTACAAAAAGAGTGTTTCAAACCTGCTCTACCAAAGGGAATGTTCTACTCTGTGACTTGAATGCAAACATCCCAAAGAAGTTTCTGAGAATGCTTCTGTCTAGATTTTCTCTGAAGACAATCCCGTTTCCAACGAAATCCTCAAGGCTAGGCAAATATACTCTTGCAGATTCCAGAAAAAGAGTGTTTCAAAACTGCTCCTTCAAAACGGTGGTTCAATTCTCTTAGTTGAGTACACACATCTCAAATAAGTTTCTGAGAATGCTTCTGCCTAGTTGTTACGGGAAGATATTTCCCTTTCCAACATGGGCCTGAAAGCGCTCCAAATGTCCACTTCCAGATACTACAAAAAGAGTGTTTCAAACCTGCTCTACCAAAGGGAATGTTCTACTCTGTGACTTGAATGCAAACATCCCAAAGAAGTTTCTGAGAATGCTTCTGTCTAGATTTTACCTGAAGACAATCCCGTTTCCCACGAAATCCTCAAAGCTATGCAAATATCCTCTTGCAGATTCTACAAAAAGAGTGTTTCAAAACTGCTCTATGAAAAGAAAGGTTCAACTCTGTCAGTAGAGGGCACACATCACAAACAAGTTTCTGAGAATGCTTGTGTCTAGTTGTTATGGGAAGATATTTCCTTTTTCAACATAGGCCTGAAAGCGCTCCAAATGTCCACTTCCAGATACTACAAAAGGAGTGATTCCAACCTGCTCTATGATAGGGAATGTTCAACTCTCTGTCCTGAATACAAACATCACAAAGATGTTTCTCAGAACGCTGCAGTCTGCAATTTGTATGAATTCCCGCTTCCAGCGAAATCCTCAAAACTAGCCAAATATCCACTTGCAGATTCCACAAAAAGAGCATTTCAAAACTGCTCTATCAAAAGAAAGGTTCAACTTTGTTAGTTGAGTAGATACAGCATAAACAAGTTTCTGAGAATGCTTCTGTCCAGTTTTTATGGGAAGATATTTCCTTTTTCACCTTAGCCCTGAAATCGCTCCAAAAGTCCAGTTCCAGATACTACAAAAGGAGTGTTTCAGGACTGCTCTATGAAAGGGAGTGTTCAACTTTTGACTTGAATGCAAACATCAGAAAGCAGTTTCTCAGAACGCTGCTGTGTGCTTTTTATATGTATTCCCGCTTCCAGCGAAATCCCCAAAGCTAGCCAAATATCCACTTGCAGATTCCAGAAAAAGAGTGTTTCAAAACTGCTCCTTCAAAACGGTGGTTCAATTCTCTTAGTTGAGTACACACATCTCAAATAAGTTTCTGAGAATGCTTCTGTCTAGTTGTTATGGGAAGATATTTCCTTTTCCAACATAGGCCTGAAAGCGCTCCAAATGTCCACTTCCAGATACTACAAAAGGAGTGATTCCAACCTGCTCTATGATAGGGAATGTTCAACTCTGTGTCCTGAATACAAACATCACAAAGATGTTTCTCAGAACGCTGCAGTCTGCAATTTGTATGAATTCCCGCTTCCAACGAAATCCTCCAAACTAGCCAAATATCCACTTGCAGATTCCACAAAAAGAGCGTTTCAAAACTTCTCTGCGAAAGAAAGGTTCTACTCCTTTAGTTGAGGACACACATCACGAGTAAGTTTCTGAGAATGCTTCTGTCTAGTTTTTATGGGAAGATATTTCCTTTTTCACCTTAGGCCGGAAAGTGCTCCAAATGTCCACTTACACACACTACAAAAAGAGTGTTTCAAACCTGCTCTGTGAAAGGGAATGTTCAATTCTGTGACTTGAATGCAATCATCACAAAGAACTTTCTGAGAATGCTGCTGTCTGCTTTTTATATGTAATCCCGTTTCCAACGAAATCCTCAAATCTAGCCAAATAGCCACTTGCAGATTCCACAAAAAGAGAGTTTCAAAACTGTTCTGTCTAAAGAAATGTTCAACTGTGTTAGTTGAGGACACACATCAGAAACTAGTTTCTGAGAATGCTTCTGTCTAGTTGTTATGGGAAGATATTTCCTTTTCCAACGTAGGCCTGAAAGCGCTCCAAATGTCCACTTCCAGATACTAAAAAAAGAGTGTTTCAAACCTGCTCTACCAAAGGGAATGTTCTACTCTGTGACTTGAATGCAAACATCCCAAAGAAGTTTCTGAGAATGCTTCTGTCTAGATTTTATCTGAAGACAATCCCGTTTCCAACGAAATCCTCAAGGCTAGGCAAATATACTCTTTCAGATTCCAGAAAAAGAGTGTTTCAAAACTTCTCCTTCAAAACGGTGGTTCAATTCTCTTAGTTGAGTACACACATCTCAAATAAGTTTCTGAGAATGCTTCTGCCTAGTTGTTACGGGAAAGATATTTCCCTTTCCAACATGGGCCTGAAAGCGCTCCAAATGTCCACTTCCAGATACTACAAAAAGAGTGTTTCAAACCTGCTCTACCAAAGGGAATGTTCTACTCTGTGACTTGAATGCAAACATCCCAAAGAAGTTTCTGAGAATGCTTCTGTCTAGATTTTACCTGAAGACAATCCCGTTTCCCACGAAATCCTCAAAGCTATGCAAATATCCTCTTGCAGATTCTACAAAAAGAGTGTTTCAAAACTGCTCTATGAAAAGAAAGGTTCAACTCTGTCAGTAGAGGGCACACATCACAAACAAGTTTCTGAGAATGCTTGTGTCTACTTGTTATGGGAAGATATTTCCTTTTTCAACATAGGACTGAAAGCGCTCCAAATGTCCACTTCCGGATACTACAAAAGGAGTGATTCCAACCTGCTCTATGATAGGGAATGTTCATCTCTGTGTCCTGAATACAAACATCACAAAGATGATTCTCAGAACGCTGCAGTCTGCAATTTGTATGAATTCCCGCTTCCAACGAAATCCTCAAAACTAGCCAAATATCCACTTGGAGATTCCACAAAAAGAGCGTTTCAAAACTTCTCTATGAATAGAAATGTTCTACTCCTTTAGTTGAGGACACACATCACGAGTAAGTTTCTGAGAATGCTTCTGTCTAGTTTTTATGGGAAGATATTTCCTTTTTCACCTTAGGCCGGAAAGCGCTCCAAATGTCCACTTACACACACTACAAAAAGAGGGTTTCAAACCTGCTCTGTGAAAGGGAATGTTCAATTCTGTGACTTGAATGCAATCATCACAAAGAACTTTCTGAGAATGCTGCTGTCTGCTTTTTATATGTAATCCCGTTTCCAACGAAATCCTCAAATCTAGCCAAATATCCACTTGCAGATTCCACAAAAAGAGTGTTTCAAAACTGTTCTGTCTAAAGAAAAGTTCAACTGTGTTAGTTGAGGACACACATCAGAAACTAGTTTCTGAGAATGCTTCTGTCTAGTTGTTATGGGAAGATATTTCCTTTTCCAACGTAGGCCTGAAAGCGCTCCAAATGTCCACTTCCATATACTAAAAAAAGAGTGTTTCAAACCTGCTCTACCAAAGGGAATGTTCTACTCTGTGACTTGAATGCAAACATCCCAAAGAAGTTTCTGAGAATGCTTCTGTCTTGATTTTATCTGAAGACAATCCCGTTTCCAACGAAATCTTCAAGGCTAGGCAAATATACTCTTGCAGATTCCAGAAAAAGAGTGTTTCAAAACTGCTCCTTCAAAACGGTGGTTCAATTCTCTTAGTTGAGTACACACATCTCAAATAAGTTTCTGAGAATGCTTCTGCCTAGTTGTTACGGGAAGATATTTCCCTTTCCAACATGGGCCTGAAAGCGCTCCAAATGTCCACTTCCAGATACTACAAAAAGAGGGTTTCAAACCTGCTCTACCAAAGGGAATGTTCTACTCTGTGACTTGAATGCAAACATCCCAAAGAAGTTTCTGAGAATGCTTCTGTCTAGATTTTACCTGAAGACAATCCCGTTTCCCACGAAATCCTCAAAGCTATGCAAATATCCTCTTGCAGATTCTACAAAAAGAGTGTTTCAAAACTGCTCTATGAAAAGAAAGGTTCAACTCTGTCAATAGAGGTCACACATCACAAACAAGTTTCTGAGAATGCTTGTGTCTAGTTGTTATGGGAAGATATTTCCTTTTTCAACATAGGCCTGAAAGCGCTCCAAATGTCCACTTCCAGATACTACAAAAGGAGTGATTCCAACCTGCTCTATGATAGGGAATGTTCATCTCTGTGTCCTGAATACAAACATCACAAAGATGTTTCTCAGAACGCTGCAGTCTGCAATTTGTATGAATTCCCGCTTCCAACGAAATCCTCAAAACTAGCCAAATATCCACTTGGAGATTCCACAAAAAGAGCGTTTCAAAACTTCTCTATGAATAGAAAGGTTCTACTCCTTTAGTTGAGGACACACATCACGAGTAAGTTTCTGAGAATGCTTCTGTCTAGTTTTTATGGGAAGATATGTCCTTTTTCACCTTAGGCCGGAAAGCGCTCC